>NC_000024.10:2738307-3038717 GCF_000001405.40 Homo sapiens
TATCTTCTCCATCCTCTCCCATCTTGCTGTCCTGCTCACATTCTCAAATTTGGTTGCATGGCTTTGAATGTCTTCCTTTATGTCTCGTTGCTTTGGAGGGATACTTTCAAAAGACAATGAATGTGTAAACTTCCTAGGGCCTGGGCCTTCAGAGAAGACCTATATGTGCCTAAGTCTCTGTTTAACAAAATATTAAGGAAGTTTTCCCAGGAGTTCGAGACCAGCCTGGCCAACATGGTGAAACCCTGTCTGTACTAAAAATACAAAATTAGCTGAGTGTGGTGGTGGGCGCCTGTAATCCCAGCTACTTGGGAGGCTGAGGCAAGAGAACTGCTTGAACCTGGGAGGTAGAGGTTGCAGTGAGCCGAGATCGTGCCATTGCACTCCAGCCTGGGCGACACAGTGAGACATGTTTCAAAAAAAAAAAAAGTTCCAAGTGGCACACGATTGGTGCATAGTTGGGAAGTCCACAGCTGGCTGGTGTGCACTGGGAATTAAAAGCCCATCTCCTGAAATATAACTCGTTAAGTTTTGCTGTCAACTTTTTTTTTGTTGTTAGAGATAGGGTCTCACTCTGTCGCCCAGGCTGGAGTGCAGTGGCACGATCATAACTTACTGCAGCCTCGATCTCCTGGGCTCAAGGGATCCTCCCACCTCAGCCTCCTGATAAGCTGGAACCACAGGCGTGCACCACCGTGTCCGGCTGATTTGTTGTTGTTTTTTTTTTATTTTGTAGAGACAAGGTCTCACTAGGTTGCCCAGACAGGGTCTCACTATGTTGCCCATCCTGAGCTCAAGCAACCCTCCGACCTCAGCTTCCCAGAGTGCTGGGGTTCTAGGCGTGAACTACCGCACCCAGCCTGCTATCACCTTCTAAAAATCCTCTCAACCAGGTGGAAAATGTGGTTAAGAAGAGACTTTAATTCGTGAGAAACTTCTCAGGGTAAAAGGCAGGCATTTTGCCATCAGAACCACTTTTGAAAATGGCAAGAAAAAAATGTGTGTGTGTATATGTGCGTGTATTTTTTTATTTTGTTTGTGCATACATTGGAACCTTCTCATTTGCCTGAGAGATGCAGTGCTTATTTTTAATAGCAGCTGTCAAATTGAGAGGGATTTTTAATGAAATGATTTAAAATATTTTAATTTTTTTTCTTTTTGAGATGGAGTGTCTCTCTGTCACCCAGGCTGGAGTGCAGTGGTGCGACCTCTGCTCACTGCAACCCCTGCCTCCCAGTGTCAAGTGATTCTCCTTCCTCAGCCTTCTGAGTAGCTGAGACCACAGGCACCCGCCATCATGCCCCACTAATTTTCTTTCTGTTTTTACTAGAGACGGGGCTTTCGCCATGTTGGCCAGAGTGGTCTCGAACTCCTGACCTCAAGTGATCTGCCCACCTTGGCCTCCCAAAGTGCTAGGATTACAGGCATGAGCCACCGTGCCTGGCATTCCATTTTAAAGATAGAGACTTCTACAAAGTTAGTGTCTCGCCAGACGCGGTGGCTAATGCCTGTAGTCCCAGCACTTTGGGAGGCTGAGGTGGGCGGATCACCTGAGGTTGGGAGTTCGAGACCAGCCTGACCAACATGGAGAAACCACGTCTCTACTAAAAATTAAAAAAAAAAAAAAAAAAAAAATTAGCCAGGCATCGTGGCGCATGCCTGTAATTCCAGCTACTCAGAAGGCTGAGGCAGGAGAATCGCTTGAACCCGGGAGGCGGAGGTTGTGGTGAGCCAAGATTGCGCCATTGCACTCCAGCCTGGGCAACAAGAGCAAAACTCTGTCTCAAAAATAATAATAATAATAATAAAAGAAAGTTAGTGTCTTGTTGACTGCTCTTTCGAGTCAGGGAAAGATGTTTAGAACAAGCTATATCTTAAAGAGAAAAGGAAGATTCCTTCTGCCCACTGCAATGAAGTTGTCTGGCTTCATTAGCCAGTACATTGGTATATGTGTGTGGAGCCCTCGTGACTTGAAGGGCGTGGCATTCCAGTGTTTTCTGCCACCATTGTTCTTAATTCCTTCTTCCAAATCCCAGCTTCTCCCTCCAAAATAGTTTTAAGACTGACATGCAGAATAAAGTTTCCAAAACTTAAATGAATGGACCAGAAAATCTCAGCCCAGCATCATTGCAAATCAATAAAAACTGCACACTCTCATTTAGAAGATTTATTCTTCCATTTGGTAAGTTATAGGCATTTGTTAGTGTCTCTGTGACGTCGTTAGTGGAAATTGCCTTCTGCTGTTTTCCTTCTGCTTTTTCTGCAGCATCCATTTTTTTTAATGAATGGCATCATTCAATGAAATTGATTGAATTGATTGAGATTTAGGGTTTTGCTTTCTCGTGATGAGTTTTGGGCCCATTTTTCTTATGCAGAAATAAAACCACTGGCTCCTGAAAGTTGTAGGAACTGTGTCCACGTGAGTGCTCAGGGACCTGGGAATGACTTTCTTTTGTCTCTGTCTCCCACAGTTCAGCGTACTCTTTTAGAGAAATAGAAGATTGTCGGCAGAAACAGCCCAGGCGTTGGCAGCAGGGTTAGAACAGCTGCCTGAGGCTCCTCCCTGAAGGACACCTGCCTGAGAGCAGAGATGGAGGCCTTCTGTTCACGGCGGATTCTTTGTTTTAATCTTGCGATGTGCTTTGCTTGTTGCTGGGCGGATGATGTTTACTAACGATGAATTTTACATCCAAAGGGGGATAGGCACTTGGACCCCCATTCTCCAAGGCCCGGGGGGGCGGTTTCCCATGGGATGTGAAAGGCTGGCCATTATTAAGTCCCTGTAACTCAAATGTCAACCCCACCGAGGCACCCCCCCGTCCCCCAGAATCTTGGCTGTTTACAAATCACGTGTCCATCGAGCACGTCTGAAACCCCTGGTAGCCCCGACTTCTTTTTAATTAAAATAAGGTAAGCCCTTCAATTTGTTTCTTCAATATTTCTTTCATTTGTAGGGATATTTGTTTTTCATATCAGACTAATAAAAAGAAATTAGAAACCAAGTACTTTTTTTTTTTTACTTAAATATTTTGCCGTGGGTGGATGTTAAAGAAGGCCGTGGTAATTTACAGGATGGGTTCCAAGTTCTCTTCTTCTGGGGCTTTAAGGCAGATTTCCAGCCTAAATGCTAGCTCTTTATTTCCAAAATGTCCTTGTTGGGCTCTTTTCCTTTCCCGTGTCCTGCCACATCGGGATGGGTACTCTTCTGCACCCAGATACTCCCAGCCAGATACTCTCCTCCATCCAGATACTCTGTTTCCAGATACTCTCCCTGCAGCTAGTTATCCCCTTGAGTCCAGATGCTGCCTGCTTCCAGATACTCCTCTGTATCCAGATACTCCTCTAAATCCAGGTACTCCCTACATCCAGATACTGTACTTCCTAAGATGTACAAGATGTACCGCATTTTCCCAACACTGAAGACTTGACCACAGCTTAAGTGGGTTGGTTAAATACATTATGGCCCAGATTGCAATGGATCTTCTGCCTTGTTAAAAAGAATGAATGAGTCAAGGGTCTTTTTGTTTACTGACACTGCCTAGCATGTATTGAAGCTCAGTAAACACTTGCAGAATAAATCACAGAAAAGCCTCTCTCCTTAAGAAGTTAAGAGATTGGCTCTGATACCAACAACTACCATACTATTCCAAATACTATTATTTCAAAAATTTATAAAGTATTTTATTCTATGTTCTATTAGCCATTAAGTAACTTTTTTTTTTTTTTTTTTGAGACAGAGTCTTGCTCTGTCACCCAGGCTGGAGTGCAGTGGGGCAATCTTGGCTCACTGCAACCTCCGCCTCCTGGGTTCAAGTGATTCTCCTGCCTCAGCCTCCCAAGTAGCTGGGACTACAGGCGTGCACCACCACACCCGGCTAATTTTTCTATTTTTAGTAGAGCCTGGGTTTCACCATGTTGGCCAGGCTGGTCTCAAACTCCTGACCTCAAGTGATCTGCCTGCCAAGGCCTCCAAAAGTGCTGGGATTACAGGTGTGAGCCACTGTGCCTGGCCCAGCCCTTAAGTAACTTTTTAATCATCATTCCCAAAATCATAGGACTTTCTTTACATAGAAGTTCCAAAATAATGAAACAAAAGACTTGTTTTACCCAGGTATTTAATGATCCAACAAGCCGTATAATTTAAACTCTATTTTTCAAGTAACCCACTTTCAATAAAATCATGTTTATTTTTATGTCCATGAGAAATTAAAATCAGTCATCTACAAAGATGGACATCCACCCTCCACAAAAAAATAAGTCTTGTTGACACATTTCTTGGAAGTATAGATTTATTTATAAGTAAGCCCTAATTTGACATATCTAAAAAAATACCTTTTTTTTTTTTTTTTTTTTTTTTTTTTTTTACTATTCTTCTTTTTACTCTTCTGCTTCTTGTTTAATGAGCCATTTCTGTGGATAGTATGATTACAATGAGCCATTTGTGTGGATGGTATGATTATAATACTTACAAAAATGTCAGTGTTATTCATAGAATGACAACAGATTTAATGCATTTTTTCTTTTTTTTATTCTAAAGTTAGTCAATGTGAAGAATCTGACCTCAAAGACAATTCTTGATAATTCATTGGGGAGGACTAGAAACACCACCCTCTAACTTTATAACGTGTCATTGGTCACTCAGCAAAGCGGCCAGGCATGCTGGTTTATCCAGCTTTCAGCCCTTGAAGATTCACCAGACTAAGGATTAAGTGAAAAAGAATATCTGCCACCTACTTCACTGAGGCGTAAACAGTCCCTATAGATCAATGAGAAAAGGACCCAACACCCGTATAAAAACAAAGGGCAATTCACATGTTTTCCAGAAATGGAACGCAGATGATTTTATGAAGATAGCCCATTTGATGTCGTTTTTCAACTAAGAGATTGGCAATAATCAGAAAGTTTGTAGGGCTCTTAGGAAACAGATCTGAGACATCATGTAAGTCCTGGGCATTTGCGAAACTTCTATGGGGAATGGACTGACAGTGTCCTTAAACAATTAAACATGCACATCCGTGGTCGGCCCCCTCAAGGGTGGAGAGGATGAGGCATTTGTGATGTCTCAATACATCCTGGAGAATCTAGAAGGTCACCTCCACACACCTGCACCACAGGTGGCATCCTATAGGTATTTGCTAAAGGAAGCAATGAAAGGGTAAGATAAATAACCAAGAGGTGCCCGCCACTGTGTTCACCCAATTTTACATACTCCAAGTTATCACTAGTGTCAAAATCAGAAGAAATAACTCCAATGCCAGAAAAAGCCAGCTGGCTGTGCCCTTCAATATCCTGAGAATGATGGGATGTGAAAAGGTGTCGAATCCTCAACAGCAGGGAGACTGCTTGGATGACTCCCACCCAGAACTGAAATTGAAGGCGGAGTTTCTGAGCTTAGAAAGGGGAAAGACCCAGCATTTATGACTGACTCCTTCATCCAACCTCTTTCCCCAAATCAGACGATTTTTGACATGGGTATGGTAACACCATACGTTTGCATAGAGAGATTCATGGGAAGCCTAGCTGCTGTGACGTGCAGCAGTCAGTTTTTAACACCATCATCAGTGGCGAAATGAAACATTCCCTTGAAATCGCCTTTCTCTGGATGACTATTTAAACAGCTTCACGTTAGCCTGCCTGTGCGACTGAGGACGTACTGATGATATCCTCATTTTCCGGTGGAGGAAAGTTTATGACGTCAATCCCATTCCGAATATCAGGACTTTAAATCTCTATGATGTTAGCACAAAATGCAAGTGGAGCCCTCTCCAAGCTTTCATAGAGCCATGTATTTTGGAAGCCTTAATGGGGAGACAGTTCTCAATGTGGAAAAGTTGTCATGTATCGCAGAGAAGAGAACAGACCACCATGCCCAGCTAATATTTGTATTTTTAGTAGAGACGGGGTTTCAACATGTTGGCCAGGATGGTCTCGATCTGTTGACCTCGTGATCTGCTCACCTCGACCTACCAAAATGCTGGGATTTCAGGCGTGAGCCACCGCGCTGGGCCCAATACATCTCTTTTCTTAGTTGACTTCTTTTGTATCTCTTCATAGCCTTTTCATATTTTTATATTGATTTGTATCTTTCATTTTTTATATATTTAAACTACCTACTTATGTTAATTCTGTGCCATGGTAACTTCCTTAATTCATGATTCATATGGGCATACATACAGTCATGGATACAACAGGCTTTCGTATATAAAATTATGAAAAAGTTTATTCTTTTAACATTTTGTGGGGATACAACAGGTTTTCATATATAAATCATGAAAAAATGCATCTATTCTTCTAACACTTTGTGAGGATACAACAGGTTTTCATATATAAAATTATGAAAAAAAATTCTTCTAACACCTTTGTGGGGATACAAAAGGTTTTCATATATAAAATCATGAAAAAGGCCGAGTGCGGTGGCTCACGCCTGTAATCCCAGCACTTTGGGAGGCCGAGGCGGCTGGATCAAGAGGTCAGGAGATCGAGACCATCCTGGCCAACATGGTGAAACCCTGTCTCTACTAAAAATACAAAAAATTAGCTGGGCGTGGTGGCACGCACTTGTAATCCCAGCTACTCGGGAGGCTGAGGCAGGAGAATTGCTTGAACCCGGGAGGTGGAGGTTGCAGTGAGCCAAGATCGCGCCACTGCACTCCAGCCTGGCCACAGAGCAAGAGTCCATCTAAAAAAAAAAAAAAAAATCGTGAAAAAAAGTATCTATTCTTCTAACACTTTTGTGAGGGTTACAACAGGTTTTCATCTATAAAATAATGAAAAAATGTATTCCTTTCTTAAGAACATTTGTCAGGAATGGGTATTAAATTCAATCAAGTGTTTTCTTGGGATGCATCATGCTGACTATGGTTTTCTACTTTGACCTGTTAATATGGTGAATTAAATATAATGACATATCATCGATCATCCTTCAATCCAATCTTATTTGGTGTTACACTTTAGTTTTGTTATTTTCTTTAGGATTATTGTGTCAATATTCAAAAGTCAAATTCATGTGTGTTATATGTTTGCATGTAATATATTTCAATATTGTGCTTTCTTCATACATACATTTTGGTAGATTTTCTTCTTTCTCTTGTGGAAAATCTGATTGGCTAAAGTTTTCTGGGCATGGGCTGTGTGTGTGTGTGTGTGTGTGTGTTTTAGAGGGGGCAAAGGGTTTTTGTTTCTTTCTGTTGGAGAGAGATTTATTTATTTAGAGATGGAGTCTCACTCTGTTGCCCAGGCTGGAGTCCAGTGGTGCAATCTTGGCTCACTGCAACCTCCACCTCCCAAGTTCAAGCAATTCTCCTGCCTCAGCCTCCCGAGTAGCTGGGATTACAGGCATATACAAGCACGCTCAGCTAATTTTTGTATTTTTAGTAGAGATGGGGTTTCACCATGTTGGCCAGGCTGGCTCAAACTCCTGACTTCAAGTGATCTGCCTTCCTCGGCCTCCCAAAGTGCTGGGATGACAGGCATGAGTCACTGTACCCGGCTGGGAAATGAATTTTTAAAAAAAAAACTTTATGTATTTCTACTTCTTCATTGGAAAGTCATTCGTATTTACTTAAGTTTTCAAATATCACAGTGCAGATTAGAACAAAGTAGTTGTTTATAATTCTTCCGCATCCTCCAAGTGTATGGAGAAGCTCGCATTCTTCTTGTTTTGTGCTGTCATTATTTTAGTTTGTTATCTTCGTCTACTTTAGTTTTCTCAGATAATGTTTAAATTATTTGGCAAATCATTTCTCAATTTTCAATGCATTAATTTCCTCCACCTGCTTTTCTGGAGTTTCATGTGATACCCACTCTCCCCACACAGGATGACTTCTCGAGTTGAATGTTCATTCCATTTATTTTCATTCTTTCTTGCTTAATGTTGTAAACAGGCGAGGTTCTAACTTTTCATCTGTGTACTACAAGCTCTCAAGTTCTTTCATGGGGAGTTTGTATCATGGTCATTTTCTAGTATTTAGCATTTTCAGCTTTTGTTTCCTGTCAACTCAACATTAAAAGTTTTTTAAAACGTCCGGGTGATATTGTTGCTTTGTTTGCTTTCCTGGTTTCATTATCCATTTTCAATTTTGCTGCTGTGAATTTGCACCGTCTCCTTGGGGAGTGATTTGGCTGTATATTAGTCAGCGTTCTCTAGAGGGACATAACTAATGGAATATATATATACACACAAAGGGGAGTTTATTAAATATTAACTCACACGATCACAAGGTCCCACAATAGGCCATCTGCAGGCTGAGGAGCAAGGAGAGCCAGTCCCAGTCCCAAAACTGAAGAACTTGGAGTCCAGTGTTTGAGGGCAGGAAGCATCCAGCACGGGACAGAGATGTAGGCTGGGAGGGTAGGCCAGTCTCTCTTTTTGCATTTTTTTGCCTGCTTTATATTCTAGCCTTGATGGCAGCTGATTAGATTATGCCCACCCAGATTAAGGGCGGGGGGCCTGCCTTTCCCAGCCCACTGACTCACATGGTAATCTCCTTCGGCAACACCCTCACAGACACACCCAGGATCAATACTTTGTGTCAATCAATCCAATCAGGTTAACAGTCAGTATGAACCATCACAGGCAGTGTCTACAAGCAATGAAACATGCACACACCTTTCTACCTAATTCCTGCCCATTCCTGACCAACGCTCCTAAGAAAGGAATAGATTTGATTTTTTTCTTGATTTTATATCTTAAAAACCTGTTGTATCCATGTCTGTATGTGTGCCAGGGTGAATCACAAAGTCAGGAAGTTAGTGTGACGCAGAATAAGGATATCTTTATTCTTTTATTTTTTATTACTTTTTATTTTGTTTTTGAGACAGAGTCTTACTCTGTCCCCCAGGCTGGAGTGCGGTGGCCTGATCTAAGCTCACTACAACCTCCACCTCTCCGGTTCAAGTGATTCTCCTGCCTCAGCCTCCCAAGTAGCTGGGATTACAGGCACATGCCACCACACCCGGCTAATTTTTGTATTTGTAGTAGAAATGTGGTTTCACCATGTTGGCCAGGCTGGTCTCAAACTCCTGACCTCAGGTGATCCATCCGCCTCGGCCTCCTAAAGTGCTGGGATCGCAGGTGTGAGCCATCATGCGTGGCCTAGAATATTCTTATTTCCAATTTTACAGCAACAGAATGTCTTCTGTCTTGTTTCTACTTTAAAAAAACAGTTTGCTAAAGCTTTCTTTGTAGTGCAGTTGTGAATTTTCAGGAGCATCCCATGAACATTGAAAAGGAGATGCATTCACGCTTTTTAAGGTTATCGAGGATGTGAAAATTAAAGTCGGCTTTGTAAATTCTGCCATGTCTGTGAGCTCCCAGCATTTGATCAGCTGAGGCTTCGAGCGGTGAAGTAGAGTGCTTTTCCCCTAACGTGCTCTGATCTGGAGCCTGCGTGTATTACCGCTGGGCACACGGCCTGCCCTGACCATACTTTAGTGAAGCAGAGGTGATAAAACTGGGTTTCCCAGGACTCCTGCAACACACAGCTTTGATGTCGGCAAACTAGAACCCGGGAGCCAAATCTGCCCACGGTGTGTTTTTGTACAGCTTTCGAGGTAAGAATTTTTTTGTATTATTGTCGTTATCGTTGTTTTGAGATGGCGTCTTACTCCGTCGCCCAGGCTGGAGTCCAGTGGCATGATCTCGGCTCACTGCAACCTCCGCCCCTGGGTTCAAGCGATTCTCCTGCCTCAGCCACCTGAGCAGCTGGGACTACAGGCATGCACCACTACGCCCGGCTACTTTTTGTATTTTCAGTAGAGACAGGGTTTCACCATGTTGGCCAGGTTGGTCTCGAACTCCTGGCCTCAAGTGATCTGCCTGCCTCTGGCTCTCAAAGTCCTGGGATTACAGACATGAGCCACGGTGCCCAGCCAAGAATGGTTTTTACATGTCTGAATAATTTTCAAAACTCCAAAGAACAATAATATTTTGTGATGCATGAAAATTATGTGACACTCAAGTTTTTATGTTCATAAAGTCCACTTGGCGCACAGACATTGGTTACATATTGCAGCAGAATCCATATGGTTTGCAAAGATAAATGCCTTTACTATCTGACCTTCTGCAGAAAAGCTTGTCTACTCTTGCCTCAAGAAGCATGTAAAATACTTACAACACTGGCACGTTAGGCATGCTGGAAATCGTAGCAATTATTTTGCACCTTCACTACATCTGAGAGGATTTCCTGAACTTAACCATTTAACCTAACTCCTCACTACCTTTTGGGAAACATTTTTTTTATTAAGGTGAAATTCACAAATCATAGAATTAACCTTTTTTTTTTTTTTGACCCGGAGTCTCTGTCACCCAGGCTGGCGTGATCTCATCTCACTGCAACCTCTGCTTACCGGGTTCAGGCAATTCTCGTGCCTCAGCCTGCCAAGTAGTTGGGATTACAGGCAGTCACCACCACATCTGGCTAATTTTTGTATTTTTAGTAGAGATGGGTTGCATCATGTTGGCCAGGCTGGTCTTGAACTCCTGACCTTAGGTGATCCACCCGCCTCAGCCTCCCAAAGTGCTGGGATGACAGGAGAATTCACCATTTTAAAGTGAACAATTCAGGTTGCTTGCTGCTTTCACAGTGTTTTGTGGCCACCACTTCTACCTAGTTCCAAGATATTTTCACTGCCCCCAAAAGAAATCCCATTAGCAGCTGTTTTTTATATTGGCTTCCTGGGGCTGTCATAAAAACATGCTTCAAACTAGGTAGGGGGCTTAAAAAACAGACAGTTAAGCTGTCACAGTTCTGGAGCATAGAGGTCTGAAATCAAGGAGCAAACAGGGTGGATTCCTCCCTCCGTCCCTCCTTCCCTCCCTCCCTCCCTCCCTCCCTCCCTCCCTCCCTCCCTCCCTTCCTGCCTTCCCTCCTTCCTTCCTTTCTCTTTCTTCCTTTCCTTACCTTTCCCCTTTCCCTCCCTCCCTCCCTCCCTTCCTTCCTTCCTTCCCTCCTTCCTTCCTTCCTTCCTTCCTTTCCTCCTCCTCCTTCTTCTTTCTTTCTTTCTTCCTTTCTTTCTTCTTTCTCTTTCTTCTCTCTCTCTCGCTCTCTCTCTCTTTCTGAGTCTCACTCTGTTTCTGTTGCCCAGTCTGTAGTGCGGTGGCACAATCTTGGCTCACTGCAACCTCTGCCTCCCGGGTTCAAGCAATTCTCCTGCCTCAGCTTCCCAAGTAGCTGGGATTACAGGCGCGCACCATCGTGCCTAGTTAATTTTTGTATTTTTAGTAGAAACGGGATTTCACCATGTTGGCCAGGCTGGTCTCGAACTACTAATCTCCAGTGATCCGCTCACCTCAGCCACCCAAAGTGCTGGGATTACAGACGTGAGCCACCGGGCCCAGCCAGCAGGGCTGATTTCTTCTGATGCTGTGAGGTAGAATGGATTCCATGCCCCTCCCATTGCGTCCAGTGGTTTGCTGCCAATATCCCTTGGCTTGTAGGTGCATCACCCCAATCTCCCACTTCATGTTCCCAAGGCCTTCTCCCTGTGTGCATGTCAGTGTCCAGATTTCTCTCTTCTTTTAAAATACCAATCATATTGCAGTATGACCTCATCTTAACTAATGATTAGGTTGGTGCAAAAGTAATTGCAGTTTTCACCTTCAAAAGTAATGGCGAGGAGCTGGGCACGCTACCTCACGCCTGTAATCTCAGCACTTCGAGAGGCCGAGGTGGGCGGATCACAAGGTCAGGAGTTCGAGACCAGCCTGGCCAACATGGTGAAACCCCGTCTCTACTAAAAATGCAAAAATTAACCAGGTGTGGTGGTGCATGCCTGTAATTCCAGCTACTCAGGAGGCTGAGGCAGAAGAATCACTTGAGCTCAGGAGGCAGAAGTTGCAGTGAGCTGACATCACGCCACTGCATTCCAGCCTGGGTGACAGAGCAAGCCTGTGTCTCAAAAAAAAAAAAAAAATTAATGGTGAAAACTGCAATTACTTTTGCACCAAAGTAATACATCTGCAAAGATCTTATCTCCAAAGAAAGTCACATTCTGAAGTACTGAAGGGTTGGGCTTCAATATATGAAGTTTGCGGGAGAAAAAATGCAACTCATAATATATCCATTCCCACGTCTTTCCAGCCCCTGGCAACCGGCAATGTGCTTTCTGTCTCTGCAGATTTGCCTGTTCTGGACATTTCAGAGAAATGGAATCCTACACAATGCGTTCTTCTGTGTCTGTTTTCTCTAACTCAGCATCCAGTTTTTGACGTCCATCCACTTTGTAGCAGATGTCACGGTGTCAGTCCTCTTTAGGGTCAGGGGACTTTGAAGGAAATATCTTTCTAAATGCATCAACTGCTTCCTGGACTCTGCCACTCAGAGCTTAGGACTGCACAAGCTAACTGCCTTAGAGCATTTCCCCCATATGCACACACACACACACATGAACACACATGCACACGCACACATGCACACGCACACACGCACACACACACAGACAGACACGTGCACACACACACACACCTGTGTGCACAGGAACTTAATCCATCCAAGTAACTTACCTTTATAAAGATGTTGCAGTCCAGGCGCGATGGCTCACACCTGTAATCCCAGCACTTTGGGAAGCCGAGGCAGGTGGATCACTTGAGGTCAAGAGTTCAAGACCAGCCTGGCCAATGCAGTGAAACCCTGTATCTACTAAAAATACAGAAATTAGCCGGGTGTGGTGTCGGGTGCCTGTAATCCTAGCTACTCGGGTGGCTGAGGCAGGAGAATCACTTGAACCTGAGAGGCGGAGGTTGTAGTGAGTTGAGATCACACCACTGCACTCCAGCCTGGGCAACAGAGTGAGACTCTGTCTCAAAAAAAAAAAAGGAAGATATTTCATAGAAGACAACTCCCAAACACCAGGTCAACAACATGAACAGACTTAACACTCCAGATGCTCAAATTTGCAGAGAGAAAAGTCCAAGGTTTATTTCTCCTTTTGGGTCTGTTTGCCATGAATCCTGCTTCTCTGGGAATTTAGAAGCTGCCCTCATAACTAAGACTGATTTTCCCCTTTCTCCTGCAGTTAATCTATTTACCAGAGGACTTCAAAGCTGTTTGCAAATGGTAACTTTTTAAGTGCTTGCCTACTGCTTCATGGTAGGTAGAGTGTAAGGGTTAACCCACGAGTTGTATATGGATAAATTAGACACACTCACAGATCTGCAGGGAAGAATATAATTAAAACCATTGTGAAAGCAGGAGTCATCATCGAACTCAGCTATCCAGTCATGTTTCTTCTCCAAGGAGATTTCAAACAGAAGATGTAAATTTTGGTAGTTACATAAAATGTCTCAGATTTAAATGAAAGACACAAAAAGCCACATATCTCCTTTTCCTGAACAACCGTCTCTGCTGAAATATTAGTTCTGCCACCTACAAAGACAACTGAAGGCTGAGGATAAAAAATGCCTCTTGGAAGTCACTGAGTTTGTTAGGTATAAAAGCCAAGACTTCAACTGAGGTCTTTGCACTGATGTGTACATTAACCCCACACTGGGTATCACTGTACAATCATGTCCTGCAGGAGGAAGATTACAGGCGGCCAGTGTCTTCTCTGGTTTCTGGGTTGGTGACTTTGAACTTGCTACAGCTCCCACACCCGCAGCGAGCAGAGTTGCCAAGCAAGTGTGCCGGCTTCCAGAAGCCTGAGATGCCCATTGGTGCTTGGGAACCACCCCAGTTTCCCCATCGTCTGTGCTGCTGCAGATTGGTTGGGGCAGCCCGGGGAGGCTGGCTCCGACACACGACTGAGTGTGCCTACACTGGTCCCACAGGTTTTCAGCTGTGGAGTTTGGGATCTGAGCTTGGAGCCCATTTGTTTCTGGCAGTTCCGCTCATATTTTCCACTTGAAGACATCGCCTCCCTTCCTTCCAAGCTGGGAGACCAGAAGTCAACAACAGGAGGGTGGAGAGGCCGGGTCTCACAATCCGCTTGGCTGGGGAGTCCACTGAGGTTCTTGCATCCTGAAGCAAACCATGGAGAGCTGGTGGGGACTTCCCTGTCTTGCGTTCCTGTGTTTTCTAATGCACGCCCGAGGTAAGAGGCATTTTGCTTTGAGGGAGATCTGCCTGGGCATGGATTTTTCTATTCTTGCTTTAAGAAACTCTTTCCAAAGGAGTTGCTATGAAGTGAATGGGGATAATTTGCCCAATGGGATTAGAAAGGAGACTAAGAGCGATGGGTGGCTGAGAGGGGAGGGAGAAGACGGGCTGCTCCCATTTGGAATCTGGGAATTAGATCCAGAAGGGCAGGATGTTAGCTGATACCATCTAGATATTCGCCATATTTTCCTGTTTTGATCCATGTGTCCCAAGCGTTTAAAAAATGACCTATTTAACTCCATGATTCAAGCATGACTGGGTGTGTGTGGAATGTCAGTCATTTCTTTCTGATTTTAAAAATTAGTTCTGACCATTTCCATACAGTAAAAGTAGAGTTGAAACTACTTCATCCCGTGGGGCAGATTACCAGAGATTCGTTTGCCGGAAGGGTTGCATTTATTCAGATTTTTAAATCTTTTCCTAAACACTGTCATTCATTCTTGCAAATTAAAACCACCTGAATTGTTCACATCAAAAACTTCGATATAAACTTGCAGGCTGGCTGTCCCAGATCCAAGATTAGATTTTTCAGTTCCGTACGAGGACCTCTTTAAGAAACTCCAATGAACTCATAAAGTACAGGATTTGAACAACGGTTGAGTAAGTTTCTTTGGTCATTTTCATGTGGCGATTTCAGAGAAGGGAACACCTGGGCGCATCTTAAGAGAGAGAAGTATTTCTGTTAGGAGTTAAAACACATCATTCAGATGTCCCTGTGGCAGCATTTCCTGTTTATCCTATTTAAAGACATGGACGTCATTAAGATTGGAGTTGGTTGTTTATGGGCGGAGGCGGTGTCGGGATGGATAGATCCTGGTGGACATAGTCTAGGATCTGCAGTGAGAATTTTTTATTATTCTGTGCTGTCTTCAGATCTCACCTAGTAAGTGGACAATGTGGCCATGCATTCATTAGCTTCTGTTTACAGGGAGATGTTCAACAGTAAACCCACCTCCCCAGAAAAGTACTTCCAGGAGTTTGTATCATTCACAGTAAGAGCCAAAGGTTAACCATATCCCCTTGGGCAAATCAACTTCTACAAAGTGCGGATACAGACAGTTCCCAACTTACCATGGTTTGACATGATGGTTCAATTTAAGATTTTTCAACTTTACAACGGTGTAAAATTGGTATGCATTCAGTACAAACGAAAACTGTACTTTGAGTACCCATACAACTTTTCTTTTTTTTTTTTGAGATGTCGTGTCGTTTCATTCTGTTGCCCAGGCTGGAGTGCAGTGACACAATCTGAGCTCACTGCAACCTCCACCTCCTACGTTCAAGCAATTCTCCTGCCTCAGCATCTCAAGTAGCTGGGATTATAGGTGCCCACCACCACACCCAGCTAATTTTTCTATTTTTAGTAGAGACTGGGTTTCACCATGTTGGCCAGGCTGGTCTTGAATCTTGACCTCTGGTGATCCACCGGCCTCCCAAAGTGCTGGGATTATAAATGTGAGCCACCATGCCCGGCCCCATACAGCCATTCTGTTTTTCACTTTCAGTACAATGTTCAATAAATTATGTGAGGTATGCAACACCTCATTATAAAGTTGACTGTGTGCTAGATGATTTGTCCATCCGTTGGCTGATGAAAAGTGTTCTGAGCACTCTGAAGGCAGGTAAGGCTAAGCTATGGCGTTTGGTAGGGTAGTTGTATTAAATGCACTTACAACATAAAATATTTTCTTTTTTTTAATGTGTTTTAATTTTTTTGAGGGAGGGGCCCACTGTGTCACCTAGACTGGAGTGCGGTGGTTCCATCATAGCTCACTGCAGTCTTCACCCCAGGGGTTCGAACAAACCTCCCACCTCAGCCTCCAGAGTAGCTGGGACTACAGGCATTTGCCGCTGTGCCTGACTAGTTTTTAAAACTTTTTGTAGAGACGGGATCTCACTATGTTGTCCAGGCTGGACTTGAACATCTCAGCTCAAACGATCCTCCTGCCTTGGCCTCCCCAAATCTTGAGATTACAGGCATCAGCCACCATACCCTGTCCTGCGCTAAATTCTTTGACTGACGGCAGCACTTCCTATGCACTAGGCATGGATTAACTTAGTTGATTGTCCCTCAGCCCTATGACGGGAGTGTCGTGCCTGATGTCATTTTACAGATGGTGTATTAGTCAGGGTTCTCTAGAGGGACAGAACTAATGCAATAGAAATATATATAGAGAGAGGAGTTTATTAAGTATTAACTCATATGATCACAAGGTCCCACAACAGGCCGTCTGCAGGCTGAGGAGCAAGGAGAGCCAGTCCAGGTTCCAAAACTGAAGAACTTGGAGTCTGATGTTCCAGCATCCACCATGGGAGAAAGATGTAGGCCAGAAGACTAGGCCAGTGTCTCTTTTCACATTTTTCTGCCTGCTTATATTCTAGCCACAGCGGCAGCTGATTAGATGGTGCCCACCCAAATTGAGGGTGGGTCCGCCCCTTCCAGTCCACTGACTCAAATGTTAATCTCCTTTGGCAACACCCTCACAGACACACCCAGGATCAATACTTTGTATCCTTCAATCCAATCAAGTTGACATTCAGTATTAACCGTCACAGATATGGGTAAACTGAGGCACTGAGGATTTGGACGGGGGCAGCCGGCAGCGGAATCTGAGCTGTCCTGTAGCTCTGTCTGGGAAGACTCCAGTGAGCATCCCGCTCTATCCCAAGCCTTGTCTTCTGAAAATCAGAATCATCCCTCCTCCAAGTGTTACAGGAAAGGGGTCCGGATCCAGACGCCAAGACGGGGTTCTTGGATCTCGCTCCATAAAGAATTCAGGGCTAGTCTGTAAACTGAAAACAAGTTTATTAGGAAAGTAAAGGAATAAAAGAATGGCTATTCCGCAGAGCAGCTCTTAGAGCTACTGCTTGCCCATTTTTATGGTTATTTCTTAGTGATATGCTAAGCAAGGCTTGGATTATTCATGCCTCCCCTTTTTAGACCATGCAGAGTTCCTGACATTGCCGTGGTATTTGTAATTGTCATGGTGCTGGTGGGAGGGTAACACTGAGGACAACCAGAGGCCACTCTCATCACCATCTGGGTTTTGGTGGGTTCTGGCCGGCTTCTTTACTACCACCTGTTTTATCAGCTAGGTCTTTATGACCTGTATCTTGTGCAGACCTTCAGTCTCATCCTGTGACTCAGAATGCCTTAATCATCTGGGAATGCAGCCCAGTAGGTTTCAGCCTTCTATTGCCCAGCCCCTATTCAAGATGGAGTCGCTCTGGTTCCAGTGCCTCTGACACAAGTAGCGCCCCTTAGGGAGGTTACAGGAGGGACTGGAAGGAAAGTGAGGTCTGGATCAGGGCCCTTCTGTGTAAATAAGATGATGTACATGCAGCAGCTGGGTATGTCCTGGGTAAAAATTAGTTAAATGCACAGACGACCCTGTTTCATCCCCAGCCATCACCAGCTGGAAATGGGGCACATTCCCAAGATCCCAAAAACATTCTGCAAGGCTGGTGCGATGATTGCTATGAAGTACTTAAGAAAACAGATTATTGTTCAGGATCAATAGCTAATGCATGTGGGGCTTAATGCCTCTGTGACGGGTTGATGGGTGCAGCAAACCACCATGGCACATGTTTACCTATGTAACAAACCTGCACGTCCTGCACACGTATCCCGGAACTTAAAATAAAATAAAGAAGACAGAATATTGTTAATGGTTAATATGCTGTAAATCATTATGATGATTACTAAATTATCAATACAAAAGAAGATAATAGCAAGACGGCCATATTCCTAATAGAGGTTGACATTTTAGCAGCCCTACATTTCCACTGTATTTAATTAGTATTTGCCGTCCAATCCAGAGGGGCATGAAGGAGCACGAGACAAAATCAGGTCTTCTAACAGCTGAGAAGAAGCTGAGAACCAGAAGTGGAAACCCCAAAGGGCAGTGTATGAAATGTCATTTATTGAGGGGAAAAAAAAGAAAATGACAGAGTTCGATAGAAGAAATAAGCACTAGTGTTTACATAATCAGTAGGGTGACTTTAGTTTACAATAATCTATTGTAGACTTCAAAATAGAAGAGTCGGAATGGTTCTAATATGAAGGAAAGACAAATATTTAAGGTGGATGGATATCCCAAGTAGGCTGATTTGATCTTTACAAATTATATAAATGTATTAAATTATTACATGTACCCTGAAGCTATGTACATCTGTTATGCATCAATTAAAAATAAATTAAAAGAAAAGGATATATGTCCAGGATATACACCAGCTAAGACAGTCTCTTCCAAGTCTATTGTACATTATTCCCTTATCAGATTTGAAACCTGAGAGTTCCCTGACGCCCCCTCACAGGATGTGCAACAGGGGTGTGTTTGATCTGTTTGACCGCCACACACTGAAACCTCTTATGGGAGGCAGAACTTGCAGACGGGCAGGTGCAGCAGCTAGTGTGAGTGTTTTTGAGCTCTGGGCCCCACGGTAGCATCTAGGGATGGGTGCCTGCGACCCCCGAAGCCCTAGTGGGCGTTTTACGGTGCTCTTTTAGCTCTGCCATCCGCACGTGGCTTAAGTGTTAGCCAGCTCAGTGCCGTCTTGGTACCCGGGTTCTTGTCCAGCATCCAGGAAGAATCAGGTCACACGAACCAGCTGAAGGATGGTAAATGCAGAAGAGTTTGTTGCCAGATGGAGATGACTCTTAGCGGGATGGTTGGGGAGTTGGAAAGGGGATGGAGTGGGCAGATGATCTTCCCCTGGAGTTTGGTTGTCCTGCGGCTAATCTCTTCTCCAACCATCCCCAGCTGAACACCTCTCAGTGTTCAGATGTTCCTTCTCTTCTCTCCTTCTCTGCTGTGCTGCTCTTTGGTTCCTCACCTTTTCTGCTCATCTGTCTGTCTGCACATGGGGTCTGGGGTTTGGGGTTATATGGGTACAGGACAGGCAGGCATGGTGGGTCAAAAGGCAACATTTGGGCACAAAAATAGGAATGCCTGTTTCCATTTAGGACTACAGGTTTCCAGGCTTGAGGGCGGGGCCTTTGCTGGGGAACTGCCCTCTTGTATCTAGTATCTTCAGGCCTCCTGTCCGTATCAACATGACTTAAAATGTGTGTGCATTTGTATAGAGCTGTGTTTCTATGTAAAGACTAAAAAAGACTTATGAAAAAGATCACTCAGAGCTCTGAACAGTAGCAAATCATATTTCTGAGTACTTCCTGTTGAGTAAAGGTAAGTGAGGATTGTGCCAAGTATTTTTCATTACTTGCTGCATTAGGTTGTCACAGGCTGTTTAGTTTACTTCTAAAAATTGGGATATGGGGAAGTTGTGGGCCGGGCACAGTGGCTCATGTTTGTAATCCCAGCAGTTTGGGAGGCCGAGTTGGGCAGATCACTTGAGGTCAGGAGTTTGAGACCAGCCTGGCCAACATGGCAGAACGCTGTTTCTACTAAAAATACAAAAATTAGCCAGGCATGGTGGGGGGTGTCTGTAATCCCAGCTATTCAGGAGGCTGAGACAGGAGAATCGCTTGAACCCAGGAGGCGGAGGTTGCAATCAGCTGAGATCATACCACTGCACTCCAGCCTGGGTGACAGAGTAAGACTCCATCTCAAAAAAAAAAAAAAAAAAAAAAAAAGGAAAAAAAAGTTATGATGATCGCCTAAGGTGAGAAGCCATACCACGCCAGCGTACAGAACCCCAAACCACGCCAGCCTCATCCTACGTCTCAGTTATATTTTTCTTGACTTGCTTCCATTCTGGTGCCCCCTCTCTCCCTGCCCCCTCCTTCCCTGCAAAGGATCTAGCAAATTTGTAGGTGTGGAAAGGGAACCACAAATGGGTCATTTCCCTGCCATTGTCACCTGGAGCGTGTAGCCATTTCGTGCAGTGATTCTCTGTCTTTGATGTGCAGGTCATCACCTTGAAGGGAGGAGGTATTAAAAGCGCCACCCAGTCCCCACCCACTGAGGTCTTTATTCAGCAGGTGTGGGTCAGGCATTTGGGAGCTGGGAGACCTGCATTTTAAGAAGCACCCCAGGTGATGCCCAAGCGGAGCTATGTGCTTCTTTTAAGAGATGATGACTCCGTGTGCAACCGTGTGGTTACCTTTGCGTGGAGTCTCATGGATCACTGCCACAGTGGGGAGGCAGCTCTGTGCTCTCCAATTCGGTGATGTGTCATTCACTCTATGCAGGCCCAAGGTGACACCCCCAGATACAGGTGCTGCCATCCAGCCATTCTCAACCAGGGATCATGTTTATCCACAGGGACACTTGTCGATATCTTGAGGCTTTGCGTTGCCACACTGATAGCAGGGATGCTGCTGGCATCTAGTGGGTGGAGCCCAGGGATGCTGGTCAACACCCTGCAGTGCACAGGACGCCCCACAGAAAAGAATGATCCAACCTCATATGTCAGTAGGACTGAGGCTGAGGAATCTTGCCTTAGCATGAGAGATCCTGTCTGTCTGTCTGCCTATCTCTAGATCTATCTATCGTCTACCATTATCCATCCACCTATCTGTCTCTATTATATACACCTATCATCTACCTAATCTATCTGTCAATGATTTTCTGTCATCTATTATCTATCTATTTATCTATCTTTCTACCTACTTCTCTATCCAACTCTCATCTCTATTACCTATCTATGTATCTATGTATCTATCTATGTATCTATCTATCCATCCGTCTATCAATCTATCTATTTATCTAGCAGTCCATCATCTATCTGTGACATTCTTCTGCTACCCAGGGATAATTGTGTTCCTCGAGTAACACTTGGCAATGTCTGGAAACAATTTTGGTAGTTGCACTGGGATGGGTGTTCTCGCATTCGGTGGGTGGAGACAAGGCATGTTGTTCAACACCTTACAGTGCACAGGACAGCACCCATGACAGAGAGTTACGCAGCCCCAAGTGTCATTAGTGCTGTAGTGGAGAACCTGCTGTTAGTTATAACTTCTAACCCTGCGAAAGGGGACAGGTTGGAAATGTCATGCTCCTGTACGCTGTAGGAGGTATAGTTGTCTGGAGGTATAGTTGTCTGGAGGTATAGTTGTCCTGTACAGTATAGGAGGTACGGTATAGTTGTCTGGGCATTTCTAAATGGATCTTACTGTCAGAATGCACTTGTAGGATCTTTTCCCCATAGGGCATAGAGCCATGGCACATATAACCCAGAAGCTGAGCATTCCATAGTTTCCTTCTTGGAGTAGGAAGGGGCTGTGCAGAAAAAGTCTATGGCTGTTTGGCACCTGAGTGTGAAGACATCTGGCAAATATTGGAGCCAATTAGCAGACAAGCACGGAGTCCAAGAAATGTCTCCCCTTTCTTGGATAACAACTGACCCTTCCTGTGAGGGCCCCCCTCATTCCAGCCATTTTCCTCTTTCTCATTGGCACACAGGGGGTAGAAAAGTGGGGTTCTGCCTGCAGGTGGGGCTCTGCCAGACACGGCAAAGCTCCTGGGGATTCCCCCGATGGATCAGGGGCCAGAGGCACCTAAACCTGTGAGCGATGTGTGCAGCCACGGTGCTGAGGCTGGGAAACTCTGCTGTAGTCTGTGAATCCCAACCTCTGGGAATGCTTCAGAATCAGATTCTGGGCTGATCTGGAATCTGCATGTGGCTGGATTCTGGTCTGATCCAGGCATGGAGGCGTGTGCCTGTAATCCCAGCTACTCGGGAGGCTGAGGTGAGAGAACTGCTTGAACCTGGGAGGCAGAGGTTGCAGTGAGCTGAGATTGTGCCATTGCACTGCAGTGAGCTGAGATTGCACCACTGCACTCCAGCCTGGGCAACAGAGCGAGACTCTGTCTCAGAAAAAAAAAATTAAGGAAGAGTATTATTGAGAGCGTAGGCCAGGCGCGTGATGTTGCTGAGATGAAACTGTCTCTCTAGATTCCCAAACCCTGGTTATCTCCACTGAACCAGGCTGTCCAATGGCATCCCCATTGTAATTGACCATGTTCCATGGTTTAAATCTGTTGTGAGCCAAATTGTACCCTCCTCAATTTTACAAATGGAAGTCCTAACCTGCAGGACCTCCAATTGTGACTGTGTTTGGAGATGGGGTCTTTAAAGAGGTGATTCAGGCTGGGTGCGGTGGCTCATGCCTGTAATCCCAGCACTTTGGGAGGCTGAGGCTGGCAGATCATGAGGTCAGGAGATGGAGATCATCCTGGCTAACACGGTGAAACCCCATCTCTACTAAAAATACAAAAAAAAAAAAAAAATTAGCTGGGCGTGCCTGTAGTCCCAGCTACTTGGGAGGCTGAGGCAGGAGAATCGCTTGAACCTGGGAGGTGGAGGTTGCAGTGAGCCGAGATCGCACTACTGCACTCCAGCCTGGGCGACAGAGCGAGGCTCTGTCTCAAAAAAAAAAAAAAAAAAAAAAGAGGTGATTCAGGCAAAATGAGGTCACTAGGTTGGGCCCTGATCCAACAGGACTGCAGACCTTATAAAAAGACGAGATGAAGACACAGACATGCACACAGGGACGATCCTGTGAGGACTTAGGGAAAAGATGGCATCCACAAGCCAAGGAGAGAGGTCTCAGTAGGAACCAGCCCTGCCCACACCTTGATCTCAGACTTCCAGCTTCCAGGCCTGTGGGAGAATCAATGTCCACTGTTTAAACAGCCTGGTCTGTGGGACTTTGCTATGGCAGCAGCCACAGTGGACAAACACATTTGTATTCCAATGAATGAGTTACCTCTGTAAGGGTTGAATTGTGCGTCTCCAAAATTTATATATTGAAGGCCTAATCCCTAGGACCTCAGAACATGACTGTGTTTGGTGATGGGGTCTTTAAAGAGGTGAGAAGGGTACAATGAGCTCAGGAGGTTGTGCCCTGATCCAATAGGACTGGGGTCCTTATAAAAAGAGTAGATAAGGACACAGACACACACAGAGGGATGACCCTGTAAAGACACAGGGAGAAGAGGGTGTCTACAAGTCAAGAAGAGAGGCCTCAGGAGGAACCAGCTCTGCCCATGCCTTGATCTCAGAATTCCAGCCTCCAGGACTGTGGGAGAATAAAAGTCTGTGGTTTGTAAGCCACCCAGCCTATGGTATTCTGTGATAGCAGCCTGCAATGGACTAAGACATCTCATAAGAAGAGCAGATGAGGACACAGACATGCACATAGAGGGATGACCACGTGGGGACACAGGGAGAAGATGGTGTCTACAAGCCCAGGACAGAGGCCTCAGGAGGAAACAGCCTTGCCCATATCCTGATCTCAAGACGTCCAGCCTCCAGGGCTGTGGGAGAATCAATGTCTGTTGCTTATAAGCCACCCAGTCTATGGTATGCTGTGACAGCAGCCTGAAATGGACTAAGACACCTCATAAGAAGAGGAGATGAGGACACAGACGCACACAGAGGGATGACCACGTGGGGACTCAGGGAGAAGACGGCATCTACAAGCCCAGGAGAGAGGACTCAGGAGGAACCGGCCCTGCCCACACCTTGATCTCAGACTTCCAGCTTCCAGGACTGTGGGAGAATCAAGGTTGTTGTTTAAGCTGCCCAGTCTTTGGGATTGCATTGTAACAACTCTGGGAAGCCATTACCAAGTCTCTGTCCTGCAAAGTGAGATCCATGGATCTGCAGCCTTGACATCCCCTGGGAGCTGATGAGAAACACTGTGTCTTGGGCCCAGACAGACCTGCTGAAGCATAGTCTGTGTGTCACCCATGTCCTGAGGGATCCGTGTGCATGCCACTCTGGGAAGACGGGTTTATAACACACCGTCAACCAGTGCCTCATTGCATGGTCTGCGGTATTTTCCTCGAGTTTTCCTTGCACCAAAGATGTCTTGCTTTTTGTGATGAATGATCATTCCTTCCTCTTCGACGACAAAATACTTCGATCTCTGCAGACACCGTCTGTTGTGTTACAGACAGACACTGAGGCCTGAATTCTCATTACCAATGTCTGCTCTAATAGAGCTTCAATCTGCAACTGCATAATATGGTCACTGGGAAGTCAAGAACGGGGCCAGTTGGTTGACCTTCTGGGGAGAGGCTGGGCTGCTTGGATGCTGAGACCGTGGAGGGTTCATGGGTTCCGAGGAGCAGATCATGCACCAGGGCGGCCTGCTCAGCTCTGGTGTCTGCAGCCCCGGTGAGCTTGAGCATTAGGGAGTCCCTGGATATTCATGTTGAGGTGTGGAGGAGGAGACTCCAGCTGTGTTTGATTTCCTGTCCTGCTGGAAATATAAACTTCTTAACCAATTAGAGAACAGAATGGATTTCATCTTATCCATGGGGCTAAAGTAGAATTCAGCCCTTGGCAAACAAGCCCCCCGGGAATAAGATTCCCCATTGGGGCAGCAGCCTTCCTTGTCACTTTCTGTTGCAACCTACGGTCCTAACCTAGTCATATGATTTAATTTTTTTTACTCTGTGAATCATGCCGTCCTGGGAGAGAGTGAGATGGAGCAAGGACAACCCTCTTAGGGGCCTGCCAGGCACTCTCCCTAGCATGGAAATAAAGGAAAACCTTGAGTTCCTTCAAGGGAAATTCCAGGCACCTCGCTGGCCTTGAGAAGTACATGGAGCAGCTTGATAAGCAAGAAGGTGATTGTAGTGTAGAACAATAGCCAAGGAAGTTAGAGCCTCAATATGTTTAGTTTCCTGTAAAGACTAAAGATAACATCCTTTTTTGAGATGGAGTCTTGCTCTGTCACCCAGGTTGCAGTGTAGTGGTGCAATCTTGGCTCAGTGCAACCTCCAGCACCTCCTGGGTTCAAGTGATTCTCATGCATCAGCCTCCCAAGTAGCTGGGACTACAGGTGCACACCACCACGCCCACATTTTTGTATTTTTAGTAGACACAGGGCTTCCCCATGTTGGCCAGTCTGGTCTGGAACTCCTGACCTCAGGTAATCTGCCTGCCCTGGCCTCCCAAAGTGCTGGGATTGCGGGTGTGAGCCACCATGCCCAGCCAAGATAACATCTTACTATATGGCCCTGAGTTGATTTTCAGGAACCCAGACCCCCACCAAATAAAAAATGCCATCTGCTGGCTCATAGACGTTGGGTAAGAGAAACTGAGGCCTGAATTCTCATTACAAATGTTTGTTCTAAATTCCTTCCCTGGGGCATGTGGCGGTGGGAGGGGGGTGGAAGGGGGGTGAGGGGACGTGCTGGAGGAAGTCACACCAATGGCCACAACTAACATTGATTTCTGCTGACCCCAAATGCTCAGACAAACTTGGCCTCCTTAACCAATGACAAATCAGAGAAACTTTGAATCCACATTAAGCCCCTGCTTCCAGGTATCCCGCCTTTTTAGATCAAAGCAATGTATAGCCTGCATGTATTATGGCTTTGCCTGTAACCTCTGCCTCCTTGCCATTGAAAACCCTCAGCTACTGGCCACCCAGGAGGTTGGGTCTTGAGGCATCAAGGAGGTTGCTTGATGCCCTCTAAATAGCTCGGAATAAACGCCTCACTTCCTCACGCTGCAATCCCAATGGCGGTGTTCGGCTTTACTGCACAGGGCCGGTGGACCTAAGTTGAGTTAGTGGGAGGTGTTCGAACCAGGGCAACTCCAGGTTGAGTAGGGGCTGTGTAAAATGAGGCCGAGAGCTGCCGGGCTGCATTCCCGGATGGTCAAGGCATTCTAAGGCACAGGATGAGATAGGAGGTTGACACAAGAAACAAGTCATAAAGACCTTGCTGATGAAACAGCTTGCCGTAAAGAAGTCGGCCAAATTTTACCAAATCCAAGATGGCGATGAGAGTGACCTCGGGTGGTCCTCACTTGTGTCTTCCCACCAGCACCATGACAGTTTACAAATGCCACGGCAATGTCAGGAAGTTACCCTATATGGTCTAAAAAGAGGAGGCATGAATGGGCCACTCCTTGTTTAGCATATCCTCAAGAAAGAACCATACAAATGGGCAACCAGTGGCCCTCGGGGCTGCTCCGTCTATGGAGGAGCCATTCTTTATTCCTCTGCTTTTCTAATAAACTTGCTTTCATTTTATGGACTCGCCGCAAATTCTTTCTTGTGCAAGGTCCAAGAACCCTGTCCTGGGGTCTGATTCCAGACCTCTTTCCGGTCACAAGTTCAGTCACAAGAACCATTATCATATGCTTTCTATATATACACATAGGTATTTTTTAATTGCTGAACTGGAGTCAAAGAGAAACCTTAGGATTTGCCTGAAGGAAGTCAAGATTTGTCCTTCTCGGGGTCCCTGTGCCAGCTTTGTAAAACCTCGGAACTTTCCCCTCTGTGGGCTTCCTCAAGCTGAGGAGGGCTCTATGGGCTTAGTACCCACTAAGTGGCTTCATCTGCAGCAGCTGACCCAAGAAAGTTGATTTAAATGAACCCACACTTCAGAGGAAACCAGTACAATCCGATGTAAAGAAATAAAAAATAGGCCGGGGGCGGTGGCTCATGCCTGTAATTACAGCACTTTGGGAGGCCGAGGCGGGTGAATCACTTCATGCCAGGAGTTCAAGACCATCCTGGCCAACATGGTGAAACCCCGTCATTACTAAAAACACAAAAATTACCTGGGCGTAGTGGCATGCACCTGTAGTCCCAGCTACTCAGGAGACTGAGGCACTAGAAGCGCTCGAACCAGGGAGGCAGGGGTTGTAGTGAGCCGAGAGTGCGCCATTGCACTGCAGCCTGGGCAACATAGTGAGATTCTTTATCCAAAAAAAAAAAAAAAAAAAAAAAAGGCTAGGCACGGCGGCTCATGCCTGTAATCTCCGCACTTTGGGAGGCCAAGGTGGGTGGATCACGAGGTCAGGAGTTTGAGACCAGCCTGGCCAACATGGTGAAACCCCATCTCTACTAAAAATAAAAAAAATTAGTTGGGCATAGTAGGGGGCGCCTGTAATCCCAGCTACTCAGGAGGCTGAGGCAGGCGGGAGAATCAATTGAACCTGGGGGGCAGAGGTTGCAGTGAACAGAGATTGCGCCATTGCACTGCAGCCTGGGCAACATAGTGAGGTTCTGTATGAGAGAAAGAGAGAAAGAGGGAGGGAGGGAAGGAAGGAAGGAAGGAAGGAAGGAAGGAAGGAAGGAAACAATTGCTTGAAAGGGCTTTGTTTCACCAGGGCACGCAGATCAAAGGACATTGGATTGAATAATGAAACAGAAGAGCCTGTCTGAATTTACTAATGTGGTTGCACGTCCCGTAATGATTGCAGTTGGCTCTAATTCAGTTCCGTGGTGTATAAATTCTGCTGGCAATAGCTGTAATTGGGGTCAGGGATTTAGATAGTCTCTGTGTGTTCCTTTTCATTTTCTGCTCAGAGCCTGCTGGGAGCTGATTTTCTTCTTTAAAGCGAGGTAAATAATTCAGTGGGGAGCAGAGGTTTTGCTGTGGGTCCATTGCTCTCCTGTGCTGCGTGGCAGCTGTGCTGGTGGCAGCTAATATTCAGTGGGCAGTGGCCTCGACATTGCATTATTATTCGAGCAATGGTACTGTTCTTTGCTTTGCAAAATTGCTGTTTGTTATATTGACTTTCTGGGGTCGTGGCCCCTGAAGCATTACTGAAAATCATGGACATGAAGCAGATTTATTAACTGGAGAAAAGACATACAAATGTATTTAATGTGTATACACGGGAGCATTCAGAATGAAGACCCCAAGTTACAAGGGGAGATTGTCTATATTTATGCTTTGGTTCATCCAAGTCTGGACAGCTGTGTAGAAATAGGGTTGGACAAAAAGGGCCTGATCCAATGCTAATGGCCTGAGTGGGGAAACCCAGCCAGGCCTGTGTGTCTAGATTCTTCTTGGCCTCTCTCTCTCTCTTTTTTTTTGAGACGGAGTCTCACTCTGTTGCCAGGCTGGAGTGCAGTGGCACAGTCTTGGCTCACTGCAATCTCCACCTCCCAGGTTCAAGCAATTCTCCTGCCTCAGCCTCCTGAGTAGCTGGGATTACAGGCACGCACCACCACGCTCAGCTAAGTTTTGTATTTTTAGTAGAGACGGGGTTTCACCATGTTGGCCAGGATGGTCTCGATCTCTTGACCTTGTGATCTGCCCTCCTCGGCCTCCCAAAGTGCTGGGATTACAGGCGTGAGCCACCGCACCCGGCCTCTTCTTGGCCTCTCTGAACAGTGCTCCTTCCTTCCGGGTATGGGGCTGGGAGCTTCTCTGGGATGGGGGGTCTTAGGACGCCCAAACAAGGCAGGTCAGGGAATTTCCTTATGGCCACTTTTTTTTTTTTTTTTTTTTTTTTCAAGACAGATTCTTGCTCTGTCACCCAGGCTGGAGTGTACTGGTGTGAACTCGGCTCACTGCAAGCTCCGCCTCCCGGGTTCACGCCATTCTCCTGCCTCAGCCTCCCGAGTAGCTGGGACTACAGGCGCCCGCCACCACACCCGGCTAATTTTTTTGTATTTTTACTAGAGACGGGGTTTCACCGTGTTAGCCAGGATGGTCTCGATCTCCTGACCTCGTGATCCGCCTGCCTCGGCCTCCCAAAGTGCTGGGATTACAGGTGTGAGCCACCGCGCCCAGCCTGTGCCACTCTTTATACAGATAGGATAGAGGGAAAGTTAGATTCCTGTTTTTAGGTTTTATGGCTGGCTTCGGGGGGAAAGGCGTTCTTGTTTCTGGGACCCGTCTTGGGGAAGAGGGATTCTAGTTCCTTCGGTGCCTTAGGGGAGAATGGGACTCAGAGACATGGGGGCTGGAGAAGTTCCGAGAGAAACTTCTGCTTCTGAGGCTGCTGCTGAGGCCTGCACTTGGCGGTATTGTTTCGTAAGCCTGAACCACGTGCAGGTCTGAATCAACATAAAGAATTTGGGTGGGAGGCAGGGGAACTCCAATAAGAAGCATCTTTGAATCCGGCAGGGGTGGAATTTGGGTCCCAGAGGGGTTTGGTGACTGCAGGCTACAGAAGAATGCTTCAAAGTGCTGTATCACATGGCTTTGCTCCGAAGGGTCCCGAGCACAGCTTTACCGGGGGCTCATGTGTAACGCTCGGCCCACCCATCCACCAACAGGAGCCACTTAATCGACATCTCCAGGATGCCAGCAACCGAGGACCGTTGTCATAGTCCCAGCACAAAATGAGGCTGCTTTCTTCTTGGGGGTTTAGGGATCCCAGACCACAAGGATTTGATTAAAAGCCGCTCAGTTCACTAACTATAAGCAAAGCAAATCAGAAATAGATCTCCTGTTCCTGCCCCGTCTTATGTTCCCAGTGGAAAATAAACCCCGTGAAAGCAATGGCGTCATGTGCAACCCGACCTTGGAGACAGAGACCCCAGAGTTAGCGTTGTCTACCTGGGACATCTCCCAGCCCAGGGGTCTTACTCCAGACCCGTGAGGACCCCAGGCGTGGCTTTGCTGCAACTTCCCTGGAGAGGAGAGAGGACAGGGGGCCCTGCCTGGGAGATAGATTTGCTGCCTGGCATGCGGGACTGGAGACTGTCTCAGTGCCCAGGCCGTCTGATGCTGGCCGGAGTCCGCCTGGTTTATGTAACGAGGTCTGGATGTGACCAACAACGGCCTCGTGTGTGTGAGTCACGCGTGCAGCAACTTCTGGCTGTAGTGCAACCCCTGAAACCAAGCAAAGCCTAAAGCCCCCAGGCTCCACTTCCTCTGTGACCCTCCCCACCCCCAATTCCTGTCATCTCTCAGGGTCATCCGGAGCATCTCAAAGCTGAAGGAGCCTCCGCTGCAACCTGGCCTCCTGCTGCAGGATGAGACGAGCTGTCTGCAGCCCTCCCGTGCCACCTGCCTGTTTTATGCAACAGCATTTCAGAGAGGAGGGACTGGGAGGGGAGAGACAACACCGAGGCCTTTGGTTATTTAGGGCAACAGCAGGGAGTGGCCGGGTGCACAGATTGGAGGAGATTAAGTGGTTGCTGAGGGGATGCCTGGGATTGCTGGGATGGGCGGAGACATAACACAGTGAAAGATATTGGTCAACGGCGAACACAGATTGGAATGTAAATTCTCAGGGTGTGTGCATAGCCGGGACGCTTAACTTTGGCGTCCTGGACAGGTGTCTCGACTGGAACTGCTGGCAGCCTTGGAGGGGAGATGTTGCACAGATCCAAGAGGCTGACACGGTTCCTGTCCCCCAGCCCAGTCTGAGCAGCTTGGACCATGATGATCAAGAGCGCTGGAGGAGGCCAGGTGCGGTGGCTCACGCCTGTAATCCCAGCACTTTGGGAGGCCAAGGCAGGTGGGTCACTTGAGGTCAGGAGTTCGAGACCAGCCTGGCCAACATGGTGAAACCCTGTCTCTACTGAAAATACAAAAGTTAGCTGGGCGTGATGGCATGCACCTGTAATCCCAGTTACTCAGACGGCTGAGGCACAAGAATCGTTTGAACCCAGGAGGTGGGAGTTGCAGTGGGCTGAGATTGTGCCACTGCACTCCAGCCTAGGCGACAGAGAGAGACGCCATCTAAAAACAAAACAAACAAAAAGAAAACAACAATAAAGAAAAAATAAGAAGAGAGCTGGATGGAGCAAAGATTTGCTGGGTTGTTCTTAAAGGCGAGCCTGTAGTGATCGCTGGTAACAGAGAACGTCATCTGAGAGGGACGTGGGGGCTCCCAGAGTTTGAGAGAAACGGCCGTGTGGGATTTGACCTGTGATGGCACCGCCAGCTCCCAGCCTCCAGTCTGGGCCCAGGGGCAGCTGCTGTGTGCACCCTGGGCTCAGAGTTCCCCTTCCCTCCAAGGTTTGTGACTTTGTCCTGACTTAGGGATTCCTGTCTGGGGATGCGTCTTCTGCTCCGGAGAGGCCCTAATTGCCTCCACAAGGAGCGGCAAAGCCTGCCCGGGTGGCATCTGACTGGAGCCATGCCACAGCCTATACGAATCTATGTTGGAGCCCTTGAACCTTCCCCCAGAGCAAGCGTCACCGAGGCAGACCGATTTTTGGGAGGGAGACAGACATCAGAGCGGGGGAGACCCAGTACCTAGGGCTCACCTGGTTCCCCCAGGCTTAGCCTCCTCCAGGGCTTAGTGTTTGAGTGAGAGATTGTCCCCCCTGGACAATTCTGTAGATTCTGACTCTGCTCCTGCCTTGCCCTGAACTTCCCAGAACCTCAGTTTCTTCCTTTGGGAAATATGCATGCTGGTCATACCAACATCCTTGGGTGGGCAGATGAGACTCTTGGGTGCCTGGCATTACTGCAACAGAACTCAATGCATAGTAAGTGCTGACTCAATGTGCTCCTGGCTGCATCCTCTACTTCCTGATAAATTCTCTGGTGGTGTTTTCTCTACAAGGCTAGTACTGGCAGGGGCAAGTGAGGAACAAGATCAAGGTGTGCATATATGTCAGCAAGAGGGACCCTTCACCCTCACAAATTCTGCAGTGTGTTTTTAATGATGTGTCCCAAAGATGTGAATGTTCTCTTCTCTCTGCTGCAGACACATTCATTAGATTAACTGCTTTTGGATCAGGTAGGAACCTCAGCTTGTCCACACAGGTTGCTTCCTGACCCTGTATTTGTCAGTGTAGGCTAGCTGCTATAACAAACAGCCCCCAAAGAATTAAAAGTTTATCTCTTGTTTGTGTTGCAGCCAGGTGAGGTGGCAAAGGTGTCCTATGCTCCATATAGTCTCTCAGGCATCCAGGACCCTCACATTGTTGTGCTTCACCTTCTTCTAGGGCAGCCCCTCTCAACCTAGACTCTGTGCGTGTGTGGAGGGGTGGGGGGGGCGTTGGGGGGCGGGGATATGCCTGTCCTAAGCTGTGAGTGGGACAGTCCAGGAGAGAAGTCTATGTGCTTGGAGAGAGGCTTCCTTCAAAGTTTCCTGGCCATGAGCAGGAATGAAGCTCTGACACAGGTTGCAACGTGAACGCAACTCAAGAGCATCATGCTCAATGAAAGAAGCCAGGCACAAAATACCACATATTGTAGAATTCTATTTATAAGAAATTTGCAGAACAGACAATTCATGGAGACAGAAAGTGGATAGTGGTTGTCAGGGGCTGGGGAGGCGGGAGGGGAACTAACTGCTGAATGGGGACAGGGGTCTTCTTTTGGGTGATGAGTATGCTCTGGGACTAGGTGGAGGTGGTGGTTGCATCTCCCATGTAGCTCATGGTCAGGTTAGTTTTAGTGCTCTGGGCGACCCTAGGCTTGCAGGAGGAGGGGAGCAGCATGAGGTGAGGAACAAGGGGGATTCTGGCCTTTCCATCATGGGGTGACTTATGCCCTGTTTGCTCCCAATAGGTCAAAGAGACTTTGATTTGGCAGATGCCCTTGATGACCCTGGTAAGTGCCGATATTTCAAGGGGAGCCTTCCCTTTTCAGCTTGGATCTAACAGCATCAGCTGTATAGTTACTTTGGGGTTGGATTGGGCCAGTGTTGGGAATTTCTTGGTCTTGAGATCTCTGTTCTTTGCAGGAGATTGCAGACACCTTGAGACAAACCTTTACACACTCTCTAAAAGTCTCAGACTCATTTCTTGGTAGGTCTGTGCTTCTAAACCTGTGGTTTAGGAATATGCTAGTATTTTATTATTTTATTTTACTTTATTTTGTTGAGATGGGAGTCTCGTTCTGATGCCCAGACTGGAGTGCAGTGGTGCAATCATAGCTTACCACATAGCCTCGACTTCCTGGCTCAAGTGATCCTCCCACCTCAGCCTCCCAAGTAGCTGGAACAACAGGTGTGTGCCCCCATGCCAAGCTAATTTTTTTCTTTTTTCTTTTTTGTAGAAACGGATTCTCACTATGTTGCCCAGGCTGGTCTTGAACCCCTGGGCTCAAGAAATCCTTCTACCTTGGTTTCTCAAAACACTGGGATTACAGACGTGCCTCAACATGCCTGGCCCAGTTTCTGCTTTTCTTACACTTCAGTTCATATCCCTCATTGTCCCACACCCCGATCCCAATCCATGGCCTCCAATCTCCCCAGTTTCTGCTTTTCTTACACTTCAGTTCATATCCCTCATTGTCCCATACCCCGATCCCAATCCATGGCCTCCAATCTCCCCTCCCAGAGCACACTTCATTCCGTTCTCCCCTCAACTTCTCTGGTTACCTTCACTGACGGGGCTGTGAGTTTTTCTTCTCCAGGGCACTGAGGACCTGGAATCTTCCCATTCTGTGTTTTCATCAGTCCAAGTTCAGCTAGAACCTTTCTGGCTGACCAGAATGCTGAAAATATGTGTCCTGGGCCCTGCAGAAAGTCCTGCTTGAGGCAGATAGTCTGATTGAGATTCAGGTGTATTCAGACCGCGGTGGGTGGGAGAAAGGGAAAGATTTGGTTTCTGATGCAGGCACAATGGAACCAAACATTTATTTTGAAAGAAAAATAAACTTTTGTGTACACAGAGGAAGAATCCATTGGGCTTTAGCATTGGGAACAACTGGTTGACCAGTGCAGTTACATAATGGTGTTTGTTGGAGGAAGAGAGAATGATAACCAGATCTGATCCTAAAAAGCCAACAACAAGATGATAGGAACTCATCTCTCTCCCAGTTTTCTGCACACAGTGATGTTTTTGCTAATAATTATCCTAAAAGGCAGATACAAAATTGTTGTCAGTGCAACAGGAAAATGTAATGACTCACCCCAACATGGAGATGCCATTTCTCCCATGAAGTTAGAAAAGGTGAAGGTTGAATCCTACCCTGTCAAGGCAGATTGAGGGGTGGGGGTTAGAGGCAGGTGTGTGGTTGCAACCACTTTGGAAGCATTGGGGGATTATCTCCAAAATTCAGACTGAGTGTGTTGCACCAGCGTTTGGTCTGGATAAAGAATGAGGCATATCTGCAAGAGAACCCTGTGCAATAGTGAAGGAGGGGCTGGCTGGTAGGCTCAGATACAGAACAAGACATGTTATTGATCTGAAAGATCACTGACATGTGACCCAGGAGTTCCACTTCTAGACAGATACCCAAGAGAATTGGGAGCAGGGACTCAAACAGTTATTTGTGTACCCATGTTTGCAGCAGCAATATTCACAATAAGCCAAAGGTGGAAACAACCCAACTGTCCATCAGGGGATGAATGAATGAACAGAATGTGGTCCCTCCAGGCAACAGAATATGATTTGGCTGTAAAAAGGAAGGGGGTTCTGATGCGTGCTACATGAGCCTTGAAACTGTGCTCAGTGAAACAAGCCAGGCACAAAAGGCCACAGGGTGTAGGATCCCATTAATATGAAATGTCCAGAATAGGCAAATTCAGAGAGACAGAAAGTGGATTAGCGATTGTTGGGCTGGAAGAGGGGACAAAAGGGAGGGACTGCTCGTGGCTATGGGGTCTCCTTTTGGGGGGATGAAACTGTTCTGGAACTAGATACAGGTGGTGATTGTACAATATTGTGAATATATGAAACACCATTGAATTGCACACTTTAAAATGTCAAATTTTATATGTGAGTTTCACATTAATTTTTTAAAAATCACATAAATAAACTTATTTTCCACTCACCTGCTACTACCTTTTCATTGCTCACCTAGAAGGCTGCCAGTGCCTGCAAACACATCTTTGAATGCATCGTTTTGCTACCAAGAGCCCCCCATGAATGGGCAGGCATGTGCCTGTTCATCCACAGCCCTTCCTCATGGGAAGGAAGCCCCAGTGCAGAGGAACCACAGTCACCTGCATGGCGACTGTGGGGAATTCACTTTTCACTGTCTATACTGCCTGGGCTTTAAGAAACTCTGTGAGTGTATCACTATTTTAAAAAATAGTTATAATTTTACATTTTAAAAAGGAGACAGAGAAAGGAAGGATGGGAGAGAGGGAGGGAGGGTGGGAGGAGGAAGGAAGGGAAAAGGAAGAGAAGAAAGAAAAGAAGGAAACAATGAAAGGACAGAGGAAAACAGGGAGGGAGGGAGGAAAAAGGATGGAAACAAGGAGGGAAGAAAAGGAAGAAGAGAGGGAACGATGGAGGGAAGGAAGGAAGAAGAAAGGAGAGGAGATAAGAAAAGACTGAGGGGAGGAAGGAAGAAGGAGAGGAATGAAGGAGGAAGGGAAGAAAGGAGGGGGGAAGGAAAGAAAGAAAAATAGGAGAAGAAAGGAAGAAAGAAAAAGAATAAGGGAAGGACGGAGGGAAGGAAGGAGAGAGGGAGAGGAGAAAGGTTGGAGGGGAGGAAGGAAGAAAGGAGGGTGGGGAGGAAGGAAAGAAGAAGGGGGAAAAGGAGAGAGGGAAGGAAGGAAGGAAGGAGAGAAGGAAGGAAGGAGAGAAGGAAGGAAGGAGAGAAGGAAGGAAGGAGAGAAGGAAGGAAGGAGAGAAGGAAGGAAGGAGAGAAGGAAGGAAGGAGAGAAGGAAGGAAGGAGAGAAGGAAGGAAGGAGAGAAGGAAGGAAGGAGCGAAGGAAGGAAGGAGAGAAGGAAGGAAGGAGAGAAGGAAGGAAGGAGAGAAGGAAGGAAGGAGAGAAGGAAGGAAGGAGAGAAGGAAGGAAGGAGAGAAGGAAGGAAGGAGCGAAGGAAGGAAGGAGCGAAGGAAGGAAGGAGAGAAGGAAGGAAGGAGAGAAGGAAGGAAGGAGAGAAGGAAGGAAGGAGAGAAGGAAGGAAGGAAGAAGGGAGGGCAGGAAGGGAGAGGGAGGTGGCAGGAAGGAGAAAAGGTGATGAGAAACCTTCTATTAAAATACAGGACATGCGAAACCATATGCCCCGTTTGGAGGTTCAAGCTCTCCTTCTTGCAGTCTCTGCATCCCCAGTGAATGTCCGCACCACACACAAACCCGTGTTCCAGCCGCCTCCTACCAAGGCAATGCTAGGCTGTTATGTAAACCATGCTTTCAAATACGGTGTTTCCTCTGTTTGGAAGAAGTCTGGCCATTGCACAGCCCTGAAGCTCCAATTTTCCCAGCCATGGCCGACTCCACCTCCTTTGAGCCATCTTCCTCAAACCTCCTCCTGCCCTCGTCTGCCCATCCACACTGCACACCCAGGTTCACTAAGCAGGGCAGTCACAGGCTGCACCCTGAGCACTCCTGACCTGATATCCACATCCATGCAATACATATTTGCTGAATGAATAAATGAATGAATGAAAGAAAGTGAGATAAGCCATCATTCTGGAAGCTGCAAGTCTTTCTCCTTCTTTTCTTTTGCCTCCCCCTGCCTCACCCTCCACCGTCCAGCCCTGTGGTGGCTCTACGGGCAGGTGGCTCACTTACTTGTCTTGGATGTTCTCAGCTACTTTGGCCATCCTGTGGGCATCCTCACAGCCTCAAGGGTGGATTGTTTTTGAATGGATTTTAAGGGTGTTTTCTTGTCTTTTTTCTCAATTCAACATGGAATTTGTGTCTATATCATTTACTTTGTATGGCTTTGTCACTCCCTTTTCACCTTTCATCAGGGCGTTCATGGCCTTTCTTCATGCTTCCAATGAATCTTCAATGCATATTGCATTTATTTTCTCTCTTTGTTCACAGAACCCACCAAGAAGCCAAACTCAGGTGAGTGTCTCTTCAGCTGGGAAAAACTGAGGCAACGTCCTTGAACTGATGCTTACGGAGGGGATGGTTGAGGATGTTTTACAGAACTGTGGGGTATATGAAAGAGATGCAACAACTGTACCAGATAGCAGATATTGAAAGCAAAATGTGGTGATTAGGGAAATGCAAATCACAACCACAGTGAAGCACCACTTCGTCCCCACTGAGATGGCTAAAATCTAAAATGGAAAATAACAAGTGTTGGCAAGGATGTGATGAAACTGGAATGTTTGTACAGTGCTGGTGGGAGTCTAAAATGGTACAGCCACTGTGAACAAATGCTTTGGTGGATCCTCCAAAAGTTAAATACAGGATTACTCTATGAACCAGCAATTCCACTCCTAGGTATGTACTCAAAATAATTGAAAACACGGGTTCCAAGAAAAATGTGTACACAAATGTTCAGAGCAGCACTATTCATTATAGCTAAAAGATAGAAATAACTCACATGTTAATCAGTGGAAGGAATGGATAAACAAAATGTGGTCCATTCACACAATGGAATATTATTTAGCCTTGAAGAGGAATGAAGCACTGAAAATTGCTACAAAGTGGTTGAGCCTCAAAAACATTTTGCAAAGAGAAAGAAGCCAGACACAAATGATCACATAATGTATATTTTTATGAAGATGAAATTTCAAGAATAGGTGAATCCCTAGAACCAGAAGCAATGTCGTGACTGCCAGGGGCTGGAGGGGAAAGAGAGAGTGACTGCTTGATAAATTCCAGGTTTCTTTTTGGGGGAACGAAAGCATTCTGGAAGTACACAGAGGTGATGGCTGCACAACACTGTGAATATTCTAAGTGCCCCTGAATTATTCACTTTTAAATGGTTAATTATATGTAAATTTGACTTCAATTTATTTATTTATTTTCAATTAAAAAGGTAACCTTTGGCTGGGGGCGGTGGCTCACACCTGTAATCCCAGCGCTTTGAAAGGCCGAGGTGGGCAGATCATCTGAGGTCAGGGGTTCGAGACCAACCTGGCCAACATGGTGAAACCTGGTCTCTACTAAATATAAAAAAATTAGCTGGGCATGATGGCACATGTCTGTAATCCCAGCTACTCGGGAGGCTGAGGCAAGAGAATCACTTGAACCCGGGAGGTGGAGGTTGCAGTGAGCCGAGATCATGCCACTGCACTCCAACCTGGGTGACAGAGTGAGATTCCGTCTCAAAAAAAAAAAAAAAAAGAAAAGAAAAGAAAAGAAAAAGAAATAATTCCCGGGGCCGGGCGCAGTGGCTCACGCCTGTAATCCCAGCACTTTGGGAGGCCAAGGCGGGTGGATCACAAGGTCAGGAGATCGAGACCATCCTGGCTAACACGGTATGTTGTACCTGAGCGAGTTAGAAAAACGCTTTGAGACAAATTAAGAGTCCTTTATAAGCCAGCGACCGAGAGACGGCTAATGCTTAATAGTCTCTCGGTCCTGAGGAAGGGGCTTGATTAACTTTTAGATCTTGGTTTAGGAAGGGGAGGGCTGGGGGTCTAGTGAAAACCATTTTACAGAAGTAAAGTAGGCAAAAAGTTAAAAGGATAAATGGTTGCAGGAAAGTAAACAGTTCCAGGTGCAGGGGCTTTAAGACTATTACAAGGTGATAGACGCGGGGCTTTGGGCGTTACTAATCAGACGAATTCCCGGGAACTGCGGATGTAGCTCGCCACAGTATCTTATCAGTTAACTGCATTCTTGGATGTGCTGGGAGTCAGCCTGCACGAGTTCAGTCCTTGAGGAAGGGGCTGCCAGTGAAAGAGCCAAGGTGGAGTCTGGCTGGCTCTCTTAGCTAAGGGAGAGTCCATTCAGGTGGAAAGAAGGCTAGGTGAGTAAAGGAAAAGGGAGAGTCTAAAAACAGGTTAGTAAAAACCAGGTTGGGCATTACAGGTGAAACCCCGTCTCTACTAAAAAATACAAAAAAAATTTGCCAGGCATGGTGGCGGGCGCCTGTAGTCTCAGCTACTTGGGAGGCTGAGGCAGGAGAATGGCGTGAACCCGGGAGGCGGAGCTTGCAGTGAGCCGAGATCTCCCACTGCACTCCAGCCTGGGCGACAGAGCGAGACTCCGTCTCAACAACAACAACAACAAAAAGAAATAACTCCCAGACTTCCAGCAGACTCCTTGACTGCCATGAGAGATGTCAGGAAGTCAATGGACGGGTGTTTATAGGTTGTTCAGGAAATGTTCACTATCAAGCAAGAATTGAAAATGCAGCTAAATTGCTGTTGGAGAGTGATGATAGCATAAAGATTTCCAACAAGAAGCTCTGCAAATTTTGCTGAAAAATCTTCCAAATGATGCTCTGCCATAAGAAGAAATTCACACCCTGAATAGCACAGCAGGATGCGAATAGCAATGCCAGCCAAAGACATTGCAAACAAGCCGGTAAAACTAAGTGATTGTTAGCTGTTTAAAAAAATAATAATAACTGGTGTTAACAACAAAGTGAAACTTAACTTCTGAAGATGAGGCTACCTTCACAGAGAGGATAAGAAAGGAAGAACTGAGTAAAAGTAGTTAGATATTGCTGGATTTTGACATTTTAAGGTTAAGTGTTCCTGCTAAAAATAAAAATTGAACATATAACTCCTGAACTAGTGGATGAAAATGAAGAATGAAGAATAAAATTAAATACAAAAAAAATGAAGAGTAAAATTAAATACCAAAATTAGCCAAGTGTTGTGGTGAATGCCTGTAGTCCCAGCTACTCAGGAGGCTGAGGTGGGAGGATCACTTGAGCCCCAGAGGTGGAGGTTGCAGTGAGCTGAGATTGCGCCACTGCACTTCCGCCTGGGTGGCAGAGCCAGGCTTTGTCTCAAAAATAAAAAAAAATAATAAATTAAAAACCTGAATACTAAATGGAAGTTAAGAAGGAAGGAATTAAAAAAGAAGAAAAGTAAAATAAAATAGTAGGAATAGTGAATCCTTAGTTATGTTAGATGTTCAGTGATTTAATAAATCTGTAAAAAGACGGAGATGAGATGATGCAATTTAAAATGTTTCGGCTGGGCGCAGTGGCTCACGCCTGTAATCCCAGCACTGTAGGAAGCCGAGGCGGGTGGATCACGAGGTCAGGAGATCGAGACCATCCTGGCTAACACGGTGAAACCCCATCTCTACTAAAAATACAAATAAAATGTTTCATGCTATTTACGAGAGAAGCATTTGCAACAAAATGCCAAAGAGAAGGTGAAAATAGCTGGAAAAAAAATGCGCAAAGCAAATAACCAATAGAAAGAAAGCCAAGTTGGGCTAGCAAAATCAGACAAAATAACCTTCGAGGTGCAAACAACTTTGAGGCCCAAATAGAGGTTCTTCCCACTAAAAGAATGATTCCCTGAATGATAATGGAATCTTGACCCAGCCTGCACCTCAGGTTAAGTTAAAAGTGGAAATTTAAAGATCTAAGTGTGAGATTTTAAAAAGCATTTCCCCAGAAATACCAGGATCTGTAGATGGAAATGTTATTAAGAATAAAGATGTGGAGCTGGGCGTGGTGGCTCACGCCTGTAATCCCAGAACTTTGGGAGGCTGAGACTGGCTGATTTCTTGAGCCCAGGAGTTTGAGACTAGCCTGGACAACATAGTGAGACCCCATCTTTACAAAAAAATTAAAAAAAATTAGTGGACATGGTGGCATGCACCTCTAGTCCCAGTTACTCAGGAGGCTGAGGTGGGAGGATCACCTGTGCCCAGGCTGAGGCTGCAGTGAGCCATGATCACGCCACTGCACTCCAGCCTGCGTGACAGAGCAAGACCCTGTCTCAAAAGAAAAGAAAAAAAAAGAAGAAAGAAATGAAAACCGTAGCTCAGAGACAGAGAAACTGAGCAATGCATAGGTTCAGAAGGGTTTGAAACAGACTGAATTGTGTCTTGGCATATGAGAGAGGTCGCAGCTATAAAACAATGAGAGAAGAAACCAAATTCCACATAGGCAGGACTGAGACAATTGGCTGTTCTTGTGGATGATACGTGATCAAATCTCAACCTCATGCGATACTTTTTTTTTTTTTTTTGAGATGGAGTCTCGCTCTGTCACCCAGGCTGCAGTGCAGTGGTGTGATCTCACCTCCCCGCAAACTTCTCCTCCCGGGTTCAAGTAATTCTCGTGCCTCAGCTGGGACTACAGGCATGTGCCACCACGCCTGGCTAATTTTTGCATTTTTTTAGTAGAGACGGGGTTTCACCAAGTTGGCCAGGCTGGTCTCGAACTCCTGACCTCAGGTGATCTGTCCACCTCGGTGTCCCAAAGTGCTGGGATTACAGGTGTGAACCACCACACCCAGCCTCATGTAATACTTAAAAATGAACTACAGGTGGATTACAAACCTGAATATAAAAGAAAACTTTTTTTTTTGAAAAATAGAGGGAAATGTCTTATAACCTCAGAGTTAGGAGGTTTTTCTTAGATACAATACAAAAAGCATAACCACGCCCATAGTCCCAGCTACTCAGGAGGCTGAGGCATAAGAATCACTTGAGCTCGAGAGGTGGAGGTTGCAGTGAGCCGAGATCCTGCCATTGCACTCCAGCTGAGGCTACAGAGTGAGAGTATAAAAAAAAAAAAAAAAAAGCATAACCTTTAAAAATGGGTTAGCCTATGTCTACATTTAAATAATAATAATAATAATAATGTTCCAACTTCAGGCTCTGAAAAAAGTCAAAAGATGAGCTGTCAACTAGAAGAGGCTCCTTACTGCTCATACCACCAGGGAAAGTTTAATATGCAAAATGCAGTCATCCTTCAGAATTCATGGGGGATTAGTTTTAAGACGCCTTCTTCCCCGCAGACACCAAAATCCACAGCTGCTGAAGTCTCTGATATAAAACGTGCAGTACTTGCATATAATGCAAGTATATGTTCCTGTATATTTTTATTTATTTATTTGGAGACAGAATCTCACTCTGTTGCCCAGGCTGGAGTGCAGTGGCGTGATCTTGGCTCACTGTAACCTCCACCTCCCGGGTTCAAGAGATTCTCCTGACTCAACCTCCCAAGTAGCTGGGATTACAGGTATGCGCCACCACCCCCAGCTAATTTTTGTATTTTTGGTAGAGACGGGTTTTAACCATGTTGTCCAGGCTGGTTTCGAACTCCTGACCTCACATAATCTGCCCACCTTGGCCTCCCAAAGTGCTGGGATTACAGGGATGAGCCACCGTGTCCAGCCTCTGGTATACTTTAAATTATCTCTAGGTTACTCATAACTCCTGATACGCTGTAAATGCTATGCAAATAGTTGTTATACTATATTATTTTTTATTTGTATTACTTTTTATTGGATTGCTATATTTTATTTTTTGAAATATTTTCAATACAAGACTGGTTGGATCTATAGATGCAGAAATTCTGGTTATAGAGCACAAACTGTGTATAGATAGCTCCTACCAAAACAGACGGATGGTGAAAAAAAGAAAAGAAAAGAAAAGAAAAAGAAAATGGAGGAGAGAGACTATGAGGCGACTAAAAGAAGAGGGATATGATCATTCCATTCGCTGACAAGAAAAATTCAAAGAAGAGGGAATTATGCAATTGACCAGCTGATGTGTGTTAGAAATGCTCAGGGTCACACATATTCATTGAAAGCCAATTTAAGCCACTATTTAAATTTAAACCGATTTAAACAATTGGGCTTTTTTTTTTTTTTCTAAAAAAAAAAAAAAGTCAATTAGGCCAGGCGAGGTGGCTCACACCTGTCATCCCGGCACTTTGGGAGGCCGAGGTGGGTGGATCACAAGGTCAGGAGTTTGAGACCAGCCTGGCCAACATGGTGAAACCCTGTTTCTACTAAAAATACAAAAGTTAGCTGGGCATGGTGGTGTGTGCCTGAGGCTGTGAGACTGAGGCAGGAGAATCACTTGAACCCAGGAGGCGGAGGTTGCAGGGAGCGGAGATCATGCCACTGCACTCCAGCTTGGGCGACAGACCAAGACTCTGTCTCAAAAAAAAAAAAGAAGAAGTATATTGGTTCCGTCTGGAAAGGTGGAGCACTTGAAGCAAAGGCAGGAAGACTGGAAGCAGGGAGAGGGTTTTCAGGTCACAAACAGGTGAGAGACAAAACAGTTGCCTTCTTTTGAGTTTCTGATTAGCCTTTCCAAAGGAGGCGATCAGATACGAATCTGCCTCAGGGAGCAGAGGGGGGACTTTGAATAGAATGGGAGGCAGGTTGGCCCTAAGCAGTTCCCAGCTGGACTTTTCCCTTTAGCTTAGTGACTTGGGGGTCCCGAGATTTATGTTCCCTTCACAGTGTATGAGTGAGAGCACTTGGAAACTGAGAGTGGAAGTGTCGCAGGCCAGGTCTCACTAACACAGGCCCCCACAACACCTGTTTCAGTATTGACTGAGTGGTTAAATATTAAAAGCCAGTGCTGTTATACAAAGGCTGGAATGTAACAAAAGCCCACCGAGAGTTTTTCCCAGGACTTTCCCGGGCCTTAAAGCATGACAAAATAATGAATGAATTCTTAACAGGACCCATTTAGGATTAAACAAGTTTTACTGGGGGTCTGCAGAAACTCCCCAGGCCTCCACAAACAAGTTTATTGGGGCTTTGAAGGAACTCTGCAAACCTCCTGGATTTAGCAGGAGACAACATGAGGGTAATCACCCCGGCACCTGGACCCATTAGATTAAGTCAATTTACTGAGGCTCCTGAGGAAGATCCTCAGGACTCAGACCTTAGTTATAGATTAAAAGAAGTTAAGGCCGGGCGCGGTGGCTCACGCCTGTAATCCCAGCACTTTGGGAGGCCAAGATGGGCGGATCACGAGGTCAGGAGATCGAGACCATCTTGGCTAACACCGCGAAACCCCGTCTCTACTAAAAATACAAAAAAATCAGCCGGGCGTAGTGGCGGGCGCCTATAGTGCCAGCTACGCCGGAGGCTGAGGCAGGAGAGTGGCGTGAACCCGGGAGGCGGCGCTTGCAGTGAGCTGAGATTGCGCCACTGCACTCCAGCCTGGGCGACAGAGCGAGACTCCGCCTCAAAAAAAAAAAAAAAAAAAAAAAAGTTAATCATTTATGTCGTTACATAAATGGGCACTTACACATAGACGTATAGCTCAGAAGGTATATAAGCTCTATAAAACTTTATCATTTTGAGTGGGTCTGGTAATATTATCTACATGCCTTCTCCCTGTAACCACTTGTAGAAATAAAAACTCTCTTCCTTCTCAGTTCATCTGCATCTCATTATTGGGCCACAAAAAAATAGCAGCCTGACCCTCAATTTGCTCAGGAAAGACAAGGGGACTTGGGAACACTCCTTACACTTCAAAGAGAAGGCTCAAGGCCATTAAGAAAGACCTGTTGGGGTGCCATCCTTCCATCTGGCTTAGTTAGTTCTTAAAAAGATTTACATATACCTCAAAAAACAGAGGGGAAAATACTAGTTTTCTAAAGGTAGTACTCTAATGAAAAGTAGGAGGAAGGATTACTTTCTTACCTGACAACAAGGAAAACTCAAATTACATAGATTTTAGACTTACAAAAATTTTCTGGACAGATATGAAGAACATTATTAAACTAACAAACAGCAATCCAGAACTTTTTTTGTTGTTGTTTTTGCTAAACGTATTTGTAGTTCTGTTAATTTCCTTACTGTAATCTACCAACTTTATGTGATCTCTGTCTAAAAAGCAGAACTTTCTGGTCATTTCTAAAGAGCATAGAGATTTTAAGGAACATCAGCAATATTCAAATTTAAGAAAACTGATTATAACTTAGAAATTCTGAGGAAGAAGAGTAATGAGGGGTAACTTGTTCTAGCAGAAAATCAAGTATATTTTTATAACCACTTTAATTATTTTAACTACATACCTTCATTCTGTGGTTAAAATTTAAGACACTAACAGTTCCAAATTTTGGTGAGCATGTATAGCAACGGAAAGCTCAGACATTGCTGTGGCAGTGTGAAATAGCACAAAAACCCTGGAAAATTCTTGGAAAGGTACACACAAAATTAACTGAGCTGAAAATTTCACTCCTAGATGTTGGCCCAGGTACATTAAAAACAGATGTCCACTTAGAGACTTGAGCTCAACTGTTGATAGCAGCTTTATTAATAAAAGCCTCAAGCTCAAAATAGCCCAGTGTTCACCACCAACAGTGTACATAAACTGTGGTAAATTCATGCAAATTTCAACCTGAATGAAAGAAGCCAGATGCCCTTCAGAATACAGCTCCGTTGATATAAAGCCTTGAACTCAGCCGGGCGTGGTGGCTCACGCCTGTCATCCCAGCACTTTGAGAGGTCGAGGTGGGCAGATCACGAGGTCAGGAGATCGAGACCATCCTGGCTAACACGGTGAAACCCTGGCTGTACTAAAAATACAAAAAATTATCCAGGCGTGGTGGCGGGCGCCTGTAGTCCCAGCTACTAGGGAGGCTGAGGCAGGAGAATGGCGTGAACCGGGAGGCGGAGCTTGTGGTGAGCCTAGATTGGGCCACTGTACTCCATCCTGAGTGACAGAGCAAGACTCTGTCTCAAAAAAAAAAAAAAAAGATCTCTCAATTGCATGATAGAAATCATGCAATTGACAGAGGAATTGCAAAAGGGCACAGGAAATTTTAAGGGTTGAAGGAATGATGTAAATAGCTTGTAACCTAGTTGGGGTGATAGTTACTCAGGCATATGCATTTGCCAAAGTTCATGCATCTATAAATAAAAGATCTGTGCACAATATCTCATGAAGATTTTTACTCTTGACATTATTACATAGTCCAATATGAAATAAAATATTAATTAAATTTCTTGAAATACTAGAACTCTGATAACTACCTTTTGTTTCTACACCTTGTAGAAACAAATCTTTGTGGAACAGATTTGGAACAAATATGGAAAATTAATGTATTTCACATCAGTAAAATCGTGACATTGGGAAAAACATTACCCACTTCAATGCCTAATGAAATAATGTCTAATCAATCATGAATATCTACATTACTCTTCACTAAGATATTTTTTAGATGGAGCAATTACTTTCAGGTTAATAATAGCAAATATTTAGTTAATTCTTCACTAATGCTGATGTCTGTTCTAAGTATTTCTTTTTTTCTTTTCTTTTCTTTTTTTTTTTTTTTTTTTGTTGAGATGGAGTCTTGCTCTGTCGCCCAGGCTGGAGTGCAGTGGCGCCATCTTGGCTCACTGCAAGCTCCATCTACTGGATTCAAGCCCTCTCCTGCCTCAGCCTCCCAAGTAGCTGGGACTACAGGCGCCCGCCACCAAGCCTGGCTAATTTTTTGTATTTTTAGTAGAGACGGGGTTTCACCATGTTAGCTAGGATGATCTCAATCTCCTGACCTCGTGATCCACCCACCTTGGCCTCCCAAAGTGCTGGGATTACAGGCGTGAGCCACTGCTCCCAGCCTGTTCTAAGTATTTCTTATATACACTCACTTATTTAATGCTTGTGTACCTTAATTCATGTAGCCTTCACATCTCTTCATGGGTTGGTTTTATTAGTAAATAGCATTTCAACTAACAAAATTATTACAGAATTGAAAAAACTGAGACTCAGACAGCGAAGTAAATTGTTCAAGCTCAAGCCTGTAAGTGGCACTCAAGTGAGCCAAAGCTGAAGGGTTTACCTTCCAGAGCCTGTGTTCTTTATTCAGTACCAAGCTCCCTCTTAATGTATTTTAAGTGTTGGCATTTTAAAATATAGCAAACATCCATTGGCAGCCAAAGCACACTTGATACTTATAGTTAGAATTTGTTTGTTTATTGATGTTTGTTTAAACATCACAAAAATACAAAAATGCTTCATTTCAGTAATTCCTAAGTAAACCATACATAAAGTATCAATTCCTCTCCTGGGAGTGTGCTTCACAGAAATTCTTATAAATGTTCTCCATTGTACATGTATAAGAATGTATAAAAAAGCACTGTTTGTAATAATTGAAACCAGTAAGTGTCCATTCATTTGTCCAACAAAAATAGAATGAAATACGCACAACAATTTTTTCTTAAAAATTCTAGTTTGGGCAGCATATACACTAAAATTAGAATGGTATGGAGAAGAATAACACTGTCCCTGGGCCAGGAGGGTATTCAAATGTGAAGTCTTTCATATTTTTGGGAGTAGAATTGTGGCTACCCTCTAGTAGGGTCAGGTGAAGAGATGAGTATTGTTATTCAAAAATTATAATATTTCATCTAGATAGAAGCAATTAGTTCAGATCTATTGTAAAGCATGTTGAATATAGGTAATAAGAATGTATTGTATGCTTGAAAATTGCTAAGAGAATACAATTTAAATGTTCCCAGTGCAAAAGGAAAGGGAAGTATATGAGGTAGTAGATACATTAGCTTGATTTAGTCTTTCCAAAATGTATACATGCATGATGTCATAATTTTTAATAATCTGAAAACCACCAAAATGTATTAAGCAAAAGAAGCTCCACATAATATTTTGTATTTATATTTATTCACATTGTTAAGGAAAAATGGTATTCAGTGATACTTGTTCAAACTTGATAAGGAAGACTATTCACGACCAACAGCACAGCAATGAGGTCTTGCACTGGGGGAGAGATTGGCCTTAGCTCCACATACACAGCTGGGTAGGTGGGGATTTATAGCCAAGGAGCAGGGAGTAGGGTCAATGGATGGACAATCACTAAGAGAAGACATCATAGATAAGGAGGATTCTTGCTGAAGACAGGCTAGGCTGATCAGACATCACCTAGAGGGTGGTGGAGGATGAGAAACCTGATCAGATATTGAGGGTGATCGATCAAGTGTTGAGTGTGATCAGATATGCGGTGGGGGTACAGTCTGGCTAACCTGGCTTAGGAGAGTTCTTTGCCAAAACTGAGTTTGGCAAGGAAGTGCACAGGCGAGTCTAGGAGAAGGTTCAGAAACCTGACTAAAGTTTGGTCAAACAGAGAATCTGTGTCAGAGGTTCAAGAAAAGGAAAATTAATGTATGGTAATGAAGGTCAGAATGGGTGTTATTTTTGGGAGAGTGAAAAGAGTGGTTTTAAATATTACAAAGTAGTTTTGAGTCAGTGTTTAAAAGGTAATGGGCAATATACAGTTCTCATTTGGCATAAAGCTCAGATTAAGTAATATTGTCTCTGGAATAAAGCTTTTTTTAAACCCTGAACTTTGAGAAACATGACATCCATCTCTAATATACACTCTTTTAGTGTTTGAGTTTTATTATTTAAGGTAATGTCTCTGAAAAGTTTTGAAATATTGGAAAGCTGACTTTGATACATACCATTAATTTTGACTTTTGATTTATTTTTATTGTAGAAAAATTTATTTGTAATTTATACTTTAAACTGTGGTTTACAGTTATTTGTAAACTTCTAGTTTCCTGCTTTAGCTTATGTGCAAATTTTATGAAGTCTTGGCATTACATTTTTATTTAAATCCCATCAAATTAAACCAGTTGGGTCACCAGCCCCCGCCCTTCCATCTCCATAATCTGGGTAGTCGGCGTTCTCAACATTCCTGTTGAGAATGAAAATTCTGTATTTTTCATTCCACAGGCTTAAAAGTTAATAGGCCATGGAAACAAGTAGATTGCCATTTTAAAAGATAGTTTTCAGAAGAAAGGCAAAATGATAAGTTTCATAGAGATACAAAAATGACAAGGAATTAAATATTTTGTTTTACCAGAGGCATTTTATAACTAGTTGAAAGGAAATGTCAACCGTTTGGATTTATATGGAGTAAAGGAACTGAATTGCAAGTGGAGGTAAAACTGGTTTTTTCCACAGCGTGAAGGGGAGAGAAAGAAACAAGTTTGATCCTGCTTACATATCCATTCCTTAGTTACCTGCAATTTATAGACACGTACAAAGTAGCTGAAAGACCAATGAATACACGGTCTAGAGAGGACTGCTTAACACGCTGCATATAGAAGTGTGATTTTTTTTGGTACAATTTTCAAGTGTGTTTCTCATTAGAGCATTTAAAGTAAGCCACAGTGTCCGTTTGTATCAAGTTAGTACTCTGACGGCCACAAACATAGGCAGGCTCACTTCTGGATGTCTTATTTCTTTGCATGTTAATCGTGTTGACACAACTTGTCTTGAAATTAAGTTTAAAATGAAATACCAGTAAAACTGAAATGAATAAGGCCTTTATTAGCCAGAGAAAAGAAAACAATATTGAAACTAAACATAAGAAAGTGAGGGCTGTAAGTTATCGTAAAAAGGAGCATCTAGGTAGGTCTTTGTAGCCAATGTTACCCGATTGTCCTACAGCTTTGTCCAGTGGCTGTAGCGGTCCCGTTGCTGCGGTGAGCTGGCTGCGTTGATGGGCGGTAAGTGGCCTAGCTGGTGCTCCATTCTTGAGTGTGTGGCTTTCGTACAGTCATCCCTGTACAACCTGTTGTCCAGTTGCACTTCGCTGCAGAGTACCGAAGCGGGATCTGCGGGAAGCAAACTGCAATTCTTCGGCAGCATCTTCGCCTTCCGACGAGGTCGATACTTATAATTCGGGTATTTCTCTCTGTGCATGGCCTGTAATTTCTGTGCCTCCTGGAAGAATGGCCATTTTTCGGCTTCAGTAAGCATTTTCCACTGGTATCCCAGCTGCTTGCTGATCTCTGAGTTTCGCATTCTGGGATTCTCTAGAGCCATCTTGCGCCTCTGATCGCGAGACCACACGATGAATGCGTTCATGGGTCGCTTCACTCTATCCTGGACGTTGCCTTTACTGTTTTCTCCCGTTTCACACTGATACTTAGAGTTACAGCTTTCAGTGCAAAGGAAGGAAGAGCTTCTCCGGAGAGCGGGAATATTCTCTTGCACAGCTGGACTGTAATCATCGCTGTTGAATACGCTTAACATAGCAGAAGCATATGATTGCATTGTCAAAAACAAGGAGAGTGCGACAAAATTGAAAGGTGCCAGAGTTCGAAACTTATTTTACTATCCAAAACTCACTTCTACCAGATTCTTTGTTACGTTAACTTTTGTAATGAAACTTGCATTTCTCCGCCCTCAACACCCCCTCAACCCCGCCCAACCAGCCTACCCCCTAGTACCCTGACAATGTATTCATTCTCAAGCAAAACATGGTAATTCAGTAACGTTGACTACTTGCCCTGCTGATCTGCCTCCCTGACTGCTCTACTGCTGTCCTGAAAAATGCGAATTTGACTTAATCGCCAATTTTTTCATTGACCTTTTATGTCACAAAACGAGAGGACACAAAAAGCTATATGAATTGTTTATCATTATCAATATATGTGTATGTTATCTTTAAAAAAACAAAGCTTAATGAGAACCTAATTGTCTTAACCACACACATACATACATAACTGCATATTGAATTTATAGTAATTATTATCGCTTTTTCTTCACTTCTATTTAAAAATTGAAAATTCTATACACATTTTTCACAGGCATTAAGTATCAGAATATTAGCATATACTTACAAGTATTTTATGCCCAACTTCTAGGATGGCTAACATTTGACTTTTAGAAAAGTAATTGTTTCGTTTAGAGAAAAAAAAATATGACCTAAGAACTCAAAACAGTTTCAGTGAAGTGTTAAGCTACACTAAAAAGGGGACACAATTCTTTTCTTTGCAGATTGTATAGTGGGATATTTTGAAGTCATTCTCTTCACTGTCACACAATTAGCAATTTAAAAAACAATCTTTTACAAGTCTAAATTAAATTTCCATTCACAACAAATAGAGCCATCAATTTATCATATTTCACCTTTTAGTTCAACCTCCTTCAAAATTTAAAGGTCACAGTTTACCAGACTAAACAAGTGAATAACTCTCCTCAATAAATCTTAAAGTCTGAAGAGAAATGACAAGATTTCTTTGCTGAAATAAAATGGGAGGAAAGTCCCCCCACTCACCAATGTTTTAATGCCATATTTGCAAAACAGGAGTAACAACTACAGGTTGCATAGTACACAGAACCTATTAATAAAAATAAACTCTCAGCAAAACTGAATGATGCCACAATTCCTAAGACAACAAAATAAAAATCCCGTAAAATATGAAAAGAGTTCATAGAACCAAATGTGGTTGGTTTGTCCAGTAAATGTTATAATGAATTAATATCAGAAACTTTAAAAAATTATATTCCATGAAAAGAAAAATATGAAAACTGTAATTTGTATCCTAGTTATCTACTAAAGTTTAGTATCTAAGATACAAAATTTAGTATTCATTATACAAAGTGGAAATATAGTTGGCTCAAGTTAAAACATGTATCTGGATAGCAAATAAAATGGTTAAATTGCAGTCATACACAGAAACAGATTTTCTACAACAGGAAATCCCTTACAAGATGAGAAAAAACATACCATTTCAAAACCTGACATGAAAATAGCAAAAAATGACACAAGGCACCACATAGGTGAACCTTGAAAATGTTACACTGTGTGAAAAAGTCAGATACAAGAGGCCAGATACTGAATGATCCCATGTATATGAAATATCCAGGAAAGGCAAATGAATAGAGACTAAAACCAGATTAATGGTTGCTAAGGACTGGATGAAAGAGGTTGTGGGGAGTTACTGCTGGTGGATGCACGGTTTCTTTTGAGGATTGATAAAATATGCTCTGGAACTAGAGAGAGGTGATGGCTGCACAACATGGTGAACCAAAGAGTCAGAGAAACTGAAGTCCAAATAAGGAGTTTGTTGGCAGTTTTAGAACTGTAATTAGAGAAACAGATTCCAGAAGCATCTGACATTGTGTCGTGACCGGCTGTTTTGAGAGACAGTTTTTAAAGGAAATAAGAGAAAGTTGGTACTCATTAGGTTACTTACAACCTATTATCTTAATTGGTAATGAAGGGTTATCTTAACAGTTCATGAGTTTCTACGCAAAAGTCCTTGAATCAGTGGTTTGGGTAAAAAGTCAGTTTTCACTATGAAGTCTTTTAATAAGTGGCAGCAATTTTTGTCTGCAGAATCTGCAAGTACATTTTGCAGTCAGGCAGTTGCAAGATGGGTTTCAAAAACAAAATGTTGTTGCTATGGTTAGGTCTTGTTGCCTTCGTTCCCCGGTACTACTGAATCGTCCAGTTTAAGAGGGATAAAGTGGCGTCGCACAGGAGCGAGGATGGAGAGCGGCGACTAGGCGGCTATGGAGAGGTACAGCGTCCAGTTGCGCCCAGCCACACTGCAGGACGCCGCCCCCGCCACACTACACCTGATACCCTGCGGCCCACCACGGTGTGGCGCTTCATCACGCCTGCCATCCGCCAGGGCCCCGAGGGACTCTTAAGTGTAGTTTCGGGGCCGCAGTCTACGGGGCGACGAGGTGGCAGTGCCGTCCGGCCTCGTGGGATACGTGATGGTGACTGAACAGGAGGAGGTGTCGATGGGGAAGCCAGACCCCTGGCGGGGTTCCGGGAGTGACAACCAAGAAGAGGAACCTCTGGAGCGGGACTTTGACCGCTTCCTCGGAACCACTACCAGCTTCAGCCGCTTCACCCTGTAGGGCATGGGGCTTCACCCTGTGGGGCACCCTGTGGGGCTTCCTTGGCCCGGAAGCCAAACTGCGTGGGGCCTTAACTTGGCCCAGCCTCGCGGCAACGATTCACGCGCAGGTGCCCAAGGACACAGAACCAGAGCTTGAAATTCAAAGCCGCGAACCCTTTACAGCAGTAAACCAGCTCCTTACTTTGTAGCCACTGGTTCCATCACCCCAGTAAAGGAGTTCTTCACAGCACACATTCACAAAAGATAAAGTGGTGAATTTTATATTCTTATATACATATGTCCAACCATCTATATGTTTTTAAGAAGGCAAAAAAGACCTCCCAGATGCATATATTACAGGACGGGGTGTGTGAGGAGACTCACTTGGGGGTGGCAGTCAACAAAATTTAAATAAAGACACGAGATTTTATTATTTTTCTGTCTACAGCTCCTAGGATAGTGTGTGACATGTAGTAGGTTCTCAGTATACTTCTCTGGTACTTAAATTAATGAAATGTGTAAACATGCCTCTGGGTTCAGAAAAACAAACTCAACCACTTAAAAAAAAAAAAAGGAAAAAAGTGTTGGTTCTCCTGTAAAGTAATAAACCTACATGCAAAAATAAGGATGCAGGGGGAGGCCGAGAGCATTAAATTTGCCTCTATAATATCATATCAACACATTTTAATCTCTCAACCAGGGCTAATAATTCACTCACTGTCTCCAGGGGACTACATTAACAGTTCTTCCAATATTGGGCCTTTATATCATCAGCTAACCATATGCTTCCCTGAGCGCCTGAGTGATCCCAGTTTCTGGAACACTATTCCTTTCTCTCAAATTCAGTAAATAAAAAGTTAAAGCGCTATATTGTTTTATATGAGTACGACCTTTAAGATTCACTGATGACTATTTCTCAACAGTTGTTAAATATTTTTACATCAGTCAGGCCCACAAGCAATGTTAACTGGTAGGAAGTTAGCTGGTCCTGTCAATGTTAAATCCAAACGGGCTTAACCAACAGCAAAAGTTGCCAAACTAAGGGATTTTTTTTTGTTTTTTTAATCTTAAGGTATGGTAAGAAAAATGTTCAAAGACATTAGATTCAAATAATTTCACACAGATCCTGGTTCATTTTTATATCAGAATAAAAATGAAATGAATAATGAAATAAAAATGAAAACTGAAGAATAGTAACTTAGATTGGTCCAATGCAATTAATTGCATTTGAGGTACATTAAGGTATTTTATGCTCATTAGTTAAATACCCTTTGTAGCCCTAATTTAATTGCTATGGTGTATGCAAACACAGTTTACCACTGCATAAAGAATAAAACCCACAACATTTTATATGAATTTATTTATTTTTTCTCCTCACAAGATGTACTTTGGTATTTCTTCAAATTCAGGGATGAATGCAGCAAAAATGTTGTGAATATTACTCCACTCATTCTCTCTAATTTTATCTCAAGATATTCCCATCAAAGTAGAAATATATGTGGTCATAAACCATCCCCCATAAATTGTATACTAGACAGAGTTGACTATTCTAAGTCAACTTATGTGTTCATTTATCCTGCAGCTTGGCTATAGGCTGTTTTTTGAAGTCTAATGGTTGGCAGGTCACCAAAGACACAAACAACAAAAGAAAAGGTAAATAAAATGCACAAGAGCAAAATTTAAAACTTTTGTGAAAGGACACTTACAAATAAAAAGGTGTAATAGAGTAACACTAAACTTAGGATTTTTAGACTTGTGATTATTTTTGGGACTTTAGAGTCAAATGTCCTTTCAAGATGTTGGGTTTGTTTTGTTTGCATGTTTTTTATTTTAACCATGCTAAATTCATGGGCCATATTTTCAACATCTAATTCTCAAAAAGTTAGAATAGTCTTCTGATTTGGTAGGTAGAAGTTAATGCTCACTTTAATTGCTAGGTTCTACTGTTTCAAGACTTAATCAGATAAATCACCTAGCAACTGATGCATTTAAACATGATCAATTTTACTGGCATCTTTTTTTCCCAGGGATAATCTAATTATTTGCCAGTGGGAGGATGAAGTAGGGTGCAGTGGGAAATAGAATGATCTCCTACCTGAGCCGAAGAACCTTACAAATGCATATCTACTACATGTAAATTAAACTATAAGTAAACAAAATAGTTTACAACTTTAAAATAATGCTGCCTGTTTTTTTCTCTAACTTCACCTGAATTATTTTTCTTTTACTTTATTATTTTGATTTTTTCAAAGTATAGGAAATTGCCTGTAAAAACAAGGTTTCATACTTGGGAAGAAATTTCTCATAGAGTGAAGCATTTTTTTTTTTTTTCAAATCAGTTGTAACTAACCGTCTTAAAATCACATTGTGGCTATCCATGCCTGAAATATGTAAACAGAAAACAGATGACATCCACAATTTTCCTTTCTTCCTTAAAACAAAGAGGTAACTTCACTCTTTCATTTACCTTCTGATGCACAAGTATGAGCTTCTCTTTTTAGTTCTTCTAATCAGCTTAGATACTACATGTTATAGCTTGTTTCTCTCCATAAAATGAAGGTCACTTTTGATCTTTTCCAGGGTCTTCCTTCAGTTCCTTTTTGTCCAAGGCTAACTACACTCCTCTTTGTCTAGTGAGCCAGCAGCTGTTTGACCAAGAACCATTTTAGGAAACAGTTTTTAAAGATACCTCATGGAAGCATTCTGTTGTACCCTTCCGTACATTATTTTTTCTCAGTCTGTTGCATTAAGATTAGAGACTGCTTTCTTTTTATTAATGTTTTGAAATATTTTGTTTAGTGTCCAAAGGCTTGGTCAAATCATGAATAGTTCTATTTTTCTTCTGAAAAATATTGTTCCTTTAGTGATTTATAGTTAAGAGATATTATCCTTTAGCTGTCATACATTTCAAAAATACTTTCCTGATTTTGGACTTAAAATTGCATTTATCCTTTTTATCTTAACCTTCAAAACAATAATATAACAATGATTATTATAATTTGTGCCCGTTTTTGCCTTCTTTGAATGACGATGGCTTTAGTATCTTACTGCTAAAAAATGTTGCTTGTTTGTAAAATAGCCTTTATGCAGAAACCTGCAGCAAGTATCCAATAACCACAACAGGAAAAATCTGAGGAATTCCGGGCTTTTCAAATTTTTGTATTACCTAGCAATTATATGTTATTTGAAATTTGATTAGAAAAAGGCTAAAACAATTGTTTGAGTCTGGTAATTAAAAAGTGGTAAGTCTTTGTCTGATCTATGATGGTTAGTAGTTTGTATTTTGTGGTAAAAACAATACTTACTTTCCATTTTCAAATAATTTTAATTGTTATAAGTTATTATAAGCGTCTTGTAATTAGTTTTTACTGCCTCTCTCATAGCTTTGGTTATATCTAATTTCTCATTTATAATATCACTTACATTTGCTTTATTATATTTGTATTTAATCTATACCAGCAAGAAGGCACTTAATATTGCAAGCTTTTAAAAGAAATAGGGCTTCTTCTTTTGCTAATCCTCTTTGTAATTCCTTTTGGCTTTTTGGGAGAAGTTATTTCTACTCAAACCTTGTTCAGGTCACAAAGAAGCTACAGATGAAGAACACGAAAAAATTGTTGGTTAAAATAAAACTATAACTAGGCTTATTTACGGTGAGTAATTTCTTTTCATGCTCCATTTAAATGTTTTTACCCTAAAGTAATGATGTAGGAGAAGTCTAAAGCAATGGTATTAATATACAAGTCCCAGTGAAAATGTGATTCATGAAACTCTTTGTTATTTTTGGCTGCATGTACATTGTTACGATTGTGATGTGAGATGAACATTTTGCATCTTTCAAAATCTTACATTAGTAGGGAGTTGCCCCCAACCTAGGAGAGAGAAAAAGTAATATATTTTTCTCACCTGTCAACAAAGCCAATAGGTGACACACTATGATGAAAGACAGATAAACGAGAATAACACTCATATTTATTTAGTAAATGTTTTACATGACATGAGAACCTTCAAAAATGAAGACCCAAAGAAACAGAAAGCTATGTGTTTTTGTTTGTTTGTATGTTTTTTTGAGGCAGAGTTTCGCTCTTTTTGCCCAGGCTGGAGTGCAATGGTGTGATCTCGGCTCACTGCCGAGTGGTCTTGGGTGTCCACTAGACAGGTAGATATTTGCATCGCAATCTCCCATATCCATGGCATATATCTTGGGGAAGAAAGAATACATGCTCAGGAAGGAATGTGTAGTTAGCTGCAGGCATGACAGCCTATAATTTCTACAACAACAGGGGTTATTTGGGAGGAAACTTAACAATTAATAGATATTTCTACATAAAGAGTAATACAAAAACTAGACATTTTGGAGGTTATTTCTAGACTCAATGTTAGCCAGATTCAGATTTTAAACTAAAGTAATTCTTGTCCCCACACTCTACCTCTAATTCAGCTGTTCCAATGTCATGTGCTGACCTCTTCTGAGATGGTCCCTGAGACTTTAGAAGGAGGCATCCAGTGCCGGACATTGTATTAATAAATTTATGTTCTAGTTTCAAGAAAAGGCCACAATGGCAATGTAAACAATAACAAGAATTATTAACTGCTTTTGCCATTGTAAGCCCCCAGAACTAAACCAAAGAGAAAGCCAGTGGGATAAAGGGAGGGTAGGGTCAAACATTGCAGTTATCTGGCTTTTCATGTCTTGCAGGGCTACCATTATGTTGTCAGAATTATCTAGAATATATAAACAGCATTCAGTTATAATAACCTGTTGCACTGGTTCTCTATTGTGCAGCAATTAAGATATCCAGTGCTGTGCAATTTCACCAAACAGTGTATACATGAGGTATATTTCAGAGTTCTTTCAAGAAATACTTTGGAAACTTTCATTGAGAGCCTGCTGAATATTCTTAGTGAGAGCTTCTACATGCCATTAATAGGTAATGTCTTTAATGCCCAAAGATGGTGCTAAATGATCATTCCAATGAAAAATAGCTCTTGTCTAGCTATTAATCACATGTAGGAGATTAGCAGGTCTGCCAACTAAATTTGTCCATCATCCTTGGACCCATGGAGAACCTAAAGTGCAGCATTCTAGCCAACCTTGTGGTACCCAAGGACAGAGATTAGAGCCACTCATGTAATCATTCACTACCATTTGGAGCACACCAGTTTAAGCTGGATCATCAGGACCGGTCTGTAGCAAGTGAGTGCATGGCCTGCAGGATTATAATGTATTGACGCTACTCCCAGAGTAAGGGTGGGTTATGAGTCATGGGTGTGGTTCCCTTATTATTAACATAGGGGCACCAACTGAGTTAAGTGCCCTGCAGTTGGTGTCACCCGAATTTGAAGAAAACTCTCTTTATGGCAAGACTTACGAGATTTCATAACAAAAACCATTACTTTTGAATTTTAGAATATAGGGTAGGATAGGCTAGCTATTACGCTTTTTTTATTATTGTTTATTTATTTATTTATTTATTTATTTTTTTTGAGACAAAGTCTCGCTCTGTTGCCAGGCTGGGGTGCAGCGGCGCAATCTCAGCTTACTGCAACCTCTGCCTCATGAGTTCAAATGATTCTTCTGCCTCAGCCTCCCGAGTAACTGGGATTACAGGCACATGTCACCACGCCCAGCTAATTTTTTGTATTTTTAGTAGAGACCCAGTTTCACCATGTTGGCCAGGATGGTCTCAATCTCTTCACCCTGTGATCCGCTCGCCTTGACCTCTCGAAGGGCTGGGATTACAGGTGTGACCCACAGCACCCAGCCTATTATACATTCTTGTGTGGCATTTACTGAAATGAGTCTTATCAGTAGGTCAATTAATCACATCATCCCCTGTCATACCAGCTAATGTGCTGTTCTAATGTTGAAGAGCTTTAATGAATGCTTTTTAAGTGTTGCCAGTCGTTTTCCTGCATAGACGATGCCCACCAAGGCAGACGAGAAGTGTTGAGAAGGGTAACAAAATGCAAACCCAGCAGGCCTCTTCTGTAAGTTGTCAGCATAATGTTGAGCCCTCTGTAGGAAGAGGTTCATTTTTCCTTTCATAGGTCAGAGAAGAAGAACAGAAGATTATGGGCCGAAATAGCAGTGTTTTGTAGGTACTTGGCAGAGCAGTTCTTTCCCATCAAACAAAATGACAGTGGAACTTTTATCTCAGTCATTATTAGAATATTGGCAGCCTGAGGATTATGGGCTGGGAGTACATACCAAGCATTTTGCCTGAGGGGTGAAGTTATCTATAAGCAACATCAAACAACCGTATTAAACAGCTGACCAAAGGGGCTGTATTCTGGTGTCCTGGTATGTGGAACGTTTTGGCCCAAACTCCAACAGGATCAATAGAGGGCACTGTAGCTGCCCAGGGGATTCCTTACTTTCTGACAAGAAATACCCTATCTAATCTGTGGGAAGTTGCCAGTCCAGTCCATATTCAATTGTCCTATCTCTTGGCTGAAGATCTTGGGGAATGCTGAATAACATTTGCCATTGATCTTTTACCAGCTCTGGTAGAAATATGTCTCCTCGGATCTTTTTCACAACTATGGTTGATGAACTTTTTTCTGGGGTGGTCCCAAGTCATGGGTATGGTGCCAGCTCTGTGTTTGTTTTGACTGAATTAAGATTTCTCAGCTGGGCACCGTGGCTCACACATGTAATCCCAGCACTTTGAGAGGCCGAGGCTAGCAGATCACCTGAAGTCAGGAGGTCAAGACCAGCCTGGCCAACAGGGTGAAACCCGGTCTCTAAAAATACACAAATTAGCCGGGTGTGGTGGCATGCGCCTGTAATTCCAGCCACTGAGGGATTACACAGAAGCGGGAGAATTGCTTGAACCTGGGCAGAGGTTGCACTAAGCCAAGATCATGCCATTACACTCTAGCCTGGGAGACAGAGCAAGACTCCATCTCAAAAAAAAAAAAAAAAAAAGATTTCTCATGACCTGAGGCAAAACCATCAGCTACCCAAGCAAGGTATCGGATTGCATCACTGTTTGCAGTTGTAACTTCAAAATGGCATTATTTTCTTTTTCTCGCTTTTTTTTTTTTCTAGTGAGACAGGGTCTCACTCTGTCACACAGGCTGGAGTGCAGGCTCACCTCAACCTTGACCTTCTGGGCTCAGGCAATCCTCTCATCTCAGCTTCCCAAGCAGCTGGGTTCACAGGCTCTGCCTACGATGCCTGGCTAGTTTTTGTATTTTCTGTAGAGACAGCATTGCAGTATGTTACCCAGACTAATCTTAAATTCCTGAGCTTAAGCAATCCGCCTGGCCTCCCAAAGTGCTGGGAATACAGATATGAGCCACCACGCCCGACCTTCTAAAGTAAAAAGAGTTACAGTGAGCTAAGATTAATTTGTTGTTGATTAACAATTACATTTAATGACTGGGCCCAGTGGCTAATGCCTGTAATCCCAGCACTTTAGGAGACCAAGGCAGGCAGATAACTTGAGGTCAGGAGTTGAAGACCAGCCTGGCCAACATGGTGAAACCCCGTCTCTACTAAAAGCACAAAAATTAGCTGGGCATGTTGGCTCACGCCTGTAATCCCAGCTACTTGGGAGACTGAGGCAGGAGAATCACTTGAACTTGGGAGGCAGAGGTTACAGTTAGACAAGATGGCATCACTGCAATCCAGCCTGGGTGACAGAGCGAGACTCTGTCTCAAAATAAAAAAATAAACATAAATTTAGTGTAGCCTAAGTGTTTGTGAAGCATACAGTATTACACAGTAGGGTCCTGGGCCTTCACCTTCACTCACTACTCACTCACTGGCTCACCCAGAGCAACGTCCAGCCCGCAAGTGCTAATCATGGCAAGTATCCTACCTGTATAGCTGTATTACTTTTTTTCATGTTTTCTACTATATTTTTTACTGTATATTTTCCATGTTTACACACAAATACTCACCATTGGGTTACAATTGCCAACTGGATTTCTTGCAGTAACTTGCTCTACAGGTTTGTAGCCTAGGAGTGCTAGGCTCTACCATACAGCCTAGGTGTGTAATAGGCTACACCCCCTAGGTTTCTGTAAATACACTTTATCATGTGCTTACAATGAGGAAATCACCTAATGATGCATTTCTCAGTAGGTATCCCCATTATTGAGTGATTGATGCAGGACTATAGCTTAAATGTGAATTCATTTGAAGTAGTTTGCATGATTAGCAGTTTGATATCTGGATTGTCTTTTATTCTTGTTAACACACACACAAATACACACACACACACACACACACACACTCCTGTTAGATAAAAACCTTGTCTCTGGCTGAGTGCGGTGGCTCATGCCTGTAATCCCAGCACTTTGGGGGGCCAAGGCAGGGAGATCACAAGGGCAGAAGTTCGAGACCAGCCTGGCCAACATGGTGAAACCCCGTCTCTACTAAAAATACAAAAATTAGCTGGGCGTGTGTGCACACCTGTAATCCCAGCTATTTGGGAGGCTGAGGCAGAATTGCTTCAACCTGGGAGGCAGAGGTTACAGTGAACCAAAATTGCACCACTGCATTCCAGTCTGGGTAACAGAGCAAGACTCCATCTCAAAAACACAAAACAAAACAAAACAAAAAACTGTCTCTGTCTATATTTTGTCTGGGCTCACCTTTTCTTATTTGAGATGCTTATAAATTCATTGTGTGATTTTGTTTTGCTCTGTTGAAAATGTGAAGATGAATCTCTGAATAAAAACGTTTTATTTGGGAAGTAAGACTTGCAATCTGGTGCCTACATGCAGACAGTGTGGTCATCAGTATGTCTGATGAACAAACACAAGCTTTAAGATTTTATAAAAGAAAAAGAGAAATGGTGTATTGTTCCTTGAGAAAGTTCATTGGCACTATTCAGGTTTTGGAGAGCTGGCAAGCAAGCTGATGGTGGTGCATAAAACTAGTCTTAGATTTTTAGCAAGTTGTTTCAGTAGCCAGGCTAGCTGAGAGTTACATTCTTGGAACAATCTTTTGTTGCTGTTGTTGTTTTGAGAGAGAGTCTAGCTCTGTCCCCAGGCTGGAGTGCAGTGGTGCAATTTTGGCTCACTGCAACCTCTGCCTCCCAGGTTCAAGCAATTCTGCCTCAGCCTCTCAAGTAGCTGGGATTACACGTGTGTGCATCCATGCCCAGCTAATTTTTGCATTTTTAGTAGAGACAGGGTTTCCCCATGTTGGCCAGGCTGGTCTCAAACTCCTAGCCTCAAGTGATCCGCCAGCCTTGGCTTCCCAAAGTGCTGGGATTACAGGCATGAGCCACCACAGCCAGTCTGGAACAATGTTATGTAACCTGTTTCCTCACCCATTATGGCCCCACAAACCCCAGCCTTTCAACTCTGTTTCAGTTGGCTATCACGAGTGACCCAACTTGTATAATCAACTTTTACGTTTTTCCATTTTGATAAAGACCTTTCTCTGAAAGCATTGCTGATCAACCATTTTGAAGTTAGGCTTAATTGTCCATTAATATCTGGATGGACCTGTCCTGGTTGCTTTCAGTCATGTTGAGGGGAACATTATGGAGGTCACATTTGAGGCCAGAAGGGAACATTTTCTCAAGCAAATCTGTCTGGAGTCCAGCATCAAGTTCTGTCTTATTAGTCGATAAGCATCAGCAACTGTCTCAAAGTGTTGCATTAACTTTATCTTTTTCTTTTGTTGAAATGGAGTTTCACTCTTGTTGCCCAGGCTGGAGTGTAATGGCACAATCTTGGCTCACTGAAACCTGCACCTCCCAGGTTCAAGTGATTCTCCTGCTTCACCCTCCCAAGTAGTTGGGATTACAGGCATGATCCACTATGCCCAGCTAATTTTTTGTATTTAGTAAAAATGGTTTCACCATGTTTGTCAAGCTGGTCTTGAATTCACTCCTGACCTCAGGTGATCCACCCTCCTCAGCCTCCCAAAGTGCTGGGATTGCAGGCGTGAGCCACTGCACCCGAGAACTTTATCTTTGTAGGAGAGTTGGCTTTACGAGGATTAGACAGGCAATAAAAACAAAGTTTAAAAAAATATATAAAAATAATTAATAGTAATATTATAAATTTAGTTTGTTTAACGGTTTTAAACTAAGATCCTAAGACTAAGAGCAAAAAGCCAGACAAATAAAAAGCCTGTGGGGTAAATTGGATGAAATCTGTGTTAGTTGTTTAGTAGATCTTATGACTAGATTGACTTAAAGCAAAGAACACCAGCTTTATAAAAAGGGACCCACTAGTATGATTTGAACAAAAAGTTGTGATACTGGTATTTTCAGTTGGCCACTAGGTGGACTAAAAGGATTCCTTATGCCAGGTTTTGTTGAATTACCGATAGCAGTTACTGACTGGAAAATTTTATCCTGCCAAATGAAGAAGAAGGTAGCATTAGCGGGGTGATAGTCTCATTCTGATTTAAAGTCTTGTTCTGATGTCTTAGGAAAAGTTCTGTACAGTGTGGGAAAATGTCAACTTTTTGTCTTGTCTTGAATGTCTCTGGTGATGGCATTGGGTGGTTTGGTAAACTCTTGGTGCAGCTAATGCAAATCTATTTATTTTGTGATTTGCTGCCTCATGTATCATGCAGAAGACTTGTTTTTAAAAACATGTGTCTGGGCCAGGCACAGTGGTTCATGCCTGTAATCCCAGCACTTTGGGAGGCCAAGGCGGGCAGATCACCTGAGGTCCAGAGTTCGAGACCAGCCTGACCAACATGGAGAAACCCCACCTCTACTAAAAATACAAAATTACCTGGGCGCGGTGGCACATCCCTGTAATGCCAGTTACTTGGGAGTCTGAGGCAGGAGAATCTCTTGAACCTGGGAGGCCGAGGTTGTGGTGAGCCAAGATTGCACCATTGCACACCAGATTGGGCAAGAAGAGCAAAACTCCATATCAAAAAAATATATATATACATATATACATATATACGTATATATGTATATATATGTATATAATCAGCTTATAAGACTTCAGGAACACCGCAATTTCTGTTTCCGTGTTTTATGGAACCAATGTGGATTGGAGGGCTCTAGACAATATACACAGCTACAATCTAGTAACAGCTGTATCATAGCTTTTTTTCTTCTTTTTACATTTTCATATAGGAATATCAGATTAAAAACTTATTGAGGCTAGAAACCCAAACCAAGGCAGACTTTAGGTTTTGCTTACAGCTTTAGGGATCATGAACCTGACAAGAAGTGACAGTTTTTATTTACGTATTGCAAGACCCTCAAAGTCACACATTTTATGTATACTTTTATATGGAATTGTACTCAAATGTATAACCCATGTTTTCAGTCGTATTCTGCTACAAAGAGAGAGCACATTTTTATTAGACTTAGGCAAATAACCATATTTCCATAGGACTATTCATAAATAGTTTGAAATTTTCAGGAATCAAAATAGAAAAGGGAAAAGAAAATATTTTTATCTTTGTTAATAAAAGTGTACTTTACCAAATTGTAAAAAGTTATGGATAGGTTAAGATAGAAAATTTCTTTAAGTCTGAGTAAAAACATTTGAGTAAAGGATCATTGATGTCTCAAATAACAGTCATAAAAACATTGTCAGTTATTCTTTTTTTAAAAAATTACTTTTTACTTTAAGTTCTGGGATACATGTGCAGAATGTGCAGGTTTGTTACATAGGTATATGTGTGCCATGGTGGTTTGCTGCATCCATCAACCCATCATCTAGGTTTTAAGCCCCACATGCATTAGCTATTTATCCTGATGTTCTCCCTCCCCTTCCCCTCTCCCCACCACAGACCCCAGTGTGTGTGGTTCCCCTCCATGTATCCATGTGTTCTCATTATTCAGCTCCCATTTATGAGTGAGAACTTGCAGTGTTTGTTTTTCTGTTCCTGTGTTAATTTGCTGATGATGATGGCTTCCAGCTTCATCCATGACCCTGTGAAGGACAAAATCTCATTCCCTTTTGTGGCTGCATAGTATTCCATGGTGTATATGTGCTACATTTTCTTTATCAAGTCTATCATTATGGGCATTTGGGTTGGTTCCGTCTCTTTGCCCTTGTGAATACTGCTGTGAAAAACATATGTGTACATGTACATTTCTATTAGAATAATTTATATTCCTTTGGGCATATACCTAGTAATGGGATTGCTGCGTCAAATGGTATTTCCGAATCTAGATCCTTGAAGAGTCTCCCCACTGTCTTCCATAATGGTTGAACTAATTTATATTCCCACCAACAATGTAAAAGCATTCCTATTTCTTCACAGCCTCACCAGCGTCTGTTGTTTCTTGACTTTTTAAAAATTGCCATTCTGACTAGTGTCAGATGTTATCTCTTTGTGGTTTTGATTTGCATTTCCCTAATGATCAGTAATGTTGAGCTTTTCTTAATGTTTGTTGGCTGCATAAATGCCTTTTTTGAAAAGTGTCTGTTCACATCCTTTGCCCACTTTTTGATGAGGTTGTTTGACTTTTTCTTGTAAATATGTTTAAATTCCATGTAAATTCTGGATATTAGACCTTTGTCAGATGAGTAGATTACAAAAATTTTCTCCCATTCTGTAGGTTGCCTGTTCAAACTGATAATAGTTTCTTTTGCTGTGCAGAAGCTCCTTAGTTTAATTTTATACCATTTGTCAATTTTTGCTTTTGTTGCAATTGCTTTTGGTGATTTCATCTTAAAATCTTTGCCCATGCCTATGTCCTGAATGGTACTGCCTAAGTTTTCTTCTGGAGTTTCTATGGTCTGGGCTTTGACATTTAAGTATTTAATCCCCATCTTGAGTTAATTTTTGTATAAGGTGTAAGGAAGGGTTCCAGTTTTAGTTTCCTGCATTTGGCTGGCCAGTTTTTCCCAGTATCATTTATTAAATAGGGAATTGTTTCCCCATTGCTTGTTTTTATCAGGTTTGCTGAAGATCACATGGTTGTACATGTGTGGTGCTATTTCTGAGGTCTCTGTTCTGTTCCATTGGTCTATATGACTGTTTTGGTACCAATACCATGCTCTTTTGGTTACTGTAGCCTTGTAGTATTGCTTGAAGTCAGGTAGCGTGATGCCTCCAGCTTTGTTCTTTTTGCTTAGGATTATCTTGGCTATATGGGCTCTTTTTTGGTTCCATATGAATTTTAAAATAGTTGTTTCTAATTCTGTGAAGAATGTCAGTGATGGGAATAGCATTGAATCTGTAAATTATTTTGGGCAATATGGCCATTTTCACCATATTGATTCTTCCTATCCATGAGGATGGAAACAAACACGATCCATTTGTTTGTGTCCTCTCTTACCTCCTTGAGCTTTGGTTTGTAGTTCTCCTTGAAGAGGTCCTTCACATCTTTTGTTAGCTGTGTTCCTAGGTATTTTATTTTCTTTGTAGCAATTGTGATTGGGAGTTCATTCTTGATTTGACTCTCTGCTTGTCCATTGTTGGTGTATAGAAATCCTTGTGATTTTTGCACATTGACTTTGTATCCTGAGACTTTGCTGAAGTTGCTTATCAGCTTAAGGAGTTCTTAGGCTGAGATGATGGGGTTTTCTAAATATAGGATCATGTCATCTGCAAACAGGGACAATTTCACTTCCTCTCTTCCTGTTCGAATACCTTTATTTCTTTCACTTGCCTGAGTGCCCTGGCCAGAACCACCAATTCGATATTGAACAGGAATGATGAGAGACGACATACTTGTCTTGTCCTAGTTTTCAAAGGGAATGCTTCCAGCTTTTGTCCATTCAGTATGATATTGGCTGTGGGTTTGTCATAGCTTTTATTATTTTGAGATATGTTCCACCAATATCTAGTTGATTGACAGTTTTTAACATGAAGGTATGTTGAATTTTATCGAAGGCTTTTTCTGCATCTATTGAGATAATCATGTGGTTTTTGTCAATGGTTGTTTATGGGATGGAATATATTTATTGACTTGCATATGTTGAAACAGGCTTGCATCCCAGGGATGACACCGACTTGATCATGGGATAAGTGTTTGATGTGCTGGTGGATTCTGTTTGCTAGCATTTTATTGAGGATTTTCACATTGAAGTTCATCAGGGATATTGGCCAGAAGTTTTGTTTTGTGTGTGTGTGTCTGCCAGATTTTGGTATCAGAGTAATGCTGGCCTCATAAAATGAGTTAGGGAGGAGTTCGTTCTTCTCAATTGTTTGGAATAATTTCTGAAGGAATGGTACCATCTCCTCTTTGTACCTCTCGTAGAATTCAGCTGTGAATCCATCTATCTGGTCCTGTGCTTTTTTTGTTTGGTAGGCTATTTCTTGCTGCCTCAATTTCAGAACTTGTTATTGGTCTATCCACAAATTTTACTTCTTCCTGGTTTAGACTTGGGAGGGTGCATGTGTCCAAACATTTATCCATTTCTTCTAGATTTTCTAGGGTTTTTTTGCCTAGAGACACTTATTGTATTCTCTGGTGGTAGTTTATATTTCTGTGGGGTCAGTGGTGATATCCCTTTTATTATTCTTTATTGTGTCTATTTGATTCTTCTCTCTTTTCTTTTTTATTAATCTACCTAGCAGTCTATCTTATTGGGTGTGTGTGTGTGATTTTTTTTTTTTTTCCAAAAAACCAGTTCCTGAATTCATTGATTTTTTGAAGGGTTTTTTGTGTCACTGTCCCCTTCAGTTTCACTCTGATCTTAGTTATTTCTTATCTTCTGCTAGCTTATGGATTTGTTTGCTCTTGTTTCTCTAGTTCTTCTAATTGTGATGTTAGGGTGTTCATTTGAGATCTTTCTAGCTTTCTGATGTGGGCATTTAGTGCTGTAAGTTTCCCTTTTAACTCTGCTTTAGCTGCATCTCAGAGATTCTGGTATGTTGTCTTTTTGTTCTCATTGGTTTCAAAGAGCTTCTTAATTTCTGCCTTAATTTTTTCATTATTTACCCTGGAGTTATTTAGAAGCAAGTTGTTCAACTTCCATGTAGTTGTGCAGTTTTGAGTGAGCTTCTTAATCTTGAGTTCTAATTTGATTGCATTGTGGTCTGAAACTCTTTGTTAAGGTCTCAGTTCTTTTCCATTTGCTGAGGAGTGTTTTACTTCCAATTATGTGGTCGATTTTAGAGTAAGTGCCACATGGCACTGAGAAGAATGTATATTCTGTTGATTTGGGGTGGAGCGTTCTGTAGATATCTGCTAGGTCCAATTGGTACAGAGCTGAGTTCAAGTCCTGAATATCTTTGTTAATTTTCTGTCTCGTTGATCTGTCTAATATTGACAATGGGGCGTTAAAGTCTGGTATTGCTGTGTGGGAATTGAACTCTCTTGGTTGGTCTCTAATAACTTGTTTTATAAATCTGGGTGCTCCTGTAATGGCTGCATATACACTTATGGTAGTTAGCTCTTCTTGTTGAATTGATCCCTTTACCTTTATGTAATGCCCTTCTTTGTCTTTTTTTCCCACTATTTGTGTTGGTCATACTTTTTTTTTTAATTATACTTTAAGTTCTAGGGTATGTGTCCACAACATGCAGGTTTATTACATAGGTATACGTGTGCCATGTTGGTTTGCTGCACCCATTAACTTGTCATTTACATTAGGTATTTCTCCTAATGCTTTCCCTCCCCCAGCCCCCACCCTATGACAGGCCCCAGTGTGTGATGTTCCCTGCCCTGTGTTCGAGTATTCTCATTGTTCAATTCTCACCTATGAGTGAGAACATGCGGTGTTTGGTTTTCTGTCTGTGTGATAGTTTGTTCAGAATGATGGTTTCCAGCTTCATCCATGTCCCTGCAAAGGACATGAACTCATCCATTTTTATGGCTGCATAGTATTCCACGGTGTATGTGTGCCACATTTTCTTAATCCAGTCTATCATTGATGGGCATTTGGGTTGGTTCCAAGTCTTTGCTATTGTGAATAGTGCCGCAATAAACATACGTGTGCAGATGTCTTTATAGTAGCATGATTCACAACCCTTTGGGTATATACCAAACAATGGGATCACTGGGTCAAATGGTATTTCTAGTTCTAGATCCTTGAGGAATCGCCACACTGTCTTCCACAATGGTTGAACTAGTTTACACTTCCACTAACAGTGTAAAAGTGTTCCTGTTTCTCCACATCCTCTCCAGCATCTGGTATTTCCTGACTTTTTAATGATCACCATTCTAGCTGGTATGAGATGGTGTCTCATTGTGGTTTTCATTTGCATTTCTCTGATGGCCAGTGATGATGAGCATTTTTTCATGTGTCTGTTGGCTGCATAGGTGTCTTCTTTTGAGAAGTGTCTGTTCATGTCCTTTGCCACTTTTTGATGGGTTTGTTTATTTTTTCTTGTAAATTTGTTTAAGTTCTTTTCAGATTCTGGATATTAGCCCTTTGTCAGATGGGTAGATTCCAAAAATTTTCTCCCATTCTGTAGCTAGCTTGTTCACTCCGATGGTAGTTTCTTTTGCTGTGCAGAAGCTCTTTAGTTTAATTAGATCCCATTTGTCTATTTTGGCTTTTGTTGCCATTGCTTTTCGTGTTTTACTCATGAAGTCTTTGCCCATGCCTATGTCTTGAGTGGTATTGCCTTTGTTTTCTTCTACAGTTTTTATGGTTTTAGGTCTAACATTTAAGTCTTTAATCCATCTTGAATTAATTTTTGTATAAGGTGTAAGGAAGGGAGGCAGTTTCAGCTTTCTACATATGGCTAGCCAGGTTTCCCAGCACCATTTATTAAATAGGGAATCCTTTCCCCATTTCTTGTTTTTCTCAGGTTTCTCAAAGATCAGATGGTTGTAGATGTGTGGTATTATTTCTGAGGCCTCTGTTCTGTTCCATTGGTCTATCTCTCTGTTTTGGTACCAGTACCATGCTGTTTTGGTTATTGTAGCCTTGTAGTATAGTTTGAAGTCAGGCAGCATGATGCCTCCAGCTTTGTTCTTCTTGCTTAGGATTGTCTTGGCAATGCAGGCTCTTTTTTGGTTCCATGTGGAGTTTAAAGTAGTTTTTTCCAATTCTGTGAAGAAAGCCATTGGTAGCTTCATGGGGATGGCATTGAATCTATAAATTACCTTGGGCAGCATGGCCATTTTCATTATATTGATTCTTCCTATCCATGAGCATGGAATGTTCTTCCATTTGTTTGTGTCCTACTTTATTTCATTGAGCAGTGGTTTGTAGTTCTCCTTGAAAAGTTTCTTCACATCCCTTGTAAGTCGGATTCCTAGGTATGTTATTCTCTTTGTAGAAGTTTTGAATGGGAGTTCACTCGTGATTTGGCTCTCTGTTTGTCTGTTATTTCTGTATAGGAATGCTTGTGATTTTTGCACTTTGATTTTGTATCCTGAGACTTTGCTGAAGTTGCTTATCAGCTTGAGACTTTGGGCTGAGATGATGGGGTTTTCTAAATATACAATCATGTCATCTGCAAACAGGGACAATTTGACTTCCTCTTTTCCTAATTGAATACCCTTTATTTCTTTCTCTTTCGTGATTGCCCTGGCCAGAACGTCCAACACTATACTGAACAGGAATGGTGAGACAGGGCATTGCTGTGTTGTACCGGTTTTCAAAGGGAATGCTTCCAGTTTTTGCCCATTCAGTATGATATTGGCTGTGGGTTTGTTATAAATAGCTCTTATTTTGAAATACATTCCATCAATACCTAGTTTATTGAGAGTTTTTAGCATGAAGGGCTACTGAATTTTGTTGAAGGCCTTTTCTGCATCTATTGAGATAATCATGTGGTTTTTTTCATTGGTTTTGTTTATGTGATGGATTATGTTTATTGATTTGCATATGTTGAACCAAGCTTGCATCCCAGGGATGAAGCCCACCTGATCATGATGGATAAGCTTTTGGATGTGCTGCTGGATTTGGTTTGCCAGTATTTTCTTGAGGATTCCTGCATCAATGTTCACCAGGGATATTGGTCTAAAATTCTCTTTTTTTATTGTGACTCTGCCAGGCTTTGGTATCAGGATGATGCTGGCCTTGTAAAATGAATTAGGGAGGATTCCCTCTTTTTCTGCTGATTGGAATAGTTTCAGAAGTAATGGTATCAGCTCCTCTTTGTACCACTGGTAGAATTCAGCTGTGAATCCATCTAGTTCTGGACTTGTTTTGGTTGGTAGGCTATTAATTAATGCCTCAATTTCAGAGCCTGTTATTGGTCTATTCAGGGATTCAACTTCTTCCTGGTTTAGTCTTGGGAGAGTGTAGGTGTCCAGGAATTTGTCCATTGCTTCTAGATTTTCTAATTTATTTGCATAGAGGTGTTTATAGTATTCTCTGATGGTAGTTTTTATTTCTGTGGGATCAGTGGTGATATCCCTTTATCATTTTTTATTGCATCTATTTGATGTTTCTCTCATGTCTTCTTTATTAGTCTTGCTAGTGATCTATTTATTTTGTTGATATTTTCAAAAAACCAGCTCCTGGATTCATGACTTTTTTTTTTTTTAAGGGTTTTTTGTGTCTCTATCTCTTTCAGTTCTGCTCTGATCTTAGTTATTTCTTGCCTTCTGCTAGCTTTTGAATGTGTTTTGAATGTGTTCTTGCCTTCTGCTAGCTTTTGAATGTGCTCTTGCTTCTCTAGTTCTTTTAATTGTGATGTTAGGTTGTTGATTTTAGAACTTTCCTGCTTTCTCTTGTGGGCATTTAGTGCTATAAATTTCCCTCTACACACTGCTTTAAATGTGTCCCAGAGATTCTGGTACATTGTGTCTTTGTTCTCATTGGTTTAAAAAACATCTTTATTTCTGCCTTCATTTCACTATGCAGTGGTCATTCAGGAGCAGGTTGTTCAGTTTCCATGTAGTTGTGCAGTTTTGAGTGAGTTTTCTTCATCCCGAGTTCTAATTTGATTGCTCTGTGCTCTGAGAGATGGTTTGTTGTGATTTCTGTTCTTTTACATTTGCTGAGGAGTGCTTTACTTCCAACTATGTGGTCAATTTTAGAATAAGTGTGATGTGGTGCTGAGAAGAATGTATATTCTGTTGATTTGGGGTGGAGAGTTCTGTAGATGTCTACTAGGTCTGCTTGTTGCAGAACTGATTTCACGTCCTGGATATCTTTGTTAACCTGTCTCAATCTTTCTAATATTGACAGTGGAGAGTTAAAGTCTCCACTGTCACACAAAATAATAATTTTGTCTCCCATTATTATTGTGTGGGAGTCTAAGTCTCTTTGTAGGTCTCTAAGGACTTGCTTTACAAATCTTGGTGCTCCTGTATTGGGTGCATATATATTTAGGATAGTTAGCTCTTCTTGTTGAATTGATCCCTTTACCATTATGTAGTGGCCTTCTTTGTTGGTTTAAACTCTTTTGATCTTTGTTGGTTTAAAGTCTGTTTTATCTGAGACGAGGATTGCAACCCCTGCTTTTCTTTTGCTTTCCATTTGCTTGGCAGATCTTCCTCCATCCCTTTATTTTGAACCTGTGTGTGTCTTTGCACATGAGATGGGTCTCCTGAATGCAGCACACAGATGGGTCTTGACTCTTTATCCAATTTGCTGGTCTGTGTCTTTTATTTGGGGCATTTAGCCCATTTACATTTAAGGTTAATATTGTTATGTGTGGATTTGATCCTGTCATTATGATGTTAGCTGGTTATTTTGCCAGTTAACTGATGCAGTTTCTTCACAGCCTTGATGATCTTTACAATTTGGCATGTTTTTGCAGTGGCTGATACCGCTTGTTCCTTTCCATGTTTAGTGCTTCCTTCAGGAGCTCTTGTAAGGCAGGCCTGGTGGTGACAAAATCTCTCAGCATTTGCTTGTTTGTAAAGGATTTTATTTTTCCTTCACTTATGAAGCTTAGTTTGGCTGGATATGAAATTCTAGGTTGAAAATTCTTTTCTTTAAGAATGTTGATTATTCTGGCTTGTTGAGTTTCTGCAGAGAGATCCGCATTAGTCTGGTGAGCTTCCCTTTGTGGGTAACCTGACCTTTCTCTCTGGCTGCTCTTAACATTTTCTTCTTCCTTTCAACCTTGGTGAATCTGACAGTTAAAGTGTCTTGGGTTGCTCTTCTTGAGGAATATCATTGGGTGTTCTCCATATTTCTTGAATTTGAATGTTGGCCTGACTTGCTAGGTTGGAGAAATTTTCCTGGATAATATCCTGAAGAGTTTTCCAACTTGGTTTCATTCTCCCCGTCACTTTCAGGTACACCAATCAAATGTAGATTTGGTCTTTTCACATAGTCCCATATTTCTTTGAGTCTTTTTGTTCATTTCTTTTTCCTCTTTTTTCTCTAAACTTCTTTTCTCACTTTATTTCATTAATTTGATCTTCAATCACTGATACCCTTCCTTCCACTTGATCGAATCAGCTACTGAAGCTTGTGCATGTGTCACATATTTTTCGTGCCATGGTTTTTAGCTCCTTCAGGTCATTTAAGCTATTCTCTACACTGTTTGTTCTAGTTAGCCATTTGTCTAATCTTTTTTCAAGGTTTTTAGCTTCCTTGCGATGGGTTCGAATATCCTCCTTTAGCTCAGAGAAGTTTGTTATTACTAACCTTCTGAAGCCTACTTCTGTCAACTCATCAAAGTCATTCTCTGTGCAGCTTTGTTCCATCACTGGTAAGGAGCTGCAATCCTTTGGAGGAGAAGAGGCACTCTGGTTTTTAGAATTTTTGGCTTTTCTGCTCTGGTTTCTCCCTGTCTTTGTGGTTTTATCTACCTTTGGTCTTTGATGTTGGTGACCTAGAGATGGGGTTTTAGTGTGGATGTCCTTTTTGTTGATGTTGATGCTATTCCTTTCTGTTTGTTAGTTTTCCTTCTAACAGTCAGGTCCCTCAGCTGCAGGTCTGTTGGAGTTTCCTGGAGGTTCACTCCAGACCCTGTTTCCCTGGGTATCACCAGCAGAGACTGCAGAACAGCAAATATTGCAGGACAGCAAATATTGCTGCCTGATCCTTCCTCTGGAAGCTTCATCCCAGAGGGTCTTCTGCCTGTATGAGGTGTCAGTCAGCCCCTAAGGGGAGGTTTCTCCCAGTTAGGCTACATGGGGTTCAGGGACCCACTTGAGGAGGCAGTCTGTCCATTCTCAGAGCTCAAACACTATGCTGGGAGAACCACTGCTCTCTTCAGAGCTTTCAGACAGGGACGTTTAAGACTGAAGAATTTTCTGCTGCCTTTTGCTCAGCTATGACCTGCCCTGAGGTGGGGTCTACAGAGGCAGCAGGCCTTGCAGAGCTGAGGTGGGCTCTGCCCAGTTCAAGCTTCCCCAGACTCTTTGTTTACCTACTCAAGCCTCAGCAATGGTGGACACACTTCCTGCTGCCAGGCTGCTGCTTGCAGGTAGAACTCAGCCTGCTGCATTAGCAATGAGCAAGGCTCCATGGGCATGGGACCTGCTGAGCCAGGCATGGGATATAATCTGCTGGTATGCCGTTTGCTAAGACTGTTGGAAAAGCACAGTATTTGGGCAGGTGTGTCCCAATTTTCCAGGTACAATCTGTCATGGCTTCCCTTGGCTAGGAAAGGAAATGCGATGCCCCACCCTGCTTCAGCTTACCCTCCATGGGCTGCACCCACTGTCCAACCAGTTCCAATGAGATGAACCAGTTACCTCAGTTGGAAATGCAGAAATCACTCTCTTCTGCATTGATCATGCTGGGAGCTGCAGACCAGAGCTCTTCCTATTCAGCCATTTTGGAATGGACCACACTTGTCTTTTTGATATTTGTTGGCTTAAAGTCTGTTTTATCAGAGACTACAATCGCAACCCCTAGTTTTTTTCTGCTTTCCATTTGCTTGATACATTTTCCTTTATCCTTTTATTCTGAGTAAAGTGTGTACTCTTGAATACAGTACACCGACAGGTCTTGACTCTATCCAGTTTCCCAGGCTGTGTCTTTTAATTGGGTCATTTAGCCCTTTACATTTAAGGCTAATATTGTTATTTGTAAATTTGATCCTGTCATCTTGATGCTAGCTGGTTATTTTGCACACTAGTTGATGCTATTTCTTCACTCTGTCATTGGTCTTTATAATTTCATGTGTTTTGCAGTGGCTGATACTGGTGTTTCCTTTCCATATTTAGTGCTTCCTTTAGGAGCTCTTGTAAGGCAGGCCTGGTGGTGATAAATTCTTCCAGCACTCATATGTCTGAAAAGGATTTTATTTCTCCTTTGATTATGAGGCTTAGTTTGGCCAGATATGAAATTCTGGGTTGAAAATTTTTTTCTTTAAGAATGTTGAGTATTGACCCCTACTCTCTTCTGGCTTGTAGGGTTTCTGCTGAGTATTCCACTGTTAGTCTGATAAGCTTCCCTTTGGAGGTGATCTGACTTTTCTCTCTGCTGCCCTTAACATTTTTTCCTGCATATGGACCTTATAGAATCTGATGATTGTGTGTCTTGGGGTTGATCTTCTTGTAGTATATCTTAATGGTGTTCTCTGTATTTCCTGAATTTGCATGTTGGCTTAGAGTAGCCATGGTTAAAAATCTAATGAAAGTTTATAGTTAACAAGGATATTTGGATATTTCATTTACATATAGCATTTTAAGATAAACACAAGAATAATGACTGATATTAGAGATCTATGAATTTATATAATTTTGAATTTTTTTTTTTTGAGATGGAGTCTCACTCTGTCACCCAGGCTGGAATACAGTGTCACAGTCTTGGCTCACTGCAAGCTCCGCATCCCAGGTTCACACCATTCTCCTGCCTCAGCCTCCTGAGTAGCTGGGACTACAGGCACCTGCCACCACGCCCAGCTAATTTTTTGTATTTTTAGTAAAGATGGGGTTCACCATGTTAGCTAGGATGGTCTTGATCTCCTGACCTTGTGATCCACCCATCTTGGCTTCCCAAAGTTCTGGGATTATAGGCTTGAGCCACCGTGCCCAGCCTAATTTTGAAATATTTATATTAACCCGTAAGTGCAATGAAAGGAAGATCTAGTATTGGTCAGGTGCGCAGGCTCATGCCTGTAATCCCAGTACTTTGGAAGGTCAAGACAGGTGGATCACTTGAGGGTCAGCAGTTCAACACCCGCCTGGCCAACATGGTAAAACCTCATCTCTACTAAAAATACAAAAAGTAGCTGGGTGTGATTGTGGGTGCCTGTAATCCCAGCTAACTTAGGAAGCTGAGGCAGAAGAATCGCCTGAACCCAGGGGGAGAAGGTTGCAGTGAGCCGATATCTTACCACTCTACTCCAGCCTGAGAGACACATTGAGAATACATCTAAAAAAAAAAAAGATCTAGTATTACATATTTCTGTCTCAGTGCAGTTGTGTTGCTGTAAAGGCATATCTGATTCTGTGTAACTTACAAAGAGGTTCATGTAGCTCACAGTTCTATGGGCTATATATGAAGCTTGGAATTAACATCAGCTTCTGGTGACAGCTTCAGGCTGCTTCCACTCATGGAAAGGAAAGGGGAGGCAGCCTCTGAAGAGATTATATGGCCAGAGAGGGAACTAGAGAAATGACAGGGGCAAGGGGAAAGAGAGGGAGGGGCCAGCCTCTTTTTAACCATCAACTCTTGAGGGAGATGATAGAGTGAAAACTGATTCGCTGTCCTCTCCCAGAAAGGGCATTAATCTGTACACAAGGGACCCACCTCCATGACCCAAAGATGATCCATTAGGCTGCACCTCCAGCGTTGGGGATAATATTTCAACAGGAGGTTTGGAGGGTCAAATATTCAAACAATAGCCATTTCTTATGTAATTTATCAAATAGGCCTAATCATCTAATATCTCCAAAAGGTGAGAGATATGTCTTTTGAGTCTTTTCAGGGGCCCAACTGGAAAATTCAAACATTAATTCTAGGTTAAAGGGATTTACATTTAGCATTTGATTTTGGGCAAGTTTGCCAAAGATGTTAAAAGGCACAGAACACTTGATTGAAACAAACTCGTAGGTCACTTAAAAAAAAAAGTAGTCATTTTTTAACCAGAAGGATAATCAAAAAACAAATTTACCAGAGTTAGCCATGGTATCATGGCTATCCACATTATCCACAAAAAATACCAAAACACATTATCTGCGAAAAACACAAAAATTAGCCAGGTGTGGTGTGTGCACCTGTAGTCCCAGTTACTTGGGAGGGTGAGGTGGGAGGACCACATGAACCCTGGAGATGGAGGTTTCAGTGAGTCAAGATCATGCCACCGCATTCCAGCCTGGGCAAGAGAGTGACAATTTGATTCAAAAAATAAATATATAAATAAGCAAGGAAATAAATAAATAAATAACATTGTTGTTGTTGTTTTCTTTTCAACTTTTATTTTAGGTTCAAGGGGTACGTGGGCAAGCTGGTTACATAGGTAAGTTGCATGTCATGGGTATTTTGTGTACAGATAATTTTGTTACTCAGGTAATCAGTGTGATATCTGATAGGTAGTTTTTCAATCCTCCTCAAGTAGGCCCTGGAGTTCTTAATTCATAGCTACCATTTATAAGTGAAGAACATGGGGGTATTTGGTTTACTGTTCCTGTGTTAGTTTGCTAAGGATTTTGGCCTCCAGCTCCATCCCTGATGCTACAAAGGCCATCATTTTACTTTTCTTTTTTCTTTTTTTACAGCTGCATAGTATTCCATGGTATATATGTACCACATTCTCTTTATGCAGTCCACCATCAATGGGCATCTAGATGATTCCATGTCTTTGCTATTGTGAATGGTGCTGTGATGAACATATGTGTACATGTGTCTTTATAACAGAACAATTTATGTTCCTTTGTGTATATCCCCAGTAATGGGATTGCTTGGTCAAACAGTAGTTCAAGTTCTTTGAGAAAACTCCAGTCTACTTTACACAGTGGCTTAACTAATTTACATTCCCATTATCAAGTGTGTAAACATTCCCTTTTCTCTGCAACCTCACCAGCATCTGTTATTTACTGACATTTTCATCATAGCTGTTCTGGGTGGTATGAGATGATATTTTATTGTGGTTTTGACTTGCAGTTCCCTAATGATTAGTGATAATGAGCATTTTTTTGTATATGTCTTGTTGGCCATGTATATGTCTTCTTTTGAGAAGTGTTGGTTCATGTCCTTTGCCCAGTTTTTGTTTGTTTGTTTGTTTTTTTTAGTCACAGTTTCGCTCTTATTGCTTAGGCTGGAGTGCAATGGCGCTATCTCAGCTCACTGCAACCGCTGCCTCCTGGGTTCAAGTGATTCTCCTGCCTCAGCCTCCCAAGTAGCTGAGATTACAGGCATGCTCCACCACACCTGGCTAATTTTGTATATTTAGTAGAGACTTTTAGTAGAGATGGGATTTCTCCATGTTGGTCAGGCTGGTCTTGAACTCTCGACCTCAAGTGATCCGCCCATCTCAGCCTCCCAAAGTGCTGGGATTACAGGCATGAGCCACCGCGCCCACCCCTTTGCCCAGTTTTTAATGAAGCGTGCCCAGGTTTTAATGAAGTTGTTGTATGCTTGTTGATTTGTTTGGGTTTCTTATAGATTCTGGATATTACCCCTTTGAGAGATGCGTAGTTTGCAAATATTAACTTCTATTCTGTAGGTTCTCTGTTTACTCTACTATAGGTTATTTTGTTGGGCAGAAACTCTTTAGTTTAATTAGGTCCTACTTGTCAAGTTTTGGTTTTGCTGCAATTGTTTTTCAAGTCCTTGTCATGAAGTCTGTGCCTGGTTCAATATCCAGAATGGTACTTCCTAGATTTTCTTCTCTGGTCTTTATAGTTTTAGGTTTTACATTTAAGCATTTAATCCATCTGGGGTAACTTTTGCATATGGCTAATAAAAAGAGATCTAGTTTTGTTTGTTTGTTTGAGACAGAGTGTCATTCTGTCGCCCTGGCTGGAGTGCAGTGGCGCAATCTGGGCTCACTGCAAGTTCCACCTCCCGGGTTCACGCCGTTCTCCTACCTCAGCATCCTGAGTAGCTGGGACTACAGATGCCCACCACCACACCTGGCTAATTTTTTGTATGTTTAGTAGAGATGGAGTTTCACCATGTTAGCCATGATGGTCTTGATCTCCTGAACTCGTGATCCACCTGCCTCAACCTCTCAAAGTGCTGGGATTACAGGCCTGAACCACTGCGTCTGGCTGAGATCCAGGTTTAACCTTCTGCATTTGGCTAGCCAGTTTTTCCAGCAACATTTATTGAATAGGAAATCTTTCTGTATTGTCTATTTTTGTCAGCTTTGTTGAAGATCAGATGATTGTAGACGTATGACTTTATTTCTGGGTTTGCTAACCTGTTCCATTAGTCTATATGTCTGGTTTTTTTCCATAGTATCATGCTGTTTTAATTACTGTAGTTTCATAGTATAGTTTGACATTGAGTTGTATGATGTCTCCAGTTTTGTTCTTTCCGCTTAAAATCGTTTTGACTATTCAGTCTGTTTTTTGATTCCAAATGAATTTTAGAATTAAATTTTATAATTTGTTTTCTAATTCTGTGAAAATTGTCATTGGTAGTTTAATAGGTATAGCATTGAATCTGTAAATTGTTTTGGGTGGTATGGTCATTTTAATGATATTAATTCTTCCTATCTATAACCTTGGAACATTTTTCCATTTGTTTGTGTCTGCTCTGATTCCTCTGAGCAGTGTTTTGTAATTCTCATGTAAAGACCTTTCATCTCCCTGGTTAGCTGTATTCTTAGGTATTTTATTCTTTCTGTGGCTACTGTGAATGGAAGTGCATTCTTGATTTGGCTGTCAGCTTTGACGTTACTGCTGTATAGAAATGCTGCTGCTTTTTGTACACTGATTTTTATCCTGAAAGTTTGCTGAAGTTGTTTATCAGATCTAGGAGCCTTTGGGCAGAGACTATGTGGCCTCTAGGCATAAAATCATATCGTCAGCATACAGAGATAGTTTGATTCCCTCTCTTCTTATTTGGATGACTTTCATTTCTTTCTCTTGCATAACTACTCTGTCAAGGACTTCTAGTAGTATGTAACAAATGAATGGTGAGAGTGGGCATCCTTGTCTTTTTCTGATCCTCAAGGGGAATCCTTCCAGCTTTTGCTCATTCATTACAATTTTGGCTATGGGTCTGTTATGTATTGCTCATTATTTTGAGATATGATCCTTCAATGCCTAGTTTGTTGATGATTTTTATTATGAAGGGATGTTGAATGTTATCAAAAGTCTTCTCAGTATCTATTGAGATGATCATGTGGTTTTTCTTGTTTATGGCAAGAATCACATTTGTTTATTTGCATATGCTGAGTCAACCTTGCTTCTCAGGAATAAAGCCTACTTGACCGTGGTAGATTAGCTTTTTGGTTTGCTGCTGAATTTGGTTTGCCAATGTTTCACTGAGAACTTTTGCATTTATGTTCACTAAGGATATTGGTCTGAGGTTTTTCTTGTTGTGTTTGCTGCTGTTGCATCTCTGCCAGGCCTTGGTATTAGAGTGATGCTGACTTCACAGAATAAGTTAGGGAGGAGTCCCTCCTCTTCAGTTTTATGGAATAGTTTCAGTAGAATTGTTGCCAGCTCTGCTTTATATGCCTGGTAGAATTTGGCTGTAAATTTCCCTGGTCCAGGGCTATTTCTTTTTCTTTTCTTTTCTTTTCTTTTTTTTTTTTTTTTTTTTGTTGAGACAGAGTCTCACTCTGTTGCCCAGGCTGGAGTGTGGTGGCGCAATCTCGGCTCACTGCAAGCTCCGCCTGCCGGGTTCACGCCATTCTTCTGCCTCAGGCTTCTGGGTAGCTGGGACTACAGGCGCCTCCCAACAGGCCAGCTAATTTTTTGTATTTTTAGTAAAGACGGGGTTTCACTGTGTTAGCCAGGATGGTCTCAGTCTCCTGACCTCGTGATCCACCTGCCTCAGCCTCCCAAAGTGCAGGGATTACAGTCATGAGCCGCCATGCCCAGCCAAATCCAGTGCTATTACAGGTTGGGGAAGTTTTTATTACTGTTTCTGAACACTTTCTTTTTGCTGTCTGTTGTTGTTTAGCTGATACACATTGCTTATTTGGAGTGTGTAATTTTATACGTGTCATCTTTTAGTGTAGTTGTAAGGATGATAGACTGTTTGATATCCTCTCTAGTGTTTGAATATGTTTCCAGTTTGAATCCCAGAAAATATTTTGCCTTTCAACTTTGAGAACCCATTTTGGGGTTGCTCTGGCTTAATACCATATACACAAAAGCCAACTAAATGCAAGCACAGATGGAAAAGAAACTATGTACTTACCAGGAAAGACAATAAGCTGTCCTCTCCAACTAAAAAGAAAAAGAAATTGGCTGGGCACTGTGGCTCATGCCTGTAATCCCAGCACTTTGGGAGGAGGCCAAGGCAGGGAACCACGAGGTCAGGAGATCGAGACCATCCTGGCGAACTTGGTGAAACCCGGTCTCCACCAAAAAAAAAAAAATACAAAAATTAGCTGGGCACGGTGGCTCACACTTGTAGTCCCAGCTAGTCAGTAGGCTGAGGCAAGAGAATCACTTGAAATTGGGAGGCAGAGGTTGCAGTGAGCCAAGATTGCACCACTGCACTCCAGCCTGGTGACAGAGTGAGACAACATCTAAAAAAAAAAAAAAAAGAAGAAGGAATTTTTTTTTTAACAAAAACTCAATCCAAAGGGAACAGTTCTTTCACCTGGACCTTAAGACTGAAGTCAACCAGGAATAGAAGAGTCCTCACAAACAAAAGATCTCCCACCTGAGGGGCAAGACCCCTCTCTATCCAGGTCCAAATAAAACAGAATTTGACCAAAGTTGGGACTTCAGTTCAAACATCTAGATATGACATTTTAGGTCATGGGTGGTGACTCACACTTGTATAATCTCAGCACTTCGGGAGGTTGAGATGTACAAGTTACATGAGTGTCATGAGTTTGAGACCAGACTGGTCAACGTGGTAAATCCCGTCTTTACTAAAAATACAAAAATTAGCTGGGCATGGTGGCGGATGCCTATAATTCCAGCCACTCGGGAGACTGAGGTGGGAGGATCCCATGAACTCAGGAGGTGGAGATGAAAATGAAATGAGATTACACCACTGTATTGCAGCCTGGGTGACAGAATGAGACTCTGTCTCAAAAAAAGTGACATTTTAATCAGTCTTGGAAATATAACCAAATGTTTTCAATTGTATTTTGGTATAGAGAATATTTTAATTGAACTTATGTAAATAATCCTAATTTTATAAGAATACTGAGAATAGTTTCAGAATTCTGGGGCATCAAGCTAGAATAGAAAAAATTACAAGGGGAAAGAGGCAACCTGCAGAAGTAGGGCAGCTCAAAGGGCCCCAGTGTCAGTTCCTCACATTATAGTTGTATGGGCCTGCAATTTTCTCCAAAATGAGTCAGCTCTGGAATCCTGTTTCTGACACAAAGCATGTCAAGGTCAAATAGAATATAGAGATATGGAGAGAATATAATATTTCAACTTCTCTGAAATTAAAACACTCTATTTGGGAAGAACGAATTGCTATTTGGGGCATAGACACAGACCAGGTGAACTTTGGTAGTTTGAGGAAGAAACAGAAGGTTAGAGATTTTATTTAAAAGAGAGAGTGAGAGAGAGAAAAATGTTACATTATTTTCTTCAAGAAAGTTCACTGGCACTAGTAAAGTTTGGGGGAGCTGTGATTGGTGACTGATTGTGGTGGGTAGAATTCATATTAGTTTAGCAGCAGGTTGTCTCAGCAGCTGATACATAAAACTGGACTGTGCTTACAGCAGGCAGAAATAATAGGCCGGGCACGTGGCTTATGCCTGTAATCCCAGCACTTGGGAGGCTGAGGTGGGCAAATCACCTGAGGTCGGGTGTTCGAGACCAGCCTGACCAACATGGAGAAACCCCATCTCTACTAAAAATACAAAATCAGCCAGGTGTGGTGGCACGTACCTGTAATCCCAGCTACTTGGGAGGCTGAGGCAGAAGAATTGCTTGAACCCGGGAGGCAGAGGTTGCAGTGAGCTGAGACTGTGCCATTGCACTCCAGCCTGGGCAACAAGAGCAAAACTCTGTCTCAAAAAATAAATAAGTAAATAAATAAATAAATAAAAAGAAAGAATAGTATGTGTCCTGAGTGATGGGTGTGACAAGAATGCCCCAATTGATATAACTGACTTTCACAGACTTCTAGCTGCATGTATTTATTTTTACTTTATGAGTAAATAATACGTATATATATTTATGAGATACATGAGATATTGTGATACACGCATACAATGTATAATAATTACATCAGAGTAAATTGGGTTTCCATCATCTCAAGTATTTATCATTTCTTTATTGTTATCATCCCCCTCCCACTACCCTCCCTAGCCTCTGGTAAGGATTTTCCCATCTCCATGAGTTCAATTCTTTTAATTTTTAGCTCTCGCAAATGTGTGAGAACATGAAAAATCTGCCTGGCTGATTTCCATAACATAATGTCCTCTAGTTTTATACATATTTTTGCAAATGGCAGAATCTCATTCTTTTTTATGGCTGAATACTATGCAGTTGTGTGTGTGTGTATGTATATTATATATATGTGTGTGTGTGTATGTGTGCATATATATATATATATATATATATATATATATATATATTTTTTTTTTTTTTTTTTTTTTTTTTTTTAATTTGAGACAGAGTCTTACACTGTTGTCCAGGCTGGAGTGCAGTGGCGTGATCTCTGCTTCCCAGGTTCAAGCGATTCTCCTCCCTCAGCCTTCTGAGTAGCTGGGATTACAGGCACCCACCACCACACCCAGCTAATTTTTTTTGTATTTTTAGTAGAGACAGGATTTCACCATGTTGGCCAGGCTGGTCTTGAACTCCCGACCTCGTGATCCGCCTGCCTCGGCCTCCCAAAATGCTGGGATTACAGGCATGAGCCACCACACCCAGCCTGTTTTGTCTGTTGATGGACATTTAGGTTTCTTCTAAATCTTGGGTATTGTGAAGAGTGCTTTAATAAACATGGGGATGACAGTATGTCTTCGACATGCTGATTTCCTTTCTTTCAGGTATATACTTGGCAGTGAGATTGCTGGATCACACAATCCAGCAATCTGGATTTTTAGTGTTCAGAGAAACATCCATACTGTTCTTTATAGTTGTTCTAGTAATTTACATTCCCACTAACAGTGTATTAGAAATCCCTTTTCTCCACATTTTTGCCAGCATTTGCTATTGCCCGGCTTGTGAACAAAAACCACTTTAACTGGGGTGAGGTTACATTTCATTGTAATTTTGGTTTTAATTTCTCTGATAATCAATAATAATGAACACGTATTCATAAACCCATTTGCCATTACTATGTCTTCTTTTGAGAAATTTTTACTCAGATCTCTTGCCAGACTTTTTTCTACTGTGTTGTTTGAGCTTCTTATATATTCTGGTTATTAATCACTTGTCAGATGGATAGTTTGCAAATATTTTCTCCTATTTTGTGGGTTGCCTCTTCTCTTTATTGGCTCCTTAGGGATTGCTGTGCAAAAGCTTTTTATTTTTATTTATTTTTTATTTTTATTTATTTTTTGAGACAGAGTTTTACTCTTGTTGCCCAGGCTGGAGTGCAATGGCGCAATGTTGGCTCACCGCAACCTTTGCCTCCTGGATTCAAGTGATTCTCCTGTCTCAGCCTCTAGAGTAGCTGGGATTACAGGCATGTGCCACCACACCCAGCTAATTTAGTATTTTTAGTAGAGACGAGGTTTCTCCATGTTGGTCAGGCTGGTTGTGAACTTCTGACGTCAGGTGATCCGCCCACCTCTGCCTCCCAAAGTGCTGGGATTATAGGAGTGAGTCACTGTGCCTGGCCTGCAAAAGGTTTTTAACTTGATGTGATGCTACTTTTCTATTTTTGCTTCAGTTGCCTTTGATTCGTGGTATTACTCAAGAAATATTTCCCTAGACCAATGCCCTGGAGAGTCTTCCCAATGTTTTCTTCCAGTAGTTTCATGGCTTGAGATCTTAAAGTCTTCAATACATTTTGATTTGATTTTTGTTTATGGTGAGAAACAGGAGCCTAGTTTCATTTTTATGCATATGAATATCCAGTTTTCCCTGCACTTTTATCAAAGAGACTTTCTTTTCCCCAATGTATGTTCTTAACACCTTTGTCAAAAATGAGTTCATTATAGACGTATGGATTTATTTCTGGTTGTCTATTCTGTTACATTGGTCTATGTGTCTGTTTTTATGCCAGTACCATGTTGTCTGATTTCTATAGCTCTGCTGAATAACTGCAAATCAAGTTATGTGATTTCTCCAGTTTTGTTCTTTTTGCTCAGAATGGCTTTGGCTATTCTGGGTCTTTTGTGGTTTCATACAAATTTAAGAAATATTTTTGTTCTATTGTTGTGAAGTGTCATTAGTATTTTGATAGGGATTTCACTGAATCTGTGGATTGCTTTGGGTAGTATGGATATTTTAATAAGATGGATTCTTCTAATCCATCAACAGGGAATGCCTTTCCATTTGTGTGTGTGTGTGCCCGTGTGTATGTGTGTGTCTATCTGTGTGTGTTCTTTAATTTCCTGCATCAATGTTTCATAATTCTCATTATAGAAGTGTTTTACTTCTCTGAGTAAGTTTATTCCTAGGTATTTTATTTTATTTTTTATTTTTTTGAGATGGAATCTCACTCTGTCACCCAGGCTGGAGTGCAGTGGCACAGTCTCAGCTCAGTACAACCTCCACCTCCTGGGTTCAAGTGGTTCTCCTGACTCAGCCTCCTAGTAGCTGGGAATATAGGCACCTGCCACCATGCCTAGGTAATTTTTGTATTTTTAGTAGAGATGGGGTTTCACCATGTTGGCCAGGCTGGTCTCAAACTCCCAATCTCATGTGATCCACCCACCTCAGCCTCCCAAAGTGCTGGGATTACAGGTGTGAGCCACTGTGCCCTGCCAACATTTTTAGTCTTAACATTAAAATTTTAAAGTAAAATACTGGTTACCAGAGGCTTATTGGTGGGGAGGACTGGAGAAATGCCAATCAAAGAGCACATAATTTTTAAGTTAAGCAGGAGGAATAAGTTTAAGAGATCTATTGTACAACATGGTGACTATAGTTAATAACCAATTTCATGCTTGAAAATTGTGAAGAGAAAACCTAACTCAACAACACATTTAAAAGATTGTTCATCATGTCCAAGTATAATTTATCTAAGGGATGCAAGGGTGGAGTATGCAGCCACAGCCAAGGAATGGCAGCAAGCACAAGATGCTAAAGAGAAATGGAATAGATTCTCTCCTAGAGCCTCTGAAAGGAGCATAGTCCTGCCAACACCTTTATTTCCACCCTGGGATACTGATGTGTGAATTTTGTATCATGTGGAACTGTGAGAAAATACATTTTATGTTGTGTGCCACCAAGTTTGTGGTAACTTATTACAGCAAACACAAGAATCTATACATCCTCCTAAGTATTTTCCTGTATGTAACTCCTTGTTTTTTTTCACAGAAGCACCAGGCACTGATGATCCATACATAAATGAATAGGTCCTGCATGTTTCCCTGCTCCTTTATAGAAGAGTCCAACACTTGGATTCTAAACATATGGAATAGTGCCACAGTGATCCAAGTACTAAGGGATGAGAGGAGAGTTTTTGTTTTTTGTTTTGTTTTGTTTTGTTTTTGTTTTTGTTTTTGTTTTTATCTGTTTTGATCTTGATCTGTTGCCCAGGCTGGAGTACAGTGGTGTGCTCACTGCAACATCTGCCTCCCAGGTTCAAGCAATTCTCCAGGCTCAGCCTCCCAAGTAGCTGGGATTACAGGCATGCACTACCAGGCCTGGCTAATTTTTGTATTTTTAGTAGAGACGGGGTTTCACCGTCTTGGGCAGGCTGGTATCAAACTCCTGACTTCAGATGATCCGCCTGCCTTGGCCTCCCAAAGTGCTGAGAATTACAGGTATGAGCCACTGTGCCTGGTCAAGTTTTTGCTTTTAAGTCAACCTCAGGGAGTTTGGGAAATGCCACTAAAAGATAATCACTCATATTTGAGCAGAGGAAGAAGCCATATTATATTCCAGGAGTGATAACAATCAGATGGTTATAGTTCCCTGTGATTGAGAATCACTTTATTTCCCAATATAAATTTGGAGGACACAGATTATGTAATTTCTGCAAGCTTCACATTTTGTAAATAAAATATCAATTAACATTTCACACTGTATTTATTGATGGAACTTAAGCAAGAAAACAAATTTTCAGAAGTAAGTTCTTCTGTGTTATTTTAATTGGCCCTTAGACAAACAAAATCCCCATCCACGTTTATTATAACAAGTCCTACAATACACAGTTGCATTTTAGAAAGTAATAAGTTTAATCTTATCTCTTTCAGTACAAAAACCTCTAAGAGTAACCAAGTTTGTATTCTACCAGGTTGTGTTAACAAGGTGAATAGGCAAAATTTACTTATGGTTTTGTCACATGTTGTTAATATCAGAGGTCAGTGTTATGCATATCACTCTACTGCTTCTTTTGCTTATGGATTTATTAGGCACACCAGTAAAAGTTAGAAGATAAAGGATATCATTTTAAGTTGTGACAAAGTAGCAGATGTAAGTAGCCAGGCTTGCTTATTCTGCTTGCCTGCAGAAGTTTACGAAGCCCCTCATATCGTGATGGAATGCAGCCCTCCGGAAGAATGCCCTGAAAATGATAAGCAGGACAGATCATGGGTTTCCATGCCTGTTGCATGAATCACTGCATTTTTAGAAAAGGTAAGTCTAATGACCCTGACCCTTGCCTCTTCCTGTACATAAGATACAGGAATTCATGACTACACCTCTTTAATCTATAACCAGATGTACCCTTGCACCCAAACTTTTGATGATATTTTGCTTTAGTGGTAACTTTTATAAAAAAATTAGATAAAATTTCTGAGCACACACAGATGCACCACCACCTGGGTATGGTGATCGCTCTTGGTTGAATCACCGTGTTGGAGTAGTCTAACAAAAACTTTCCAAAAGACTTTCCTGGGGTGTAATTCTCACTAAGACTATGAATAACATTAACTTTAATTATTTGAAAGCTTGATTTTCTTCTTTTTAGTTAAAAGTTATCCTGCTATGTGATTCTCTCAAAACATTCATTATGTTTTGCAGGAGAAAAATAGCCAAAATATTAAGAAATAGTAAATAATAAGCATCACTTATCATATAATTGCAAAAGATATTATAAAAGTCCTGTAATTCCAGCACTTCGGGAGGCCAAGGCAGGCAGATCACCTGAGGTCGGGAGTTTGAGACCAGCCTGACCAACATGGAGAAACCCCATGTCTACTAAAACTACAAAATTAGCCAGTCATGGTGGCGCATGCCTGTAATCCCAGCTACTCAGGAGGCTGAGGCAGGAGAATCACTTGAACCCGGAAAGCAAGGTTGCAGTGAGCCAAGATCATGCCATTCACTCCAGCCTGGGCAACAAGAGTGAAACTCCGCCTCAAAAAAATAAAATAAAATAAAATAAAAGACTTTAATATTTTCTAGAATATTTTATATGCTAGCATTACTAGACTGGGTTTGATGGGAATGGATTTCTTGATGTTTGGACATGTATTGGACATTAACTTTTGAACTTTGTGAATGCATTATATTTTCAAATGAGTTTATTTTCCAGTTAATTTTTAACTTAAATAACATATGCATGTTTTTTGATACTTCGAATTATGCACAATGGAATCTTTCCTGGGGAAACAAGAAAATGTGTGCAAAGATGTAATATGCTCACAGAGTTGTTCTTAATAGAAACAGGGGAAGTAAACCTAAATATTTATAAGTAGAGATAATGTTAATTATATCTAAATCCATATAATTTACATAAAATTTATGCAAAAATTAATGAAGAGACAGTTATACTACACCTCATGTAATCTCTAAATACATTTGCAGATTGATGTCTTTTCAAGACAGGGATGTCACCATTTCACTTTAAAATGAGAAAAGAGATAAGTAAATAGAGTTTCAGACCAGCAGGCTAACTTTGGTATAAGAAAAAAGAATAATGGAAGATAGACAAGAGGGTTAGAAGTAAGGAATCATCAAATAAACAGTTATGAAAGATACCCAGAATTAGAGTTTATATACTGAGAATGATTTCTCTAACAAGAAATGTGGGTAGAAATGCTCCATCAAAATGAGATTGTAAGCCTTAACAGAGCTATTATAATGCAGGATTCTGGATTCAATTTGGAAAACAGTTGAAGTAGGTTTAACATGCATAGGATGGACGTGCAGAGGGTGTTAATAGGATTTCCTTCCAAAAGATTACATTGAAGTCCCCATGTGAGGCTATACAAAAAATACAGTTACATGTCTAAATAGTTAGGGCTATCTGAACAAATTTCACAGAGAACTGGCCTTGGTCAAAGAACAAGCCTTGACACAGGGAAAGGAAGCACACACGTGCACACACACACACACACACACGCACATAATGCTGTCTACTGAATACAGTTTATAGTCATAATCATATAAAAACTGATATTTTTATATGGTCTGTTTTTTAAAAGGTTTTGTTATTTCTTTTTCTAGTTCTTTACTTTCCTGTGTAATTTTGTATTTGCAATTGTTTTTTGAGATGGAGTCTTGCTCTGTTTCCCAGGCTAGAGTGCAGTGGCACAATCTCAGCAATCTTAAAAGATTCCTGAATAAGTAGTTATGACTATTTCACCTCTTCGAAGGAGTGTTTTTACATTTCAGAAGGCAGATGGAGCTTAAGACTGTGGAGACATTCCAGGAGTTTTAAGACTCAGATGCCCCTTTTTTCCATAGAGACAGTCCCCAAAAAGAAACTACTTATTTTGGAGAGTATAAAGCTTTCTCTCCTTCTCAAAGGAGATTAATGGGCAGAGTGTATGTATACATAAGTCAGTTTCAAAATTTCTGGGTTCCTCATCTACAGCACAGACCATGGTTTGTGTAGAGTGACATGGAACTAGCTTTCCTCACTTCTCTTCAGAAAAGGAGAGAATTGGGGTAAACGGGATCTGGAACAGTTACTGCAGCAAGTTGGTGATAGTTAATACATTCTCTTCTCCAGGAACCTGGGGTCTGCTTTCAGGATAATATGAATAAATGTAGATATTAAAAATGTATCACCCATATTCTGGTATGTTTCAATATACTGAAAGAATATGTGTGTATGAACCTCAGAGCTTGGTAATGTATGTGTACATGGTGCTAAACCCACCAAAAACACAGGAAAAGGAAACACACAAACACACACATTCATACACACACACACACACACACACACGTAATGTTGTCTAGCAGTGAATACAGTTTACGTAGTCATAATCATGTAAAAACTGAGATTTCATATGTCTGCTTTTTAAAAGGTATTTTACTGCTATTTCTTTTTCTAGCTGTTAACTTGCCCTGTAATTTTGTATTTGTAATTGTTTTTTGAGATGGAGTTTTGCTCTGTTGCCCAGGCTGGAGTGCAGTGGCACAATCTCAGCTCACTGCAACCTCTACCTCCCGGGTTCAAGTGATTCTCCTGACTCAGCCACCTGAGTAGCTGGGATTATAGGCACATGCCATAATGCCTGGCTAATTTTTATACTTCTAGTAGAGATGGTGTTTCACCACGTTGGCCAGGCTGGTCTCAAACTCCTAGTCTCATGTGATCCACCATTGCCTCCCAAAGTGCTGGGATTACAGGAATAAGCCACTTCACCTGGCTTTGAAATTCTTGTATTTTCCCAAATAGACCCTTTGCTTGAAAAGTCATCTCTTTATATTTTATTTATGTTTTATCTTTTTTTATTTTATTTTAAAAACAGGATGTTCCTCTGTCACCCAGGCTGGAGTGCAATGGCAGGTCCATAGCTCACTGCAACTTCAAACTCCTGGGCTGAAGCAATCCTCTTGCCTTAGTCTTTCAAAGCACTGGGATTATAGGTGTGAGCCATCATGCCTGCCCATCTCTTTACATTTTCATTTCATGTTAATTTTATGCTATCAAATAACATAAAATGGCTCCATAGATGAAGCCACTTTTGATCTTTCACTCTTTGTGGCTAAGACTATGCATAGGTTTTCCATAGCAGCCTTGTCAATTAGGACCACCTCCTTTATGATCCTGGTTCTTGCTGTCATCTTTGAGACTGAGAAGTTGCAAATGGAACAACAGCAACAATGGCAGCTGCAGCAGACACTTCTCCAGCATTATAGTGCTGTAAGGAGGAATGTGTTCTGTCAGGGGCTCTACATTTACTTTCTGGAAAGACCTAGACTGTGACTGCTGTTTTTTGGGTTGCCATGGTGAGACAATGGCCTTAGTGCCACTCTGATTTACCATCATTTTGGGTTTCCCATCTCAGCACATCATTCATAGGTTATGTTGCAGATTTCTTTTTCTTTCTTTCTTTTTTTTTTTTGAAACGAAGTCTCGCTCTTGTCGCCCAGGCAGGAGTGTAGTGGTGTGATTTCGGCTCATTGCAATATCTACCTCCCCAGTTCAAGCGATTCTCCTGCCTTAGTCTCCTGAGTAGCTGGGATTACATGTGCGTGCCACACGCCCAGCTAATTTTTTTTGTATTTTTAGTAGAGACGGGGTTTCACAATGTTGGTCATGCTGGTCTTGAACTCCTGACCTCATGATCTACCCACCATGGCCTCCCAAAGTGCTGGGATTAGACGTGTGAGCCACCGTGCCTGGCCTGGTTGCAGATTTCTTTCAGCTCTTGTCATTCCAGTTGAAGAGAGACCATTCTAGAGATGGCTGCAGGCAAGCATTTAAAACCTTTGAGAGAACAACAGCACATCAGGGAGAGTATTATCATGACTATTGGGAGGATAATACCAAGAAGTTGGAGTATGCTCTTTACCTAAGGTACCACAAACCAGAACTTAAGATTAAATAGATCAAAGGATAAGCTAGATAAAGAGTCTACATACTTAACTAAGCAGTCTTTTCATTAATCTTCTACCAGTGAATTTTTCCAGTAGGCCATGAGTACCAGCAACTGGAGAGATACTTCTCTGTTCTGCCAATTCTGTGTGAACTCCAAAAGAGAATTTAAAGTTTGTTGCATCCTTTACAGTGGAATTTGCTATACAGCCTATCATGAGCATACATTTGTAATCATTGCTTCTTCTATTTTAAACCATGGAAGAAAAACCTAACAAATGATGCCTTTCAGGAAGAGTGAAGGCCTCCTGGTAATGTTCTCTTTAACCCATGATGTGGGTTAAGAGGAATGAACCAATATTTTGTTTCTGATTGATTATGAGGCAATGTATGTACCATTAAAGTTTCTTACTGACATTGGGCCTTTATCTTGTATCCACCAAAGTATAAAGTTATCCATGTATAAGGCTGGCTGTAAACACATTCACAAATAAAAGTACACCCCATAAGTGCATATAAGAGACCTCCTTTCCATTTCTATTGTTCATAGAGCCATAGCAAGATAAAATTTTCAAAGATAAGTTTCATGATAGTAGAAGTCTTAATCTGTGAACTTTAGAAAAGTTGCTTACATCAAAGACAGCATGCTCTTCTGGGGAGAAACCTCCCTGGTTAGTTTTACCTTAAGGGTTCCAATGGATGTACAGTTCCAAGAGTGTGGAGGGACCCTTCTCAGCTGTGAGATGATAAACCTAAAGTTCAAGGTCCTTAAGTTTTGCTGTAGTGTGGATGGCAAGGTCAGTTTTTCTTTGATGTTCTCAGAAGATCCAAACTGTAAAAAGCTTTCACAGCAAGGCTGCTGTGGTCAGACTGCCTCTCTAGATTCCTTCTCTCTGGGCGTGGCATCTCTAAAAAAAAAAGGCAAGAGCCCCAGTCAGGGGCTTATAGACCAAACCCCCATCACCCTGGGACAGAATACCTGGGGGAAGGGGTAGCTGTGGGCAGCTTCTACAGACTTAAATGTTCCTGCCTGTCAGCTCTGAAGAGAGCAGCGGATCTCCTAGCACAGCGTTTGAGCTCTGCTAAGGGTCAGACTACTGCCTCAAGTGGGTCCCTGACCCCTGTGTATCCTGACTAGGAGACTTCTCCCAGTAGGAGCTGACAGACGCCTCATACAGGAGAGCTCTGGTTGGCATCTCCTGTACGATGGTGGGTATCCCCCTAGAATGAAGCTTCCAGAGGAAAGAACAGGCAGCAACCATTGCTGTTCTGCAGCCTCTGCTGGTGACACCCAGGCAAACAGGGTCTGGAGTGGACCTCCAGCAAACTCCAGCAGGCCTGCAGCAGAGGGGCTGACTGTTAGAAGGAAAACTAACAAACAGAAAGGAATAGCACATCCATTCAGAGACCCCATCAGAAGGTCACCAACATCAAAGACCGAAGGTAGATAAATCCATAAAGATGGGGAGAAACCAGCGCAAAAAGGCTGAAAATTCCGAAAAGCAGAATGCCTCTTCTCCTCCAAAGGAACACAACTCCTCATCCTCAAGGGAAGAAAAATGGGTGGAGAATGAGTTTGATGAATTGACAGAAGTAGGTTTCAGAAGGTGGGTAATAACAAACTCCTCTGAACTAAAGGAGCATGTTCTAACCCAATGCAAGGAAACTAAAAACCTCGAAAAAAGGTTAGAGGAATTGCTAGCTAGAATAACCAGTTTAGAGAAGAACATAAATGACCCGATGGAGCTGAAAAACACAGCCCAAGAACTCTGTGAAGCATACACAAGTATCACTAGCTGAATCAATCAAGAGGAAGAAAGGATATCAGACATGGAAGATCAACTTAATGAAATAAAGATAAAAGACACGATTATAGAAAAAAGAATAAAAAGGAATGAATAAAGCCTCTAAGAAATATGGGACTATGTGAAAAGACCAAATCTACATTTGACTGGTGTACCTGAAAGTGATGGGGGAGAATGGAACCAAGTTGCAAAACACTCTTCAGGATATGATCCAGAAGAACTTCCCCAACCTAGCAAGGCAGGCCAACATTCAAATTCAGGAAATACAGGGAACACCACAAAGATATTCCTTGAGACGAACAACCCCAAGACATGTAATTGTCAGATTCACCAAGGTTGAAATGAAGGAAAACATGTTAAGGGCAGCCAAAGAGAAAGGTCGGGTTATCCACAAAGGGAAGCCCATCAGACTAACAGCAGATCTCTCTGCAGAAATCCTACAAGCCAGAAGAGAGTGGGAGCCAATATTCAACATTCTTTAAAAAAAAAGAATTTTCAACCCAGAATTTCATATCCAGCCAAAGTAAGCTTCATAAATGTAGGAGAAACAAAATCCTTTACAGACAAGCAAATGCTGAGAGATTTTTGTCACCATTAGAACTGCCTTACAAGAGCTCCTAAAGGAAGCACTAAACATGGAAAGGAACAACCAGTACCAGCCCCTGCAAAAACATGCCAATTGTAAAGACCATCAACACTATGAAGAAACTGCATCAACTAATGGACAAAATAACCAGCTAGCATCATAATGCCAGGATCAAATTTACACATAACAATATTAAACTTAAATGTAAATGGGCTAAATGTCCCAATTAAAAGACACAGACTGGCGAATTGGATAAAGACTCAAGACCCGTCGATGTGCTGTATTCATGAGACACATCTCATATGCAAAGACACACGTAGGCTCAAAATAAAGGGATGGAGGAACATACACCAAGCAAATGGAAAGCAAAAAAAGCAGTTTGCAATCCTAGTCTCTGAGAAAACAGACTTTAAACCAACAAAGATCAAAAGAGAAAAAGAACGGCATTACATAACGGGAAAGGGATCAGTGCACGCTAGTCACTTCCACTCAACATTGTGCTAGAGGTTCTAGTTAGGGGAACTGGGAAAGGAAAAGAAATAAAAGTCATATATACTGGAAAGAAAGAAGTAGACCTATCTCTATTTGCAGATGACATCATCTACATAAGAAGTCCTAAATAATCCCTTAAAAAAAACCCACAACTACTAACAAACTAATTAAGCAAGTTTATGTTATACAAGACAAATATAAAGAAATCAGTTGTATTTCTATACATTAGCAATGAACATCCAAAAAGTGACATTAAGAAAACAATGCTATCTGCAATAGAATAAAAAAGAATAAAATACTTTGGAAAATTTTAACAAAAGAAATGTAAAAATTATACACTGAAAACTCTAAATAATTGTTAAAATAAGTTGAAAAATATCTAGATAAGTGAAAGACACCCCATGTTCATGGATAATATTGATTATTATCTTAAAATTAAAGACTTATTATTAAGCCTTTAAGATGCCAATGCCCCACCAATTATCATGCAGATTCAACACAATCTCTATCAAAATCCTTGCTGCCTTTTTTTTTTTGGCAGAAATCGACAAGCTGAACTTCAAATTCAAAAATGCAAGGGACTCAGAATGGCCGAAACACTTTTCAAAAAGAACAAAGTTGGAGGGCTCACACTTCCCGGTTTCAAAACTTACTACAGAGTCATTAAGATAGTGCAATACTGGCTCACATGCATATGTATATGCATGCAATACTGGCTCACAGATGCATATTGATAAAACAAAATTGTGAAGCCAGAAAAAAAAAAACTTCCCTTACCTGGTGAAAATGCCCTGTAGCATAATAATTTACTGTTATAACATCAACCCTCTTGCATGCTAAAGCTTTTATATAACCAGAAAACATGCACTGAAAATTACAATTGAAATCCCTTAAAAGTGTTTAAATGGCCCACCAGCTGACCAAGTGTACCTAAAATTTTGTTTTCCCAGGAATATGGGACCAAACATTGGATACAAGATATTTTAGTAATTTGTTAAGTTACCACACAAATGTATTCAATTTGGATTATTTTATCTTTTCCATGATGAGTCATGGAATGCAGAATTTTTAATAATAAAGGCTTTAAAGACTTGGGAAGGACAAGGTGGCCATCCTGCTGGTTCTCCATGAGTCCATGCCTAATTAATATTACTGCCTCTTGAATACCAGTTGATTTTCCAAATTAGGTGCATAGCACTGATAACAAATGGGTTTATCATTAGCACTGATAACTAATGGGTTATCATAGGTAACGCAACTTGAGACTGTGGAGTTTATTCAAATTGTATATTTAAACAATTTCAGTATCAGCTGGTTTAACATGAAAATCTGACAAGGTAGTTTCTTGGTATTTAATTTTTTGTTCTTGGGTTAGTAGGTTTATATAAGAAAATTTGGTTATTCTGTGATTTAAAATAACTTAAGGCTGGGTGCAGTGGCTCATGCCTGTAATCCAAGCACTTTGGGAGACTGAGGTGGGTGGATCACCTGAGGTCAGAAGTTTGAGACCAGCCTGGCCAACATGATGAAAGCCCGTCTCTACTAAAATTAGAAAAATTAGCTGGGCATGGTGGCAGGCACCTGTAATCCCAGCTATGAAGGAGGCTGAAGCAGGAGAATTGCTTGAACCCAGGAAGTGGAGGTTGCAGTGAGCCCAGGCTGTGCCACTGCACTCCAGCCTGGGCAACAGAGCGAGACTCAAAATTCAAAAACAAAACAAAACAAAAAAACCGGAATAACCATAATTATAATGGATAGCATATATTTAGACATTAGAATTTTAGAAATCCCATACAATTTTGGAATGTATATTAGTCTTATTCACCAAAATATAAAATAAAGATTGAACATCATTTTGATGATCCCAAGTAACTAAGCATGTCAAGTAATCCTGTTAATCTCTCTTCTGGATGCTTTCAGGGGCCCTCTCTCTGATCCATCCAAAAAGCCAGGCATTAGGAAAGACATTGAAACTGAAGTTAGATTTTTGAATTTCAGATTACCATAAATTATGTATTTTGCCAAAATCATGACTCGGAAATTTTAAAGAAGTGAAAACCTTTCATATAACCTTTTATTTAAAAAAAAATTATACTGTTCTTACACACCTTGCATGTAAAACTGTTTCTAGCAGTCTTAATTGCATGTTACAATGTTGATTCTTAGCAATTTAATTTTAACATAAAACCTGTTATGTTAATTATGTGCTAGGTGTTGATAAGATCTGATTGTTTCCAGCATAGCTAGGGGTGTGGCCAACTCCACATGTCCCCAGGACTTACCTAGCTGGAAAGCAGGCAAGTTAAACAATTCTCAAAAGACAAAGAAGCAGCTTATAAACTTAAAGCATTTAGCAAACCTAATATTTGGACATAATTTAGACCACATGTTTACATTTTGAAGACATTTGTATTTTACCAATAACCTTTAAAACTGTTTATAAGATTAGTAAAGTTATGTGAACTAAAAGGCATTACACTTTTTACTTACTTAAAACAAAATATTTGATTTAAGTTCATTATTAAACGAATTAATTAAAGCTCTTTTTAGTAATTAAAACATTACAGAGGAGATAAACAATGACTTTGGTTTGCACAGAGAGAAAGAGACCAGAACTGTCAAACTGACTGGTAAGAAATTCTTACTTCAAATTCTATTTACAAAAGTACATTCAACATGCTTAAAGTATCAAGAAGCCTAAAACCCAAAAAATTAGCTTAAGGTTAAAAGGCTAGTGTGCTCCATTAACTCCTGTAAGCCTGACCAAGATAGCTTAGGAATTCCAGATAAACGGTACAAAGGGTGACTTGATAGAAATGCATAGGAAACAAAAATAACTATTCACAGAACCAAATAAGAGCCTTCCACTAGAACCTAAAAGAAAATCATGGTTATATATGTATAAATATGCATGCATAAGCAAAATCTGAAGGAAACAGCAAACAAATGAAAACTAGAAGCAAAAACAAATAAACAGAAAATCAACCTGAAGTTTTTGTATTTAATCTTCTCTGGAGGCTACAGTGTTACCCAGAACCCCCTCAAAAAACTATGCATAATATTTTATTCCTGATACACAATTCAATGTCCTTAAGTTTATTAAGATCATCATCCATCCTGTGCAATTCAGAAATTCACTGTAAACACATTTTTAAGAGTTAAAAAAAAAGGGAAGAAACATGAAATGCAATTTAACAGTGAAAGACAGTTTTTTTTTTTGTTTTTTTTTTAGACAAAACTTGAGAGGGGCTTCTAGCTAATTTCAGTCAGGAGCACTTTCTCTTACAAACTGTATGAGTATATATTGGTTTTAGGCTGAGGGAGTTTATTACAAGTTTGGAATGTTTCTATATGGGGGAGAAGTTTATGGAAGGTTTGGAATATCTCTGGGAGGAGGGGAGGTTATCTTGGGGCTGACATCTTTCTGGCAGTAGGGGGTTATCTCTGGGCTAGTGTGTCTCTGGATGGGGAGGAGTTTGTAATGTTTCTTGTTGGAGATGTTATTTGTGGTTTAGGGTCATGCTGACTTTTGCCATTAGGCTGCTGTCCTTTGGATTTAGGCTGTTTTTTGATTAAGATGAATTTTAAAATGAGGTGCTTGTTCATGATGGCAATACTCCTGTTCTGTCAACATGACCAATAAGGACTCCAGTACTGGCACTATCCACATAAAATAGTAAACATAGTGTGAAGCAATGCAAGCATGTATGTTGAAACTTGGCTCCACACTAAATCCAGCTTCAGGCTTAACTGTATGTAAAAAAAAAAAAGAACTGTCAAATTGCCAGTGCATTTTTTACAATACTTCTTACTTTGCTTTAATCAAGATGAAGAGCTTTAGCTATGAAAATGTTAATTAGCCAAATGTGTCCAATTCTTTATCAGGTTTTAAAGAATATTTTATAATATAATTTTTCCACATTTTTCTCACCTACTGAATGGTTCATTACCACATTGTTTCAAGAATAACCTTTTCAAATCTGTAATCTGAACTACCTTTTGGATAACTACTGAAATAGACAAAATTTTTTTGTTTGTTTTTGTCTCTTTGGAGTCTGGGGAGGTACTAATAACATAATCCTAATAACATAACCTTTTCCGGCACATTTTGTATACAGAATTACATGTTAACTAGAATTCTTATGAAACCCTAAAATGTAAGAAATTCTGAACTATCAGATATGGACATTTACAGATAAGAACAATTCCACAATTTTAGAACATATTTCCCTACACTACAACCCTTTCTTAATTGGAAATGACGCAGATATGAAATGAGCATCGGAAATAACTTTTAAGATTTTAATTTACAGAAAGGGTTTACCTAAAACATTTATTCCATTCATTGTACTCAATTGTTACACTTTATTAATTATTATTATTATTATTTTTGAGACAGTCTCGCTGTGTCTCCCAGGCTGCAGTTCAGTGGTGTAATCTCGGTTCACTACAACTTCTGCCTCCTAGGTTCAAGTGATTCCCCCGCCTCAGCCACCCAAGTAGCTGTGATTACAGGTGTCTGCCACCACACCAGGCTAATTTTTTGTATTTTCAGTAGAGATGGGATTTCACCTTATTAGACAAGATGGTCTCCATCTCCTGACCTTGTGACCTGCCCACATTGGCCTCCCAAATGTGACATTTTGAACAAGAGAGACATGATACATCAATTAACACACGTAAAATGAAATTGGTTCCATGTGGAAAGGTAGGGCAACTCAAAGTGGGGAGGGGGGTTGGGAACTTCCAGGTCACAGATAGGTGGGAAACAAACGGTAGCATTTTTTTGAGTTTCTGATAAGCCTTTCTGAGGTAGGCAGTCGGATATGCATTTATCTTAATGAGCAGAGGGGTGAGTTTGAATACAATAGAAGGCAGGTTGGCCATAAGCATTCCCAGCTTGAATTTTCTCTTCAGCTTAGTGATTTTGGGGAGCGCAAAATATTTTCCTTTCATAAGTTACTCTCATTCATCAACAGAAAGCATGCAAACCAAGATAATTTTGTTTTGGCTGAGTTTATAGTTTTATAACCTTCTGTGCCAAACACTGACATGTTAAAATAGCTAGCAAAGACAAACATAAAATTCAGACAAAATGTATGCTGACAATTCAGAAGGCATTTCTATTTTTATTCTAAAATAATTTTTAAAATTAGTTTAAATAATTTTAAAGCCACCTTGTTCAGTAAAGTTATATTTGAGTCACATGAACTTGAAAATTGCTTATACTTATTTACTTAATTTATGAGCACTCTTAGTTATAAGCCAATTTGGTAGACACACCATATGACAATAAGTGTACATATAAATTAACACATTAGACCTGTATACACACACATAAACAAAGATCCAATAGCTTAGAACATCAGCCATGAGATAGCAACATAAGCTTGCTGATTTTAGCCTGTTTGCCTGAACAGATAATTCAGTGAAGTCTGTGAACCAAAATTTCTGCTGAAGGAGTCTCCATGGCAGATTTTTAAAGGCCAAACCTCCCCCGACTCCAAAGGGTACTGGGGCCAAACAGCACTAAATGAGAGTGTCACACATTAACCAGGCCCCTTGCTTAAGACAGCAGTACAAAAACCTGGATACATGCAATGTCATCCCACTTTCCCATTCAACTGCAAACTCCAGGTTCCAAACAATATTCGGGACAAGCAGTATGGCAATTCAGAGAAAATTCTAAGGAGGGCTTAGTACTAGACCTCAGAACCCCTGCCAAGGGCCTCTCCTTTGGAGAGGGTGAGGTCTGAAGAATTCCCCTACCTGTGCATCCCCCAATCTTAGAGTCAGATGTCTCTGACCTTAGGAGTGTACAAGTGCCAGTTGCATGTTTTCCCTCCAGAGGGAGGGAGGAAGAGTTTTTATTTCTACAAGCGGTTACAGGGAGAAGGCCTGGAAATTATTGCCAGGCCGACTCAAAATTACAAAGTTTTCCAGAGCTTCTATAGCTTCTAAGCTCTATATCTACATGTAAGTGTGCATTCATCTAAAGACATATGTGAATACTTCTTTTAATCTACAAGCAAGGTCTGAGTCCTGAAGACTTTCCTCTGGAGTCTCCGTAAATTTGCTTAATCTCAGTGGGTGCAGGTGCTGGGATGATTATACTTGTCACCTGCTAAATCATAAAGGTTTGAGAAGTTCCTTCAGACCCCCTAAGAAACTTTTTTGTGAAGGCCTGAAGAGTTTCTTCAGATCCCCAGTAAAACTTGTTTAATCATGCTTTTAAGGTTCAGGAAAGGCCTGGGGAAAACTCTTGGTGGACTTTTGTTGCATTCCAGCCTTTGTATAAGGACACTGGCTTTTTCAGCTTTTAATATTTAACTTAACCCATCAGTCAGTGCTGAAACAGTTGTTATAGAGGCCTGTGTTAGTGAGACCTGGCCTGCCACATTACCACATCCCTTAGCCTGTTTGGCTAAGGCTCTTTCAACACACTTAGGCCATGTGAAAAGTGAAAACGCATGCCTGGCACAGAATAAGTGCTCAGTAAACACATCAATTTGCTTACTGTTTGGAAGGAAGCTTTATCACCCAATCCCTGATTTAAGGTAGGAGTGTATATTGCCAAGTAGTTTGTTACATTTTCTTACACCTTGATTATTTTGAAATTATGCATATGGCACTACTCAACTAAGAGAGTGTGAAAGGAAAAATAAATGTTGGAACCCCCAAATCACTACGAGGCCAAAGAGAAAAGTCAAGCTGGGAACTGTGGCAGGCAAACCTGAGATGAGAATAAGACAAAGCTAAAAAAAAAAGCTACATAGGGCCGGGAGCGGTGGCTCATGCCTGTAATCCCAGCACTTTCGGAGGCTGAGACGGGTGCATCACGAGGTCAGGTGATCAAGACCATCCTGGCTAACGTGGTGAAACCCCGTCTCTACTAAAAATACAAAAAAATATATATATATATATTAGCCAGGCATGGTGGTGGGCGCCTGTAGTAACAGCAACTTGGGAGGCGGAGGCAGGAGAATGGCGTGAACCTGGGAGGCGAGCTTGCAGTGAGCTGAGATCGTGCCACTGCACTCCAGCCTGGGTGACAGAGAAAGACTCTGTCTCAGGAAAAAAAAAAAAAAAAGCTACATAGATTCCTCACAATTGCCCCAAAAGAGAAATTCATTGTGGACCTCAAGGTCTTTTTTTTGAGACAGAGTCTGGCTCTGCTACCCAGGCTGGAGTGCAGTGTCGCGATCTCGGCTCACTGCAACCTCTGCCTCACACATTCAAGCGATTCTCCTGCCTCAGCCTCCCGAGTAGCTGGGACTACAGGCACGTGCCACCATGCCTGGCTACTTTTTTGTATTTTCAGTAGAGACAGCGTTTCACCGTGTTAGCCAGGATCGTCTTGATCTCCTGAGCTCGTGATCTGCCCGCCTCTACTATGAGCTTTCATTTTTGTCACTGCAGGAAAGGCTTGACTGCTGGCATCCTTATAATTTGATAAGGCCATGATTTCCCATGCTTCCCATTCCATGAACGTTAATGATAGGAACTGGAAGCTGGGTTCGTTTTTTGTTCTTAGCCAGTTGAGTAGGATAACGGGAGAATAAGAAAAGAAGGTTTACATCTCCTGCAACATTTGCAAGTCTACTCTGAGCTGCATCACACATAGGAATCAGGGACCACACCTGGAACAGATTAAAAAAAAAAAAAAGGTCCTTCCCCCTTCTGGACAGGACAATTATTCCTATTCACTCCTTGGCATTCAGGTAACACAAGAGAGTGATCCTAGCTAATTGCCCTCAATTTCCAAGGAACTACAGGGAAACAGCCACTGAAAGACCAAAAAAGAAAAGAAAAAAAAAATTATAAAAGACCCAGATACCTTAAACAAACTGAGCAGTGGTGATTTGGTGCCTCCACACGGAAACTCCTAGATTCACTGCCCACAGCCAGAAACCTGCAGTTGCCTCTGTGTTTAGGCACTGCCCACCAAGGGTCTCAAATTGGAAAGCGCAGAGGTTCTACGCCCAGCCATGCACCTCAAGATCTTTACTCCAAAGCAGTTCTGTTTAATTTCACCCTGGCGACCTACATTGGTAGCTCATCTTCACAGGTGCAAGACAGAAAGTCCTCCATGTGCACATCTGCAACAAATGCCTATCTCATTGTTTCCTCTGCTACACTGTTTATGTAAAAATACAGACTCACTGAGCCAGACTATGAAAGTAATTGACTATTCCTCTACCCTTCCTGTTTTTTTTTTTTTTTTTTGACAGAGTTTCCAAAGCGATTCTCCTGCCTCAGCCTCCTGAGTAGCTGGGATTACAGGCATGTGCCAACACGCCCAGATAATTTTTGCATTTTTAGTAGAAACAGGGTTTCTCCATGTTGGTCAGGCTGGTCTTGAACTCCCAACCTCAGGTGATCCATCTGCCTCAGCTTCCAAAAGTGCTGGGATTACAGGTGTGAGCTGCCACACCCGGCCTCTACCTTTCCTGTTACAGTTAAATTGTGTATTTAGTGAAAGGCTGATCAGAGACCCAAAATAATGCAACCATTTGTCTCTTACGACATCAAACTCTACCTTCCCACTGCCCCAGCCCCCCACCAAGCCACCCCAATGTCCTGCACCATGTACATCTTACATCTTGCCTTCCTAAAATGTATGAAACCAACCTGTGCACTGGCCGAGAGAGAGAGAGAGAGAGAGAGAGAGAGAGAGAGAGAGAGAGAGAATAACCAGAAAGGAACACAAGGAAACTTTTGGAGGTGATGGAGATGTTCATTACCTCGATTGTGATGGTGGTATCGTGGATTTACGCCTATGTCCATACTCATCAAATTGTACACATTAAGGAAGTGCAGCTTCATTTGACTGGTTGTTTTTTTGTTTTAATTTAATTTAATTTAGTTTATTTTGAGACGGAGTCTTGCTCTGTCACCCAGGCTGGAGTGCAGTGGCGCGATCTCGGCTCACTGCAAGCTCCGCCTCCCGGGTTCACGCCATTCTCCTGCCTCAGCCTCCCGAGTAGCTGGGACTACAGGCGCCCGCCACCACGCCCGGCTAATTTTTTGTATTTTTATTTTTAGTAGAGACGAGGTTTCACCGTGTTAGCCAGGATGGTCTCGATCTCCTGACCTCGTGATCCGCCCACCTCGGCCTCCCAAAGAGCTGGGATTACAGAAGTGAGCCACCGTGCCCGGCCTGGCTGGTTGTTTTTTGTATATCAATTCTGTCAGGCGGACGCGCGTGAAAAATTCCAATGGAAGCTGTGACCACACACACGCCTGCGCAGTACAACTTACATAGCGGACTTCACTCTCTTAAAAGTGAATTGTTTTGCAGGTTTTACGACATGGACAGAGCTGTGCAGCCATCATCACGAGCTAATCCAAAGCAAGGTATTCGACTTAAAATTCAAATGCCATGAAACCTATCCTTTCAATGTTTACGGTACAGACGATTTTAGTACTTTCCCAAACCTATGAAATTGGCCCCAATCCTGAACAAGGAATGATTTGTCTCTGAAACAAATCATGATTTTGCAATCACAGCATGTCACAGTCACAAGGAATCATATAGGTTATTTCTCACGATTGGCATTTTTTTTTAAGGCTCCTAAATCGTGCTGTTTCAGGACTTTTGCTAAATATTTTGAAGGTCGGCGAAAGATAAGTTTAAGAGTGTAAACTGCGTCCTCCCAGCTCAGCCAACTTGACGGGGGGTAGGCACAACAAAAAGTCCTGCGGCATAACTGACACCTGTAAATCAGTATCAGAAACTGAAAATGCTAAGAAATTCAGTTCCAGGATATGAACTCTACAGCGGAAGAATAAGAAACCGGAACTAAACTTCTCACTCATCTGACTTCCTGCGGTTTACGACAACAGACTTTGGTTGCACCGGAAAAGAACAGATTCTCTTCCGTCGCAGAGTTTCGCCATGGTAAGACCGATAGTTCCTAACTCCTAGTATATCTGCCTCCATCATTTGAAAAAGGGCCGTTCTACCTTGGCGATGTTTCACTTTTCGGTCGCCCCTACTTGGTGGGTGGGAATGCTGCTGGTGCTGCTTCAGGAAACCCGATTTGGAGAGGGGAGGTCTGAGAAGAGTGTGTCTCGTTGTGCTCGGTCTGGGGGCCGTCACGTGAGTCCATCCTTGACGCAGCCCGGCAGTGGCTTTTTACCCGGATTAGCTTATTTTCACACGTTGAAGCAGCCTCAGATTCGCTTGGAGAGCACTGTGGACGCTCTCTTGACGGATGCTAGGGAGACCCGCCAAGTTTTCAAAGGTCTGTGCTTTGCGTGGTCTCTTCTGGGGTCTGGCAGGAAGTAATATTTGTTCAAAACGGGGCTTGAGTATGGGCTGGGCGATCTTTTCTCCTTGAGTCAGGTATTACCCGTTAGCAGTTCCTACAGCTGAAGATGAGGGCATTTCACTGTCAGCGGAAACTAATTTCTCTGAGTTTCGTGTCCTTTTCAGGCCCGGGGCCCCAAGAAGCACTTAAAGCGTGTTGCAGCGCCGAAGCATTGGATGCTTGACAAACTAACGGGTGTATTTGTGAGTATAACTTTGTTTTTTGTGGTTTTTTTTTGTTTTTTTTAGTCAAGAGTGCATGCTAAATACCTGTGGCTCGGTATTTCTTGGGGGCGGCGTTTGCTTGTTTGTTATGTGGGATTTTCGTTGGTAAAGACTTCCCGCACCCTGAACTTGTCCTTGCACTTTTCTGTGCAACAAAGGGCCAGGATGTCACGTCCCGATGGTTTCCTTTGCTCTTTTAGCTCGCCACTTCAGAGGGCACTTCCTGAGCCCAGAGCTGGGTGGGTTAATGAATGTGTCCAATTCCACATAAGAAAGGAGTTCAGTGACAGTCCGCTGAGTCCCCCATTAATAATCAAATGCGTTTAATTTAAAGTTACCCCTTGTTTTAGAGGGTGGAGTAGCTGCTTTTTACGTTGAGCCCGAGTTACTGGTTTAATAGTAAAGGCTACAGGAGCCCACGAAACAAGGGCAAGAAGTTGTGTGAGAAAGTCTGGAGGCTCTTGAACCCAACCTTGAAGACCTGGCAGGATGAGGGCAGTATACTCAGAGGCACAGTAGGCAAGCATCTCACAAGGAGACTAGGCAATTTCCACATTGATGGTGTGGTCACACTAGGAGAGAGTGGTTAAAACTGTAAAGTCTTGGTCTTCTGAGACAGAGAGGAGCCAGTGTGAAGAAGACAGAATCGAGGCGCTTAAGATGCCAAGGGTTTTTTGAGCAGGAATAAATGTGGTAAGAGACTATATTTAGCTCTGAGGGTCTCCATTTAGGAGGCACTTAGTAACTAACTTGATTTGGCCTCTTCTTGGTACAGTTTGAACTCTGAACACTGAGTAGTAGAAACTTGTCTTCCTTGTTCTGATATTTTCAGAGAGAACATAGGCAGTGTGTTGGCTGGGGACCTGGATTTGCAACCTGTCCCTGTCAGTTTCTGCTTCCAAGTGCTACCTCTGCTACTGTCACCTACTATTTGACCTCCCTGGATGGGCCATTGTTTTCTCTATTGTTAAGTGGATGAGCAAGGCACTCTTTAAGAAGACTTGCTGGGAACTTGGTCCCTTAGTCTTGTGGGTTCCTCTCCTTTTCCCTGTGACATTGATGAAAGTGTGTGGTTAATGATCGCGAGTCCGTTTTAAGAGAGACAAAGCTAGAGAGGGATCTGTAGAAGCAGCTTGAACGGTCTCCATTGGAAGAGATTCTTGTGTGATCCAAACTTAAAAGGTAATTGGGGAGTGGTGTTCAAGACAGACCTTGAGACTTTTATATGTACTGGTAGCAGATATCCTAAGGACAGTATAACACCAAAACTGCGAGAGTATAGGTTACAGGATTTGTTGCGGTGTGAATTTGATGACACTTAAGCCGGCAAGCAGCCAAGAGAGGAGGAACGCACATTGGGTATTACAGGGTGGTCCTGCAACATCGGCAGGGCTTGTGTGGAACTTTGAAGCCTGGCATGGTGAGAGAGTAGTAGAATATGTCTTCATAAGGTTTTGGGTAAAGCGTAAGCTACACTTGAGATACATGGGATGTAGTGTTGTGTTCAAGGGAGGTTTGAAGAAGGAGTATGAGTGGCAGTGGTGCTTGGGGCAGGGCAAAATGGGGAGATGGTTGTGAGGCTAGATTTGGGGAAGGAAGGGGCACAAAATGAGATTTCCATGGTTGGGGATATGACCTTCCTAACAAGACAGACCTCTAAACTAATAAAATAATTGCCCTCTTGTATTCCTCTTCCCCACAACAAGTTAAGTTCAGCTGAACTTATGCAGAACTAAAGTACGTCATCTGCTCAATCTGGTTACATAAGGAGTGGATCTTCTTAGATTAGGTTACCTTTCCTTGTCTTCTACAGGCACCTCGTCCATCGACAGGTCCCCACAAGCTGAGGGAATGTCTTCCTCTGATCGTCTTCCTCAGGAATAGACTCAAGTATGCGTTGACTGGAGATGAGGTAAAGAAGATATGTATGCAACGTTTCATCAAAATTGATGGCAAGGTTCGAGTGGATGTCACATACCCTGCTGGATTCATGGGTAAGGAAAGAGTTCTTTGTTTTGTTTTGAAGAAGGAACAGGTTGAGAGAAGGACAAGATGTAGGGCTCTCATGTTGCCAGTGATAAAACTGGACACTGAACTTCAGATTTCTGCAGAAGTTACTGCTGGTCCTTTCAGAAGGAGAATGAGGGATAGGGAGAGGAGTGGCAAGGCTCAAGTGAAAAGCTGGAAAGGGGTTGATAATGTAAATGGGATGAGGCCAGCAGTGGCTGCATGCTGGCGGATTATCAAAGTTAGGCTCCTACCTTCCCGGCAGAGACTGGGAGACAGAGGAGCTGTCCTTAGGTGTTGGCTGGAACAAACAGTAAATTCTTTTGGCAGCCTTGAGTTTTCTCAGGCAGGCATTTTGAGGCAGACTGGGCTCATCTTGAGCTTTTAGAAGCTGTGTTAGTGTTGAGGTCTTCATAGGTCAAGGTTGAAGCTTAGCCAAGAAGAGGGCTCAGAGGAAACTGGCTAACGATTGGTCAAGGAGAGAATCTTTGTCAGTGAACAGGGTTTTGGCTCTGTCTTCCCACTTCGTTGATGACTTAACTATTCTGGATCTCCAAGGATGGATTTGCAGCTTTTTTTGGCGGGGAGGGTGGAGGAGGGGCAGAAGGGTCACACACCTCTAGGGAAAAAGTGTACCAAGAGGGAAGGTAGGGAAAGGTAAGGAATTCTGACCTAGTGCTTTGTTCACCCTTTTCATGGTGAAAGGCTCAGTACAGCTTTTTAGCCTAGCATTGTCCAGAAAGCAGGGGGATGATTACTTTGTCAGGTGTGGATGCTACCGAGTGGATGGGGTTCCAGGCCGGACATTCCTAGGATCCAGCCACTGAGTTAGAAAAGACAGACCTTCCTTTTCTTACTTTCCTTCCTTCCTCTTTTTTTTTTTTAGCATTTTGCTTTGTTTCTCAAAACCCCAAATCCTGAGTGAGGCAGGACTCCTGATAAGCGAAGTCATGGAGGGCGTAAATGGGGCCAGGACATTGATTGGGCAGCCTGCTGAGCCTGGAGCCTTGCTTGCTTAAATGTGAGGTCTGCTTGTTCATTTGGTTTCCTGGTATTTGTGGGTGTGCTCATGTATGTTTTCTCCTCAGGATCCTGAGTGCGTTAACCCAGCACACAGTCTCAAGCAGCTATTGCACAAGAACATAGGAAGCAATAGAGCAGCCATAAATGTATTCACTTTCTTTTGTTGGATGACATGTATTGGGAGAGGAGCAGGGGTTGGTTGGTTTCATTCAAGCACCTCCGCCAAGCCCTGGGGACTCCTAGGCTGCTAAAACGTTCTCAGGTTCAACCTGGCATAGAGTGTTCCTGCTGTGCAGGCAAAAGAAACTTTGTGTTTGTGTTAACGATGTTCCTTATACCCTTTTGTGATCAGATGTCATCAGCATCGAGAAGACAGGTGAACATTTCCGCCTGGTCTATGACACCAAGGGCCGTTTTGCTGTTCACCGCATCACAGTGGAAGAGGCAAAGGTATGTTGCACAAGTCAAGTGAGCTTTGTAATTTCCAGACAGATAGGTCGGTTGCTAAGTTTGTCAGAGGGTGTTTAAGCCAGATTCCGGGAATATTTCCTATCTCTACTTGTTTGTCTGGTTGTTTAATCCAGGCATGTAGGTGCACACTGATAGAAAGTAATGGATTTTCCACACAAGACTGTTTTAGAAACGGGATTACAAGTAAGGAGTTCTCTGAAGGACAAGATATTTCTGTACAGGAAAGATCTGTGATATTGACCAGGAAGGCCTGGGTAGAAATCCAGATTTCTTGTCATTGATTAATTGTGTAACTGCAGGCAACAGTACATAGAACCTTTTTTGAGTCTTTGTTTTCCTTGTAAATGGTGATAATATGCTTTCCTGCCAGGTTTCTGTGACTATGTTAGTAGTAGTGCTGCCTTGCACTTGCTAGACATAGAAGATGATTGACTGCCTGATGTCTGCCTCTGCCCTTAAAACTCCCTCTTCCCTCCCCAGATTTAATGGCTGAAGTTTCAAGGAAACTTTCAAGGGAGTTGCTTTCTGTGTGGACAGCACCTTCCATTTTTCTGTGTAGGGAAGACCTCTTTGGAAACCAGGATCACCCTTCAGTCATCCATTCCTCTTTTCCCTGGATTTAGGGTCATGGGGTGACTTTGTTTTTCACATGACCCAATCACTTACAGTGACCAGATGCCATCTGAATATGAGATGCATTCTGTAAGTGAATCACAACGTTTCATTGGATGTTGTTTCTACTTAGTTTAACCAGCTTGCCTTTTTCTCTGTTATTTCTCTGGGGGAAACACATTAGAGTCCCTAAAGGAATTGACAAATATCGGTTGTTTGGTTGTTTCTGACTTATTTGGTCGTGTCCCTTGATGCAGGGTCCATTCTGTTTTTGTGGATTCGCCCACAGGAGGTACTTTGTTTTAGATGATAGGAACTAGGCCTTGAATCATGCAGTGTGTTCAGTCGCGTAGGGTGTTGGATTCTTTTGTACCTAAAAGGTAGAAAGCACAGAGGAAATCAAATCTGATGACTGGTTTCTGCTTTTGTATGGAATTTGGATCTCAAGAGACAATGCAGATTGGTAGTCCCTGTGAATTTTTAAGTAGGGGGAGATGGAGTGGGACAAGGAGATACTGGAGTGTTGTTAATACCTAGTACTGGCCCTACCAGATTGGCCAGCCAGGGTGTAAAAACCTTGTGTCCAGGAGACTATCGCATAGTAGCGAGAAGTGCCAAATGGTTGCCCTGGGTTACGGTATTGGCCTTATCCTTGTGTAACAGGTGAGAGACTTGGGAAGTTTTGATTGAGCTTATTTGTTTGCTGGTTGTTTCTTTGGGCAGCTGGAAGGGAGCATTCCCTGTCACAAACCCCACCCAGTTTAGCTTGGCTTGAGCCAAGGACACAGCGAGTTCAGAGTGGAGAATCAGAGGCTCCTGGGACGTCAGTTATGTCAGGGACACACCAGGGAGCCTTTTCATAGTTTATTAATCCACCAGGTAGCATAGGTTAGTGGAGAGACAGAACATCCAAACAGCCCTCCACCCTTGAAAATAAGACTAGAAAAGTGGTATTTTGTGGGTCTTGGGAAAACAGCCTGATGGATTTCAGACATAATATTTCCCCGTAACAACTTGGTATTAGTTGTTGAAGACCAAGGAAATGGAAGTCACTGGATTTAAGAATGGGAGATTAGGTCTGTTTTTGTGGGTGATTGCCATTACAGTGGATGGGAGAAAAAGAAAGAGTTTGGGTGAGCCCATGATGAACTTGCACACGAGTAATGGGAACTAAGGCAGTGCCTGTTCCCATTGTGAGTGGGGGTAGAGAGCACAAGTATCACCTGGAAGATGGCAAAGAAGACAGGGGTTTAGAATATACATCCCCAGCTGTGGTGTGGAGGAAGCACATGTGGAACAGGGTGATTGAATATTTGGTGGTAGGATAAGGAGATGGTAGCTGCAGATCTTGGTGAAATACATGGATGCTTGAGAGAGTTGTGGATGGAAGGACAGTACCTTAATGCTTTGGGTTCAGCTTGCCTTGCAACTTGCAAATAGATGATAAGACAGAAGTAAGTGCTGACTGAAATAGAGGACTGAAACACTGCTCAAAAGAGTTACAGTAGATGCTGTCTGAATAGTTGGCACAGAAACCTCATTGATACTGGGCAGCTTGTGTTCAGTGATAGGTGTGTATGGGGAGAGGGAGATTTCATATTGCAGAAGGTTTATGAACAGGGTCTAGGTGGTGCAGGTTCTGTTTCCTGAAAAGTAGAAAATACTGGTTAAAGAAATCAAAAAGAGAAAATCAGAGTAACCAACCAAACAGAGACTTGGGTTTATGGATTACCATTCTTGAACGTTGAGAAGACTGAATCTCATAAAGGTGACAGTTATTCTCAAAGTAGAAGATACGGGACAGTGACTAGAAAGAGGCAGAAAGAGGGATTTTCTTTTGAGATAGTGGGTGATGTTTGCCCATTTGTTTTAGAGAATTGGAGACTGGTGCAAAAGGAGATGATCAAGACCATGAGTGGGGAGACTAGTGCCTTTTTGGTGGGCAAGGAAGAAGACAGGTGGAGGGAATAGGCAGTTGAAGTTTAAGTTTCAGAAAAGATGGAACCTGGGCAGTTAGATCTGTTTCTGAGGGAGGCCAGCTGGGAAAGATTTCATACTAGTTTGTGTAGGTGTTGTACAAAGGGCAGTGGAAACTTGAAGCGAAGAGTTTATCTGTGGTTTGAGAGGGACAGCGTAGAATGCTCTCAGGGGAGCCTCACATTTGACATTCATTTTGGAGAATGACAGGAGGCTTCACCTTGCAGTCAAGATTGTATGGAAAGGGTGTCAATGGGGCAGGCATGTTGTAGTAGGTGGTGATGTAATTACAAATTATGACTGGTCAAGACTGCTGAGCAGACAGATGGTAGAGTTGAGGTTTTCTTGTGGTAGAGTGCTATTCAACAGTTAAGAATAAACTTTTTCTCTGTAGTTCTTCTATTAAAATAAATCTGAAAAAATTCAGTAATTTTTTTGGATACAGGTGTTTTTTGGGTTACATGGATGAATTATCCAGTGGTGAGTTCTGAGATTGTAGTGCACCCATCACCTTAGTAGTGTACATTGAACATAATGTGTAGTTATTTTTATCCCTGGCCCCCTCCCAACCTCCCTCATCTGGGTCTCTGGCCCCCTCCCAACCTCCCTCGTCTGAGTCTCTGAAGCCCGTTATATCACTCTGTATGCCTTTGCATACTCATAGCAAGATAGGGGTTTTGGTTTTCCACTCCTGTGTTATTTCACTTTGAATAATGGCTTCCAGGTCCATCCATGTTGTTGCAAAAGGCATTATTTTGTTCCTTTCAATGGCTGTTTTTCTCCAAACTTCTGTCTCTGAGAGTGCTCAGAAACTGACACATTCTGGAGGCTACCCTGTCTAAGCATTTTGCTTAGATATGCGTGGCTTACATATACCTAGGCTCAGCTACCTTTTATTTCCGTGGCTCCCAACCCTCTCCTTTTCTCTCAGACATTTCCTTTTGTCTCAGACATTTTATTATAAGCAGTTGGTTTGGCATCCTTCAGCTCATACTGTTTTGTTTTCATCCATTGTATCCTTGCCTTTGTGGCTTTGAGCCTGCCTACTTGCAGGACTCAATCCGAACTCTGATTCCTTTACCACATAGAGGCTGAGCCCCATACTAGGAACTAAGGATTGAACTCAGAGCAGTCTCCTGTCTGCTGTCATTGTTGTGCCTTTCTCACTTGCCAGTGGTGACTCAGAGGGCCCTACAGTCTTTGGGAGTCTTGGGGCTGGAGGACAGAAGGTGATGGGGTGTCACATCTTTAAAATCTGAAGACAGTCTTTTCAGCTGTGGGACAGAGGAAAAATAATTGGTTTTCTGCAGATGTTGAGGCTACCCCTGTGGTAAGAGGTTTAGCTCAACTGGAAGTTCCCCTCATGATATGGCCAGTCTTACCCTTAGTGAACCTCTAGTTTCCTGGCAGGATGGGCCTCTACTAAGCGAGAGGACCCAAGATCTAAATCCTGAGCTGTTTTGGCCACATGAAGGTGCATAGGTAATAAAAGTCGTCTGAGGTGGATGTGAGGAAAGCCTGCTAAAGTTGGCTTTTGCAGGAGCACTCCCACTAATAAAAGTGTTCAAAAGTTTTTAGCCTGCCTTAGTCCTGGTCTTGAAGCACTGGAGACCTGGTCAGTCAGCTCTGTATAGAGGTTAGACACAGAACTGTTACCCGTTAATGTGCTAGCATGCTTACAGGCATTTCACTCACTTATAGATAGTTGCTAAGTGTAATCTGTATTTCACAGTCATCTGTGGATGCTTAAAGGACCGACACGCATCGTGAAGCTTGGGTTAACAGTTCCAGACGGAACTATCTCACAGGATGGAGGGAGGCCACTTGGAACTGGAGGCACCTTTAAAGAAAGAGGCCATGTCTTTTTTCAGAGGGTGTTTCACATGTGCAGTTAAAGGCCGAGGACCTTTGGGCACAAGGCTTCAAGTTTGATGTTGTGATATAGCAGTGAACTGCATGGTGCTGTTGCTATCCATGCAGAAACTGTTGGTTAGTGAAAGGATCTGTGGAGGATATAGGAGAAGAAAAAGTTTTTACTTGTTTTGTTTTTGCTGTCTTTCTCCTGACTGTCAGCAGTACCTGCTAACTATTTTGACTCCCTTAGCACTGTTCTCAGCTCAGCTGAGAGAGTACACTGGACAGGATGTACATGAAAAGTGGAGGGCAGCAGGTAGGCTTTGAGGTGTGAATAGGCCTTCTATGAGTTCACAGTCATAGAACTTGCTTGGACCTGTCTTACCTGGGCTATTTGGAGCTAATGAGCCAGGGTGGAAAAGGGACAAGATTAACTTTCACTGGAAATGTTTTAGAATCACCCAAGTAGGTTCAGGATGTCACATACAAAAAATGTGGAGGACAGTTGGGTGATAGGAATGCATTCAGCAGGCCGTGATGCAAAGACTTGCTTCATGAAGTTGGAGGGGCAGAGGTAGAGAGCTTGCATTTCAGAGTTCTTTCTCTGGTTATCAGGGACAGAGGGTTTCTTTCTTTTTTTTTTTTTTTTTTTTTGAGACGGAGTCTCGCTCTGTCGCCCAGGCTGGAGTGCAGTGGCGGGATCTCGGCTCACTGCAAGCTCCGCCTCCCAGGTTCACGCCATTCTCCTGCCTCAGCCTCCCAAGTAGCTGGGACTACAGGCGCCCGCCACTACGCCCGGCTAATTTTTTGTATTTTTAGTAGAGACGGGGTTTCACCGTTTTAGCCGGGATGGTCTCGATCTCCTGACCTCGTGATCCGCCCGCCTCGGCCTCCCAAAGTGCTGGGATTACAGGCGTGAGCCACCGCGCCCGGCCCAGAGGGTTTCTTATATCTAGCGTGGAGTAGAGCTGGAGAGATTGAAAATGCCCACTAGTAGCCCTAGGTTGGTTAAAGTAACACTGCATTAGTAAGTGGTCACTGGATTGGTACTGATGATTGGATAGCACATTTTAAAGGTAAAGTGCAAGTTACTCTTTTAAATGAGGATGGAAGAGTGAAGTTGACAGATTGTTTTTAAGTCTGGCTCCACTGGTTGCAGAATGTATACTGAGTGGTGTAATCTTTCTTATGGTTTGGTCCCAGGGCTTCGGGAGGTATAAGGGGAAAATGTGTTTTCTCTGTCTGCTTACTCAGCACCTCTAGCCTTACTTACCGTAGACTCAAACAAACCTGGAATCTTAGCCCACTGCTTTGGTGCTTATGGACTATAGCTTCGTACTTTTCCACTTTAGATTAGAGGGCAAAGAGAAGAATGGGCTTTGATAGGCATATTATACCCCATCCACATGTATTCACCCTGAGGTTGGGCAGGTTAGTATCCCTCTGTGCCCTTGTTATATCATTTATTGTCTGAGGCAGTTCTGCTTGGCTGCTTAGTGAACCTCCTTTCAGTACCCTGGACACTCTGTGTCTGTGTCCATATTCTCCCTCTGCCTCATCTCACGTAAGTATTTTGCCTACTGTAGCACCACAGCTTGATGATTTTCTGTTCTGGTACATAACCTTATCTGCTGAATTTGGTTGCATATTGGATCTGTCTTCTCTTATGGGGATGTTTATACCTGATTGGAAGGAATGTGCCAAGTTGTATTCAGTGTCTTAATGACAGCACCCCCTACCCTGCCTCTGCACACATTCACATTACCTTCATTACACTTGTTTATGGATGGCCAAGTACTTACATCGCTGGGTGGTGGGGCCATTCCTATAGTCACCTTGGTTTGCACTGTGTTTGGTTTGCTCTCCTTCTGCCACCATTCACTCCCTCCAAGTTCCATCCAAACTTTCAAAGGGCTTCTGTCCTGCTGTGCCTTACTATGACAGGCAGTAGAACAAAAGTTTTACACACTGTGGCCTTTTTGTTTGTATGCAAGCAGGTTTCTGATGTATTGTCCTTTAGGGCCAAGTTCTGGACCCAAAGGCATTCCTAAAGTTAATTTGGGGGTGGTACACACAGTGGCAGGGCAGCCGGAAAGGAGGATGTGGTTTTCCTTTTCCTTTTGGAAGAAAAGGGCTCAGTCAGCCTAATTGTCCCTTGAAGTGCTTCCAACTTTTCTTTTAAGAGCTTTAATTGGTATGTTTGCATGCAGCATCTGGGAGTTTCTTCAATTTCTACATTTATGTTTGACTTCTGAATTATAGTCTCTGAAGTTTTCAGTTGGTTGGTCCAGTAGGCAGTTCTGATCAGGGAACTTACGCAGCTTTCAATTCTTTGCTTAACTCACTGGCCAGGAAAGCTGGAAATGATCTTGAGTTTCTATTAGTAGTGGTGGTAAATATGAGGTGGTGGTGGCAAACAAACTGAACACTCATTGGAGAATGCCTGGAGGGGTGTGTCAACTGTGAAGTTTTGATTTGAAGAGCGTGCTCTCATTAGATTGACTGCATAGGATCCAGGCCTTAACATGGATAAGTGGGCTTGGATATGCCAGGCTGATGAATTCCAGATTTACCTTAACTGGGGAGTTAATGTGGCCTAAGTTCCACATGTGGAATAGGAGCCTTTGTCACCTTTTTGGACTGCTGGCTTATATTAAATGGCCTCACATCTCCATAGCACCTTGAATGGTGTTAAATCTATAGTAGCAGCAGAAATAATATTAGCTGACATTTACTGCTTTGCCAGGTCCTTTATGTTCCATTATCTCATAAATTTATAAGATGTAGTAGTGTGCAATAATTATTCCCATCTTGCACCTCTGAAGCTTAAGGGGACAGTATTTCAACTTCGGCCTTTTTTATAGGAGAATGAGCCAAGCTCTGGTTACTTTACTTACTGTGTCTCTTTCCACACCTCCTAGGCAGGTTAAAAGCAGTGATAAGAGAGAAGCTGGCAAACCTAGTTAGTCCTGAGAGCCCAAAGATACGGGAGAGAGGAAATGCAGCAGCTGATTAAAAAACAAAAAAGTGGCTCCTCGAGTTCATTTATTGTACAGTTTCTGGAGTATTTCTGTCATCTTTTCAGGGAGTTTTTCTGTCATCTGGCACTCTGTTTGTCCTTGTCATTTTCATATTTACCCAGAATTTGTCCTGAGACTTCAGAGGACTGTACTCAGTTTAAATGTGGAGTTTTTAATATCTTTTAACTTTTATAAGCTTTTTCTCCCAACAAAGCTGAAAGAAAACCCACTTTGTCACTTCTGAGCGGTGACAGTCCATGGGGAGCCTGTGGTATGTAGGATGGGCATTGGCAACCATAAATGGATTATGTTTGTTTGAGATTACATAGTGTACCATTTGAATCTCCTGAAAATTGCTTCTGGAACAAAATGGGGCTTGGATAACTCTTGGGCTGATACATGTACTTGGTATGAGACATTTTGAACTCCTCCTGCTGATAGATGTCACGAGCAACACCAGAGTGGTAAGTGTTAAACAAGGAATAAAGCAAGTAGTTAATGGGTTGTGCCATTTAAAAATGAGATGAGGAAGAGCAGCATTGTGTACAGAAAGCATGTAGCTGGCCGAGACAGCTGTTTTACCTAACCTGGTCATAAAAGCCTCATGATTTTTTTTTTTTTTGAGACAGAGTTTCACTCTTGTTGCCCAGGCTGGAGTGCAGTGGTGCAATCTCGGTTCACTGCAACCTGCACCTTCCGGGTTCAAGCGACTTTCCTGCCTCAGCCTCCCGAGTAGGTGGGATTACAGGCATGTGCCACCACCCGGGCTAATTTTGTATTTTTGGTAGAGACGGGGTTTCTCCATGTTGGTCAGGCTGGTCTTGAACTCCCGACCTCAGGTGATCTGCCTGCTTTGGCCTCCCAAAGTATTGAGATTACAGGCATGAGCCACCGCACCCGGCAAAAGCCACATGTTCTTAGCAGTTCTTAGTAGTGGTAGAGTTAAGTTTGTCTCTGGGGCTCTTTGTTACCACCGCTCCAGAGTTGCCCATTGAGGACTATCAATTGGAAATATGTCCCTGAGGAAAAAATGATATACCAGTTGATTGTGTGTTACCACTCAGATACACAGGCAACAGGCTTTTAGCCTGTGATAAAGGACCAGAGGTTAGTTCAGCTGAGCACTCTTCCAGCAGCCACCAGAGGGTTCTGAAACAGATTCCCCCTTGGCAAGGTTTCCCAAATGTCTAAATTACTAAATCAGTATGGGAGATCATCAGCTCTGTGACTGGTTAATATAGTTTTTCCCAAGAGCACTCCTTCTCTGACCGAGGAAATGCTGGAAATCGATGGGATAAGTAATGTCTGGGTGACTGCTTTAGGCTGGCTTTGTGTTTACATATTGAATTGATTTTCCTTGCTGTGTTTATAGTACAAGTTGTGCAAAGTGAGGAAGATTACTGTGGGAGTGAAGGGAATCCCTCACCTGGTGACTCATGATGCTCGAACCATCCGCTACCCAGATCCTGTCATCAAGGTGAACGATACTGTGCAGATTGATTTAGGGACTGGCAAGATAATCAACTTTATCAAATTTGATACAGGTAAGTTTTTTTTTTCCCTTGTGTTGTCTGCCACCTCCCTCTTTGTCTTTTCTTTTTCTTTCTATTTTATTCTTCTGTTTTGTCTGTACACCCATTATGATTAGAGAGAACTAAAACACATTTGGTTTTCTCTAAGAGCATATTGTGTCATGGTCTCTTGGGTTTGCAGTGGGTTCTTGATGTTGAGTAGAGGTGTGATGTCCCTTTGGGCTATCTCCAGTAGCCCAGCCTCATTCAAGAATGTAAACCATAGCTATGTAAACTCTGTGTCCATTCTGTTTGTCAGAAGAGGGGAACTTTGTTTTAAATGCGATAAAGTTTAGCTGTGTTCCTTGAGGTGAAGGGCTGAAGTTGTCCAGATAATCTTAAGCTAGTGATGAGAAAAAGATGTGTCTACAGCTTTGTTTCTCCTCCCTACACCTCAGGCTCTGACTCCTGACAGGTTTATACCCAAGTGCTTGCTAATACCTGATCAGCTAAGGAAGTAAAATATTTTGCCTGACTTGTTTTAACAGAAATTTTTAGACATGCAGAAACACTGAAAGAATAGGTCAGGGACAACAAACAATGGCAACTCCTTTTGTGCCATTCTTCAGTGACTTTTTTTCTGTTGCTTTTTTTGATTTTGTTCTGTTGCTTATCTGCCCTCCCTGTTTACCTGCTTATGGCACCCCCGCAGTCCTCACTTGGACTCTGATTTAAGACCTAGCCAAAGTCCTCAGTTGCCTTGGTGTTTGAACCTAGGCTGGCTGTCTTGAGTTGAGTACTCCACAGGCTAGGGTTGTCTGATTGTTTGACCACTATGACCTTGTACCTGTGCTGCCTGCACTTCTGTTATTTACTGTTGACCTGAAAATTTTAGCCAAGAATGTTTGTTTCTTCGCTGTGAAAGTTGAGAGGGCTTCCCATTAGGGGAAAATATTGAGAGGGGATATTAAACAGGATGTGTCATGCTTGTGATACCTAAACCTGTTGTTTGATTTCAGTGTGACCACAGAGATAACCAGATATCATGCACCTCCTAGTAATAGCAGGAAGTAATAGCAGGAATACTTACATTCAGGAAGTATTCTTGTCAAAGAATGAAGACAAACTTGGGTAAAGGGACAAAGGAAAAAATGTATATATTGGAACACACTTAAGAAACATTTGCGGAGTTACTTAGATTTTCGAGTGGCTTGTGAGAATATTTCAGGTTCTAATGATTTGGTACTGGCCATTTGTTTCTAAGTGATCCAGCGCAGGACTGCATAGGTAAAGATGAATCAAAGCTGGCCAGGAGTTTAAAAATGTTACGAAGCTGGAGAGTGGGTAGGTAGGAGCATCTTATGCTTGTCTCTCAAACGTTTGCATACCTTTGAGAATAATTTTTTTTTTAATTTTTTGAGATAGAGTCTTGCTCTGTCGCCCAGGCTGGAGTGCAGTGGCACGATCTTGGCTCACTGCAAGCTCCACCTCACAGGTTTGCGCCGTTTTCCTTCCTCAGCCTCCCAGGTAGCTGGGACTGCAGGTGCCTGCCACCATGCCCGGCTAATTTTTGTATTTTTAGTAAAGACGGGGTTTCACCATGTTAGCCAGGATGGTCTTGATCTCTTGACCTTGTGATCCGCCCACCTTGGCGCCCCAAAGTGCTGGAATTACAGGCGTGAGCCACCGTGCCCAGCCGAGAATAATTTTTAAAATGGATGTGGACTTCTTATCTCCAATGAAATGATATGTTGTATCTCATTTGTTTATTAAATCAAATTCCCAGTTAAAATTCAACAGATTTTTTTTTCTCCCCCACCTAACTTGTTTGTTTTTGTTTTGTTTTGTTTTTGGGGGAGTTTTGTTTCATTTTGCTTTCAGACAGTCTTGCTCTGTTGACCAGGCTGGTGTGCAGTGGTACAGTCTCGGCTCACTGCAACCTCCGCTTCCTGGGTTCAAGTGATTCTACTGCCTCAGCCTCCCAAGTAGAGACAGGGTTTCACCATGTTGGTCAGGCTGGTTTCAAACTTCTGACCTCAGGTGATCCACCTGCATCGGCCTCCCACAGTGCTGGGATTACAGGTGTGAGCGACCGCCCTGGCCCTAACTTTATTTGAAATATATATCCCTTTGTCTTACACAAACATGCTTGGTATTAATTTTTTTGCTTATTTGTTTATTACTTACTAGTTTACTTAGTTTAGTCCTGGGAGTGTACATAAAATAATCTCAGAATGACAAAGCCAATATTCCTAGTAACAAGAAACCCACTGAGTGAGGGCAAAGGTTTTTTTGTAGTTCTTGGTTTGTTTGGTTTTAAATGCTTAAATAATTTTTAATTGTGGTTTCAAAAAAAAAAAGATACGTCAGAGATTTACCACCTTAACCATTTTTAAGTGTACAGTTCGTTAGTGTTGTTAACTATATTCACATTCTTATGTGGCAGATCTCCAGAACTCTTTCATCTTGTTAAACTGAAACTATGTGCTTTAACCAACTTTGCCACTTTCTCCTTTCTACAACCTCTGACAACCACCATACCACTCTGCTTCTGTGAATTTGACTCTTTTGGGTGGTGTCTTAATAAGTGGAATTGATAGTGTTTGTCCTTTTCGACTAGTTAACTTTGCTTGGCGTCATGTCCTCAGGGTTCATCCATGTTGTGGCATGTGAAAGTATTTCTTTCCTCTTTTTTTGAAAGAGTTTCACTCTTGTCGCCCAGGCTGGAGTGCAGTGACTTTATCTCCGCTCACTGCAACCTCCATCTCCTGGTTTCGAGTGATTCTCCTACCTCAGCCTCCTGAGTAGCTAAGATTTCTGGCACCCATCACCACACTCAGCTGATTTTTGTATTTTTAGTAGAGATGGGGTTTCGCCATGTTGGCCAGGCTGGAGTCAAAACCCTTGACCTCAGGTGATCCACCCTCTTTGGCCTCCCAAAGTGCTGGGATTACAGGCGTGAGCCACCGCACTTGGCCAGTATTTCCTTCCTCTTTCTAAGGCAGAGTAATACTCAGTTGGGTGTGTATACCACATTTTGTTTATCCATTCCTCTGTGGATGGACATTTGGGTTGTCTCCACCTCTTGGCTACTGTGAGTAATGCTGCTGGGGACACAGCGGTGCAGACAACTCTTCCAGATCCTGCTGGATGTTTTTGTATACACACTTAGAAGTGGCATTGCTGGATGAGATAGTTTTGAAATTTTTGAGAAACCATTGTGCGGTTTTTTTATAGCAGCCTTGCCATTTTACATTCTTACCAACAGTGTAGAAGAATTTCAGTTTCTTCACATTCCTTCCCACACTTTGCTGTTGTTTGCTTTTTATATATTTTCTTTTTTTTTTTCTCGTGGCTATCCTGGTAGGTATGAGGTCATATCTCATTATTATTTTTTTAAATTTGGAGTTCTGTGATGAGTAGAGATGTTGAACATCTTTTTGAGTGTTTGTATGTCTTTGGAGAAAGGTTTTATTCATGTCCTTTGTCCAGTATTTAGCTAGGTTGTTTCTGGTATTGTGGAGTTGTAGGACATCTTTAGATAGTATCAGATGTAAGATTTGTGGATGTTTTTTCCCATTCCATAGGTTGCCTTTTCACCCTTACTGATTGTTTCTTTTGGTTGGCAGGCATTTTTAAATTTGTCAGGTTTTGCTTTTGGTGTCATGTCCAGGAAATTATATCTCTTATGTCATGAAGCTTGTGGTCTCTGTGTTTGTCTTTGGAGCTTTACAGTTCAAGGCCTTACGTTTAATCTGTTTAGAGCTGGTTTTTGTATATGGTGTAATGTAAGGTATTCTCATGTTGTTTCTTTACATGGGGACGTAGATTTACCAGCACCACTTGTTGAAGTGACTGTCTTTTCTCCATTGAGAGGTCTGGGCACCCTTGTTGAAGATCATTTGGCCATATATGCTTGGGTTTATTTCTGGGCTCTATTTTCTTCCTTTGGTCTGTTTGCCTGTCTTTTATGCCAGTATCACACTGTTGAATTACTGTCATTTTGTATTTTGTTTTCAAATTAGGAAGTGTGTTATCCAAGTGAGTCAACCATGCTCAACTTCGGTTTTGTCAGTTTTTGTTAATCTGTTTTAAAATATCAACCCTTAGTTTTTTTTCTTTTTTCTTACTGTTTTTTTCTTTTATGTCTGCTCTGGTCTTATTTAATTTTCTTCCTTCTGCCAACCTTGGGTTTATTCTGTTTTTCTAGTTCCTTGTAATGTAGTTAGGCTATTCATTTGAGGTCTTTCTTCTGTTGTAACATAAGCATTTTTGAGCTGCCTTGTCTTGTGTGACAATTTTTGACTTATAGTCTATTTTGTCTGACCCAAGTTTGGTCACCCCTGCTCTCTTTTGCTTACTATTTGCCTGGAACATCAACTTCAGCACTTCACTTTCAGCCTGTGTGTGTCGTTAAATCTGAAACCGGTCTTTTGTTAACAGCATATAGTTGTAACTTGACTGGTTGGTTGGCTGGTTTTATTCATTTAGCTAGTCTGTGTCCTTAGATTGGGGTGAGGAGTTAATCTGTTTTACAGTCAAAATAGTTGCTGTTAAGGAAGGCATTAGTTAGTATAGCTCTGTTGTTAATTATTTTCAGTATGTTCTGTAGCTATTTTATACCTATTTTTTCTCCCTTATTACCTGCCTTTTTGTGCTCTGCTGCTCTTTACTTTTTATAGTGACAAAAAATAAAAGAACACTTTGAATCCTTTCTGATTTTGTGTGTCTTCCATGGTTATTTTCTTTGTGGTTACCAAGGGGATTACATAAATTATCTTAAAGTGAAAACAGTCTGTTTTCAACTGTTACCTTCAGTTGCATCTCCATATCCCCTCAGACAAATTTTGTTATTGATGGCACACATGAATGTTTTTCTATTGTGTATCCTTTTACCATTGGTTTATGGTTATTGATGTGCTTTTGTGTTTTAAGTTCTATACCAGACTTAAAAGTGATTTATACACCTTTGTGATCTAGGATTCTCTATTTGTCTGTATATTTACCTTTATCAGAAAGCTTTATATTTTCTTTCTTTCTTTCTTTTTTTCATATGGTTTTGTGTCTGACATCCTTTTGTTTCATCCTGAAGTGCTTTTCTTCAGCATTTCTCGTAAGGCCAGCCTAGTGGCTTTTGCTTACCTTGGAAGGTCTTATTTTTTCTTTCATTTTGAAAGTTATGGTATTCTTGTGAGGACTAAACCCTGATGATTATCTTACCCAAATCCCTATCTAAGGGATCTGGAGAGTTACGCCCTACAAATGAGCATGACTCATCATCAGATGGGTTTTATTTAACCCTATATTTCATGACTTACTTTCCAGTCTGACTCTGGGATAACATTACGAGACAATGAAGAAAATAAAAATATTTTACCCCAAAACATGTTTGCCATATTTTGAAATGGACTTGCAAAGCTGCTCTTCGTGGGAGTGGAGGAGAAATCTGCATCTGTAAAGAATCTCTATTAAAATAGATAAATCTTTTTCTTCCAGACCCTCCCAATCCTAAAGAGATAAACTAAAATCTGAATAAGAAACATTGGTCATTTATTGTCTCTAAGGGCAACCACTTCCCTAAGACTTCAGAAGAACTTCAGTCTCCATCATCTTTTATCTTAACCTGAGCATTCCCTTTCCCTTCTTACCAATCCCAGGCAAACTCAACCGTCAACCAGAAAATGTTTAAATTCACCAATAGACTGGACCTGATAACCCCCCAACCCTGCCCTTTCTTGACCAAACCAGTGTATTTCTTAAATGTATTTGATTGATGCCTCATGCCTCTCTAAAATGTATAAAACCAAGCTGTGCCCTGACCACCTTGGTTACATGTTCTCAGGGCCTCCTCTTGAGGGTTGTGTCATGGGCCATGGTCGCTCATATTTGGCTCTTTTATAGTTAGACTCTTCGTTGTCACTTGGTTTAAGCACTTTGAATATGTCATCCCACTGTCTTCTGGATTGCAGAGTTATAGCTTATCTAGCAAGAGCTCCCTTGTAAATGATGAGTCACTTTTTACTTGCTGCTTCCAAGATTCTTTCTTTGTGACTCTTGAGAGTTTGATTATATTGTCTCTTGATGCTTTGGGCTTATCCTAGTTGGAGTTCAGCTTCTTGAATTTGTATGTCCATCTTCTTTCACACAACTGGGGAGTTTGGGCCATTATTCTCTTCTAGTAGGCTTTTTGCCCCTCCCTGTCTTTCCCCCAAATCCTGTTCTCATTTTCTCTGTTTCTGTCTTTTCTCCTTCTAGGACTCTTGTAGTTTGTATATTGTTCCTCTTGATGGTGTCTGCTACTCCCTCTCTTAGGCTCACCTTTATTTTTCTTTTTTCCTTTTTGCGCCTCTGACTTGTTAATTTCAGTGGCCTGTCTTCAAGTTTGCAGATTCTTTCTGGACCTGTGATTTTTAAATTCTGTTCAATTGTATTCAGTTCCAGAGTTTGATCCTTTTTTGTGGGTTTCCTTTACATTGTTGATAATTCTCATGTTGTTTATGGGTTGTTTTTCTGATTTTGTTTGTAGCTGTTTCCTTAGTTTGATATGCATCTTTAAGATGGTTAGCTTGAATTTTTTGTCTGGTAACTCATACATCATCGTTTCTTTAGGCTTATTTTTCTAAAGAAAAACAGCCATCTCTTCCAGTCTTCCCTATGTATCTTCATACAGGGAGTATGACCTTCACCAGTCAGCCAGGCTAGAGGTTTTGGGAATCTCATCTCAGGGCTTGCATGTGTACTTTCTTGGCTGTGCTTCTCTGAAGCCCCTAACCTCTTGCTTTGCCTGATGCCTGTCTGTGGTACTATGGCCTCTCTGCTGTTGTAACAACTGTCTCATATACCCTGCTCCACCCCCATCCCTGTATGTCTTTTTTTTTTTTTTTTTTTTTTTTTGAGCTGGAGTTTCATTCTTGTTGCCTAGGCTGGACTGCAGTGGTGACATCTCTGCTCACTGCAACCTCTGCCTTTTGGATTGAAGCGATTTTCCTGCCTCATCCTCCGAGTAGCTGGGGTTACAGGCATGTGCCACCATGCCCGGCTAATTTTGTACTTTTAGTAGAGACGGGATTTCTCCATGTTGGTCAGGCTGGTCTTGAACTCCCAACCTCAGGTGATCCTCCCACCTCAGCCTCCCAAAGTGATGGGATTACAGGCATAAGCCACAGTGCCTGGCAATTTTTGTAATTTTTCGTAGAGACAGGGTTGTCTCATCATGTTAGCCAGGCTAGTGTTGAATTCCTGACCTCAGGTGATCTGCCTGCCTTGGCCTCCAAAAATGCAAGGATTACTGGCATGAGCCACCGTGCCTGGCATTTTTTTTTTTTTTTTTCCAAGACAAGAGTCTTGCTTTGTCACCCAGGCTGGAGTGCAGTGGCATGATTTCGGCTCACGGCAACCCCTGTCTCTGAGGTTTAAGCATTCTCTTGCTTCAGCCTCCCAAGTAGCTGGGATTATAGGTGTGTGCCACCATGCCTAGCTGTGATCCACTGCAGTAGAAAATTTTGTTTTCACATACTGCTTTGTCCATAACCTTCCTCTCACTTCAGTTTTTGGGACTTGGATTTAAGTTGTATTAGAGCTTTTCACAGTAGACCTACTTGTCCAGTCTTCTCCATTTTTCATCCTTTTGTCTTTCCATGGTGCATCATGAGCAGTTACTTTCAGCACCTTCTATTTTTCTGATTCTCTCTTCAACTAACTATAGACATGTTTCATTAAACCCATTCCTTTCCATTCTTAATTTTGGTAACCGCATTTTTCATTATTTGTTTGATTTTCAAATCCGCTAGGTTACTCTGCAAAGGTGGGCTTCTTGTTGATTTACATTAGTTTTGTTATGTTTTGTGTTTTCTTTTATCCTTGTACACCCTTTTAAGGCAGTTCCAAGTTCTGCATTTGGTTTGTGCTATGTTGAGGGTGGTGGTCTTTATCATGGTGTCTTAGTTCCTTCCATGCTAGACACTACATGTAAAGTACTGTTAGTAAGAATACTATGCGATCAAGATGATTCTGCCTTCCTTCTGTCTGGCATCTGGGCTGTCTTAGCAGCGTGAGATCACCTTGATCAAGACTTGAGATTCCCTTGCTGGCTGTCCAGAGAGGGTGAATTTCAGATTTTAAGTTATTAGGAAGAAGGATTGTTTTGGGCTCAGGTGTTTGTGAGGGTTTTGCCTTTGGGGTCCAGCTAATTATGGGAAGCGTCTGCTGTTTTCACCTGGAGACTGAACCCGGAGCTTTGATTTCTATTCTATTGTCCCTGTGAGACCATCAAAAAGAAAGGAGTGTCCCACAACAAAAGTCAACATTAGTTTGCACTCAGTCTGTTTTCCTGGGAGTTGTCTGATAGACGTAAAGAATAGAGCTGACACATTCAAGAATTATAAAATAGTGATTCATGGGAAGGGTCTCCGCTTTCAACCTCCATTTACTAATGTGCCCGTAGTAGGCACCATTCTAAATGTCAGGGGCTTTTTACTGGAACTTAACACATCTTGAAAGAATCAATGTTTTCATCAATTTGTAGCCTTTCTTCACTTTTAGAAGCAGTGACAAACAAGTGAAGTGAAGGAACTATTATTAACAATTTGAATTTTACCATAATTAGCTCTGTTTTTTTCCCTATGCATACTAAGTCCATAGTGTTCCCACATGAGGGTTCTGGAGAATGAACTAAAAAAAAACTTGGTGCACCTTTTAATTGACATAAGCATTGCAAGGCATTTCTGCTACTCTTGCCTAAGTACTGATTTTCTCTTAAAGGAGGCTCTGCAATTCAGTCTTGAGCAAAATAGTAAGTTTTCATTGACATTTCATCTTACCGCTTTTTCGGGATTATCTTCTGCTTACCAGCTAGCTCAAGCCCTGCATTTTGTTACTGAGCAGGTGCTTCTATCCAAACCTTCCTTAACTCCAAACCTAACTTAACTTTAATGTAAAGTATAGTATAAGAAAGTTCTTTGTAACTGAGGTTGTTAGGGGCTGCTCGTTTACTGTCTTAGTAGTTGCCACAAGGACCCTAAAGGACTGGCCAAGTACACTGACTTAAGAAACAAAATCTTGGGCCTTTTATGTGATTTTGTTATCTTTCAGATACAGGTCTGTGGGTACTTTCTTGTGACTTTAGTGGGTATCCATACCATCTTACACAAAATTACTTTCAAATCATTTCTCTAACTCTCCAGTACAGTTGCTAATGTTGAGGCAAAACCTTTGGTCCTTTTAATTCCTATGGCTTCTCACCATGTCAAAACACATATAAGCAGCTGGCCTTGGGTTTCTGTTAAAAATCTGCATGTTGGATCAACCAATGTATTTGTGGTAGAAAGGGTCAAACTGCAGAAATCTGTTTGATCATTGTCAGACCAAGCAATTTTTACCTTAGAGATAATTGTAATTTTCTTGCATCCTAGAGCCTCATCTTTAAGATGCTCAGATTGAGTTGGGTTCTTCTGTTTCCCATCAGTTTTTGAGAGATCAATAAGTGTAATATGTTTGTGCCATTGATTCATAGGTTATAATTTCAAATTTATCCTGGAGTTTTTTAGGCTAGGTTACTTGTTTGTGTTTTGTTTTGTTAGTATTAAGACAGGGCTTTATTCTCTGGCTTTGGTGGTGTGTCTTCTTTAAAAAAAGAGGATGTGTCCTTTTTCCTTTTTTTTTTAAATGTGTCTTCACATAAAAAAGAGGACTTGTGGCTGAGTCTTTATTAGCAGTGGTTTGAGGGAAAGTTTTTCTTAAAACATGTTTATTCTGTGATAGGTAGAACTTCCTTGACAAGGTAGCCTGTGTCCTAGATAGTATACTTATATTAGATGGTTATGTCCCGCAAAAATAACTCTAGATGTCTGAAACAAATGTATTCCTCCAGGGGTCCCCTGAGAGCCCTTAAAAGATTCCCCATTGAAAGACTGGATTAGCTAGCCATCCAGTTAAAGGCCTTTCTTTATTGTCTAGTGTCTTTCTCATAGCCTGAATTTCTCCAGTTCTCCCTCCCTCTCAGTCATCCTCCTTATCTCTCTACCCATCCACCCTACCCAGTGCTGTTCCATGCCATCTTTGTCAACCCCAAAATGATTATTCAACCTTTGAAGAATTATTGTTGGACAAACAATGCAGGGAAAGCTTATGATTTGAAAAATCATCAGGGGCCTGCCTTTAAATGCTGACTGCAATCTAATTCACAAATAGCATTCGTTTACAGTGACAAGAGTTCTTGAAATTACAATTTTGGGATGATGCTCCATTTTTTTTTTTCCTGGTGAGCCCGTGTGTGTTAATTTGTTTTAAAGGCAACAGGCCCGTCTGGTTTTAAAATGACTCCTCTCCTGTTTATTTTCCTTTCCCTCTAGGCAATTTGTGTATGGTGATTGGTGGAGCCAACCTCGGTCGTGTTGGTGTGATCACCAACAGGGAAAGACATCCTGGTTCTTTTGATGTGGTGCATGTGAAGGATGCCAATGGCAACAGCTTTGCCACGAGGCTTTCCAACATTTTTGTCATTGGCAATGTAAGACTTACACTCTCTTTACTTCTTTCTAAGAAGACTCATCCTAAAAAGCATAAAGACCTGCATCCACTACTGGTGTTTGTCTGTTTGTTCTTTTTCCAGTGTTAAGGTTCACAGAGTGCAGCAAGCTCTCTATTTAGAGCCTCTGAGAAGAAACAAGATTAGATCTAGAGCCTTACACCTGCCTCTTCAGGTGGTCTGTGTGAGATGCCAGCAGTGTCATTCAGTAAATTAAGTTAAACTCAGCCTTGCAACTTTTGCAGGGCTACATCACTGGTATGGGCTGGATTAAGGTCACTGGCTCCAATCCTGGTAGTGCTGTGCCCCCTTAATTTTGTAAGTGAGTCTGCTAAACCCCTCTGAGACTCCATCTTACAGTTCATCAGTGAACATGGAGTTGATGGAGATTGATGCAAGGGGGCTATGAGTGAGTTGCTAATTTGAGAATAAGGGCATTTACAAGGCACGTAACACTTGTTAGTTTACTTGTTCAAGATGATCTTGCTCTGGGATCTTTTGAGACCTTTTCAGTGAAGGAGCACCTCTGAAATCATGCAGTATCCTTACATGGGAGTCACTTGCCCCAAGACTTAAGGAAAGGGCAACGGACATAATTGAAAAGGCTTTTTATTTTTATTTATTTATTTATTTTTTGAGACGGAATTTTGCTCTGTTGCCCAGGCTGGAGTGCAGTGGCACGATCTCAGCTCACTGCAAGCTCTGCCTCCCGGGTTCACGCCATTTTCCTGCCTCAGCCTCCCGAGTAGCTGGGACTAAGGCGCCCGCCACCAGACCTGGCTAATTTCTTTTTGTATTTTTAGTAGAGACGGGGTTTCACCGTGTTAGCCAGGATGGTTTCGATCTCCTGACCTGGTGATCACCCAACTTGGCCTCCCAAAGTGCAGGGATTACAGATGTGGGCCACGACGCCTGGCCAACTGAAAAGCTTTTCATCAAGCTATTCAGCCCCGGGAGCAGCATCTTTCACTTGTACCCTGGCAGTCCTTAGGATATTTGAGAGAAGTGGTACAGAGGCGAAGCCTGCTGTTGTTTTTTTGGCTGTGCCACTCAGAAGCTCTATAGTTGGGCCATTCTTCTTCTCAGTATTGAATTATGAAACCTCAGTTTATACCTTTGAAAGCAGGGGATCAGGGAAGTGAGTAAATGCATGTAAAAGTTCTGTAAAGCTGATGATAGGGTGCTGACAGTACACAACTTCAAAACTATGAGAACCTGAAGTTAGTGGCCTTGCCTTTAAAGATGCTTATGAAAAACTTGTTGGCTGATTGCTTCACATAAAATAGAAGCAGGAAGACCTTTATTTAGCAGCTCAGCAGTGAGGAGTGGGAGGGACTGTGAGAGGCAGATAACCTCTCAGGAGACATGTATAAGGAAGTGTTTATTTTGTTTTAGATTTTGTTGGGTGGTGGTCTGTTAGCTGGCTATTAATGTGAAGGAAGGTATGAGGCATGTGTGTTTTGGTGGGATGTTGTTTTTCTCTCCTCCCTTTCTTTCTGTACTTACTTTTATCTCCTCTTCTATTGCAGGGCAATAAACCTTGGATTTCCCTGCCCAGGGGAAAGGGCATTCGACTTACTGTTGCTGAAGAGAGAGATAAGAGGCTGGCCACCAAACAGAGCAGTGGCTAAATTGCAGTAGCAGCATATCTTTTTTTCTTTGCACAAATAAACAGTGAATTCTCGTTTCTTAATGTGTTTTTTCCCCCTTGTGGATAATAGTAGGGTTTGAATTTGCTCATGATTTTGGCACTGTCTTAAGATCTCTAGGAATACCACCTATACTTCCTCTGACCCTCCAGTAAATAAACCTTTGCTTCCCTCATACATGTTACCCACACCATCTCTGTGGGCAGAGTGATGGAGTAGCATTCCAAAACGAAGTACAAAAAACGTATGACATTTCAGAAAGGACGGCATTCTTTTGTGGAAGCTATGGGAGATGGTCTTAGTTTTCTTGCTTGTTCACATTATTGGTAGAAATTAAATCCTGTGGCTGTAGGAAAGAGGTCCCTTTTTCCTTGCTGACTGACAATCTGAGCGCTTTTCTCAGCTTCTGGAGGCTATGTGCATTCTTTGCCTAAATGTCCCATTTCTCCATCTTGTTCAAAGCCAGCAGTGGCAGGTCAGGTCCTTCACATACAGAGTCTTTGGTCTTTCTTTGACCCATTCAGCAATGGTTCTCCACTTAAGGGGGGCCCATTAGAGTAACCTCTTATTCTCATGGATTGTCACTTTAATGTCGTATTTATAGGATCTTTGGATATTGGTTTTCTTACAGAAACTTCTATGGCTGGTGGCGCCTTTGCCTGAGTTTTGCTTGGCCTGCTGGGCTCGTTCTGCCCACTTGGCATCGCAGGCTGTGCTTGGCGTATAATACTGGCCTGGATCCCATGCCTGCCAAGGGCAAACCAGGCGTGGAGCAGTGAGGAGGGGTATGTGAACAAGCATGAGGTCTGGCCACTGCAGTCACACATGTTGGCTGCTGCCGCTGGGCAGGCAGCTCCAGGTGCCAGGATGGGTGCTGGCTCTCTGTAAAGCTGCAGCTGGACCAGGTGTACCACAACAGCTTCCACAGCTGGCTCTGGGGAACACGTTAGCACTCAGAAGCTTGGAGATGCCAGGAACTGCACGGCCTCAAATGGGGAGCCCACATCCCTGGCTCAGGGAGCTCCCAGGTCTTGGCTCCCCAGAGTACTGCAGGGCTTCTTTCCTCATTGCCTGCAATGTGGCAACCAAGGGGAATGTATCAGCTCTTTTGTGTTACAGGTATATTAGGATTGACATTTGGTGGGTCCTGAGTTCTTGTCCTGCGTCCAGGAAGAATGAGGTACGTGGACAAGTGGAGGGTGAGCAAGACAGGAGCTTTATTGAGCAACAGGACAGCTCAGAGGAGACCCATGGGGCAGCTCCACTCCTCAGCCAGGATTGGAGCAGGCTCTGGGAGCCAGGAGAGGGCAGTGGGAGCAGACAGCCTGATCCTGGGGGACGAGGGGTGCCTTCCCAGGTCCCCAAGGTTGCAGAGTGCAGAGATGGTATTGGGAGCAGGGGTGACATCTGGCAAGTTGTTCTGTGGCCCCAGTGCCCGCCTCTGACAGGTTCCCGACCCTGGAGGGGAGTAGGGGTGTAGGGGGGCCAGGGTGCCTCCAGGAGTGGATCGCCGTTGCTTGGTGATCCCCCCATGGGCCCTGGAGACACAGCCTTAGGAGGCCCTGGCAGAGCCAGATGTATGTGTGCATGCACCTGTGATAATCAGGTTTTTGTTTTTTTTTAAATTGAGGCAGAGTCTCACTCGTGTCCAGGTTAAGGTTTACTAGTGCAATCTTGGCTTACTGCAGCCTCCCCCTCTTGGGTTCAAGGAATTCTTGTGCCTCTCAACCTCCCAGGTAGCTGGGACTAGAGGCACATACCACCATGCCTGACCTGATTTTTGTATTTTTAGTATACAAAATTGGCCTGTCTGGTCTCAAACTCCTGATCTCAAGTGATCTACCCATTTTGGCCTGACAAAGTACTGGGATTACAGGCGTCAGGCATTGTGCCTGGCTGATAATCAAAATTTTGACTCAAGTGCAGCGAAGATACTACACTGGAAAGAAGGTGGGATAAGAATTCTCTTGAGTACTGTGTTTATTGTAGTCTCATAGGCACCTCTATTTCAGTGTCCCTTCATCTCCTTATGACTGACAAATCTAAAACTGAATATGTTGCTCAAAAATGTCTTCTCTTACCAGCCCTTCCTCCCTGATGTAAGGACAGGATGTAAGGACATCCCTTTCCTCATCACACTTGAGAACCTAGGGTTATTGTTACCTTATTCCTCACCTTCATGTCATCATCTCCCTCAAATCCTTTCTGTAAGTGGGTGAATTTTAAATTATATGTAAGTAAACTAATCAGCCACCAAACATTACCAGCTGGGTAAATTTCTTCCTATCCATTGCCACTGTCACTCCTCTGTTGGAGGATTTTATCCCAGAAATATTTATCTGACTTAACCTTCTCCATCCACTGCCTATTATTTGAGTTTGGTCTTCCTGTATTTTAACTAGCTGGTGAGCTCAAAGAGCTACACTGTGAATCCATGACTTTGTTTCCTAGTCTCTTTCAGGTTTGCCCTGGGGCTCAAAGACAGCAAGTCTTGCCCTCACAAAATACCGCTCCTTCATTGTTTGATATCTTAAACTCTTAAGTATATGTCTGCACATTGGTCCTAATCTTTGCCCTACGCAGGCCCAGGACCTGACAGCCTTTTTCTGTCAGAGATGGAGCCCTCAGGCCTTTGTGCTCAGGCTTTGAAGGTCTAATTTTCCTCCCAGCTCTCTTTCCTACCGGGAGGGGTGGCAGCGTAGGACTAAGAACTCACCTTCTATCGGCAACTGAGACAAACTGATATAAAAACACACTCATCCAAATGCAAATAACTCGGGGCCCATGACTCTTAATGCAACAAGTCCAAATACTTAATCCCAGCCCTAAGAGACAGATGGAAGAAGGGAGGAAAAGCGGAATAAGAAAGGAATGAGCACCATCAGTGTCAACAACACTTGACCATAGAAAAAAATCTATTCCTGAATTAAACATTACTTTCTCATCTCTATTCTTGAGACATATTTTTTGAGTACCTACTGTTTGACATGCACTGAACAGAACAGATAGAAAACACTAAAGCTTGAGCTCAGGTGTGGGAAATTCATGATTTAAAAAGCAGAACTAAGCAAGGTTGTGCCAGTGACAAGTCTGAATAAATAAAATGGAACTGGGATAGAGACCTCTTTAGGCAGTCCACAAGGCCTCCCTGAGCATTGACATTTGTGAGTCAGTAGAATAAAGAGTCAACCAAGAATGCAAGTTAATGGCATGTTGATAGATTTCCTCCATAAAAAAGGGATAGATGCATGCTTCCCATTTGTATTAGTTTGCTGAGCCACAAAATGGGTAAGACAAATGAAGCCCTGGTGCCATGAACGCCTGTCATCCCAGCACTTTGGGAGGCCAAGGTGGGTGGGTCACAAGGCCAGGAGTTCAAGACCAGTCTGGTCAACATGGTGAAACTCCATCTCTATTAAAAATCCAAAAATGGAGCCAGGCATGGTGGCAGGCACCTGTAATCCCAGCTACTTGGGAGGCTGAGGCAGGAAAATCGCTTGAACCAATGAGGGAAAGGTTGCAGTGAGCTGAGATCATGCCACTGCACTCTAGCTTGAGCAACAGAGCAAGACTCCATCGCAAAAATAAATACAGAAATTAGTTGTCTCCTAATACTGGATGCCAAAAGTCCAATATCAAGGTCTTGACAGGACCATGCTCCCTCAGTGGATAGGAGGGATCTGTTTTAGGCCTCTCACAGTTCTGGTAGTTCCTTGGCTTGTGGCAGCGTAACTAGCCTTCACATGGCATTCTCCCTGTGTGCTGGAGATACACTTAAGTGAAACCTGCAATTTACTTTTCTTTTTTTTCTTTTTTTTTTTTTTTTTGAGATGGAGTCTCACTCTGTTCCCCAGGCTGGAGTGTAGTGGTGCTATCTTGGCTCACTGCAAGCTCCGCCTCTCGGGTTCACGACATTTTCCTGCCTCAGCGTCCTGAATAGTTGGGACTATAGGCACCCACCACCATGCCCACTAATTTTTTGTATTTTTAGTAGAGATGGGGTTTCACCGTGTCAGCCAGGATTGTTTCAATCTCCTGACCTCATGATCTACCCACCCTGGCCTCCCAAAGTGCTAGGATTACAGGCGAGAGCCACCACGCCTGGTGCTATTTACTTCTGGTGTTACAGGTGTGAGCCACCACGCCTGGCACTATTGACTTTTAGGGGAGCTTGTATGATCTTGAAAATTACAAATGACTTCAGTTTGGTGCTACTGCCTTGATCCATTCGTGGTAGGAAGCCAGGAGTCTCAACCACCAGTGCCTTTGCACCTTCAGTGCAAACATCAGTGTGGTGAAAAGGGCAGGTAATGTTTGCATGTGAAAATAATTGTGACTTTTTATGTATTCCTGGAAAGGGTCCCAAGACCTTGATTTTAGGGATGGCTGTGTTGAAACAGGCATTGGAAACTTCTAGAAATTGACCATCTTCAATAGTTCCTTTTCTAGTAAGAAAGTCAACCAAATACCTACCAGTGCACAATGTCACTTGTGAAGAATTAGTGTGTACGTATCCATACAGTTACATATATGGATATGTTCTGAATACAGTCAGGCAGATCTAACAGTACATGCAAGAAAATCAGGAGAGGTAGTTTAAAGGATATATGGCATAAACAAACCACACAAGCAATAAAAAGGAAAGCACTTCTAAAACATTGAGCAACATGAAAGAGTATCACTGAAGTGGTTTAGAGGAAAGAAAGCTAAACTCAAAAGAGGTTACAATTTATATGTTGCCCAAGAACATAGCACTTACCTGTGGTACTCAGGTGTGAGCCAGTGTACCCGGCCTTCCTTGTTTTTTGATGTGTGTGTTCATTGCTATGGAATTCTCTCTTAGGAATGTGTTTGCTGTAACTCTTGTTTTCTCAGAGATTATGTAGAATTATGTTCTTAAAGATATATGGTAGATTATCTTCTATTTTTCATAGGATTAGGTAGAATTGATGTTATTTCTTTAGATGGTATCTTTTGAGTTTTTTTTTTAGGAGTCAACATTTTAAATTATACATTTAATTCTGTGAATAGTTATGGGACAATTTAAAGTATCTCTATCGATGGGTGGAAGTGCTGTGTCTGTTGGTTTTTGTTTTGTTTTGAGACAAAGTCTCAGTCTGTCATTCAGTCTGGAGTGTGGTGACATAATCATGGCTCTCAATAGACTCAAACTCCTGAGCTCAGGTGAGCTTCCTGCCTCAGTATCCCAAGTAGCTGGGACCACAGCCACACACCACCATGCCAGGGTGCTGAGACCAGTTCAGTCGGGGAGACCCTAACCCAGCGGGCGCTGGAGGAATTAAAGACACACACACACAGATATAGAGGTGTGAAATGGGAAATCAGGGGTCTCAGCCTTCAGAGCTGAGTGCCCCGAACAGAGATTTACTCACATATTTATTAACAGCAAACCAGGCATTAGCATTGTTTCTATAGATATTAAATTAACTAAAAGTATCCCTTAAGGGAAACAAAGGGATGGGCCAAATTAAAGGAATAGGTTTGGTTAGTTAACTGCAGCAGGAACACGCCCTTAAGACACAGATCGCTCATGCTATTGTTTGTGGCTTAAAAACGTCGTTCAGCGGTTTTCCGCCCTGGGTGGGCCAGGTGTTCCTTGCCCTCATTCCCGTAAACCCACAACCTTCCAGCTTGGGCGTTAGGGCCATTATGAACATGTTACACTGCTGCAGAAATTTTGTTTATGGCCAGTCTTGGGGCCAGTTTATGGCCAGATTTTGGGGGGCTTGCTCCCAACACCATGGTAATTTTTTTTTTAAACTTATTTGTAGAGATGGTGTCTCACCATTTTGCCCAGGCTGGTTTTTAACTGGGCTCAAGCAGTCCTCCTGCCTCAGCCTCCCAAAGTGTTGAGGTTACAAGGGTGAGCCACCATGCCCAGCATCTGTGTGCTTTCTGAGAAATGTGTCCATTTTGTCAAAGATTCAAATTTATGTGTGTATAATTATTTATAGTATTCCCATATTGAGTGTGTATGTATGTGTGTGTAAGGTGTATAGGGTCTGTAAAGCAGAATACCCTGTTTTATCCTGATCATGATATTTATTTCTTCATCTTTGTCAGTCTTACTAGAAAGAGGTTGGTCAATTTTATCAATCTTTACACAACCATTCTGTGTTTCAATGACTTTTTTTTTTTTTTTTTTTAAGATGAAGTCTCACTGTGTTGCCCAGGCTGGAGTGCAGTGGCATACTCTTGGCTCACTGCAACCTCCGCATCCCAGGTTCAAGTGATTCTCCTGCCTCAGTCTGCCAAGTAGCTGGGATTACAGGCACCTGCCTCCAACCTGGCTAAATTTTGTATTTATTTTTAGTGGAGATGGGGTTTCACCATGTTGACCAGGCTAGCCTTGAACTCCTGATCTCAAGTGATCTGCTTGTGTTGGCCTCCCAAAGTGCTGCGATTACAGGTGGTGACCCACCATGTCCAGCCTGTTTCATTGATTTTTATCTATTGTTTCTCTTTTCTATTTGATAGATTTGTATACTTTATTTTTTTTCCTTTTGCTTGCTTTGGATTATTTTTGCCCTTCTCTATACAAGTTATTAAAATGGAAGTGTACATTATTGAAATGTATTCTCTTTTCCCATGTTTTAATTTAATGCCATAATTTTACCTGTCAGCACGCCTTCTCCTTTTACCTTCATCTGATCTGAAATGTGTTTTCAAATTTATCCAGCTCAATGTATTATTTTATTGTTTCTTGACACTTTTCCTTTAACCCTCTGATTATTGAAGGATTCTTGCTTGACCCAAGGGATAATCGTCCCAGTGTATGGAGATTTTCCTGTTATAATTTTCTTACTGATTTCTACTTTAGTTTTGTTGTAGTTTGGGAACACACTGGATTATTGTAATTCTTTTTTATTTGTTGAGTTTTGTTTGATGGCAGAGGAACCTTGAAAATAATGTGTATTTTGCATTTAGCAGAGTGTTCCATAAATGTTCATTAGATGGTTTTGGGTGATGGTGTTACTGAGAGGTCTCTTTTTTGTTGATTTTCTTTCTAGTTGTCTGGTGAATTTTTTTGATAAAGGATGTTGGCCTTTCGAACTATAATAGATTTGTCTTTTTCTTTTATATTTTTTAGGTTTTGCTTGACATATTTTCAGTTCTGTTTCTTGCTGCATGGACAGTTCAGATTGCTGTTTCTTCTAGGTTGTTTTATTTAGCATTATACAATATCCTTTACATCGCTGATAATTTTATCTTCTCTAGTCTACTTTATCTGGTAATATATCTATCCACTCCTGTTCTGCTTTTCACTTTTGAACTTTTCAGCCTGTCTGTACTTTTATATGAAAGTGAGTTTCTTGTAGATAGTAAATATGTGGAGCATGTTGTTAAATCTACACTGCTAATCTCCATATTTTAGTTGGTGCATTTAAACGATTTAGTGTTTACATTTAGTGTTAATTTTTGATATGTTCATAGTTTTCTTGGAACCAAGCCAGGTCTGGCTGCATTTTCTCATGGCCTAATAACTAGAAGCAGACAAACTACATAAGAAGGGAATTTATTGCTGTAACTAGATACAGGGAGAAGATGAGATAATTCCAGGAGACCAACTCAAAGTGTTACAATTTTTTGGTGGTTATATAGGTTGGGCTTATGTGCCTACATGCAGTATAGCTTTTGCCTAAGTCTATTGGCAGCTAAATTTTGTTTCAATTAGGTCAGAGGCCAAAAAAAAAAAAGGCTTGCTAAGTCTGATTCAAAGGGCCCCAGTGCCTTCAAGGGCTGTCTACTGTGGTACAGCAGTGATTATTTGTATCTTATGTCCTTTTAGAGCTTGATCTGGAGAGGTGCCTTAGACTCTCCAGTGAATCCATTCAAACAGCTGCCTCTGTTACCTTGACTCATCTCAGGTTTTGTTGACCAGAAACGGATACTGGCACTAGGAATGTAAGGCTGTCTCTATTATCTTGGCTGGCTCCAGGTTAGGGAGAAGCCCATGCCAGGCTCCTAATGACCATATGCTTCATTTCTAGCTTTGATGTCTGGGCACTGATTTCTGTAGGTTTAACTCTGCTCAACGTTAAGGCAGTGCTATGGAAATTTGTCTGTAACTAGGGTGTTGCACAGGCCTGTGTGTATGACTGTCAGCGAGAACTGTCATGCCACAATAGCTGTTCATTTTCTGTCTGCTGGTTTTGTTTTTTCTCCCGAGTTTTATTTTTTGTCCTTTGTGTGGGTTATTTGAAGAGATTTGAGACATTCATTTTGATGTATTTGTTATCTTTTTTAGTATACCTGAAGAGATATAAAGATATGCCTTTTTTGGTTGTCTTTCTAGGTATTACATTGTGTAAACATAATTTGTCACAGTCTACTGACATCAATTTACCTTACCTCCTATTAGTCCCTTTATCATTTCCCGTTTTATACTTGCCTTATATATTTTCTCTACATACATTTATGATGATCTCAGACTGTGTTACATAATTTTTGTTATAGTAGAGTTTTTAGTTTTAAAATTTCCTTTTCTTTGCTGAAACCTGTAATTTTTACACTTTATACTTGTTCATTAGTTTTAAGCATGTTCATAATTCTTCATTTAATTATTTTTATGATGGCAGTTTAGGAATCTTTCTCAGATATTCCTGATAACACTGACATTTCTGTATTGACATTTATCATGTTGTTTCTTTGAGGTGGAGGCTTTCCTATTGCTTGATTTTTATGAGTGATTTTTATTTGAAACTTGAACATTTAGGGGACTGTTAGGAGACTCTGGACCTTATTATGATGTTCATTTTTAGCTGATTTTATCTAATACCACCCTAATAGAGGAAAGGGTGTGCTTGTCTAGTAGATGCACAATTCCAAATTCCCTTCCTCATTTCCTTTGACACCCAAGGTAAGGCTCCTCATTACTGATAAACGAATATGCAGTTTCCAGTGTCACACAAGGCCTTACTTGCACCTCCTAGGGAAGGATGTCTTATTACCACGAAAACTCTAGTTCTCTATGCTGTCTTCTCTGATTCCACTCCAGCAGAGGGTTGGGGTGCTTCATTACTGCCTATAGAATGGATGTTTGCACTTGGACTTTGTTGGCTTGGGTAGGTTTTTTGTTTTGCCTTGTTTTGTGTGTGTTGTTTGGCTAAAGTAGGGTGGCTATTGTATAAAAGCTTTTTGTCTTAGTAAGATGTCTTTTTCCTAGCCCTGTGGCTAGAGAAGGCGGGCTTGTGAGAACATTTTTGTCTGTGCCTCTTTACATTTTTGGGTACCAGCTCCTTCAGGACCAACTATGTGATAACATGAAGCCAAAACAAAATCCAGGGAACTCATCCTTTTTATCATTTGCTGGGTCTTAAGTTCCCTCAGCAGTTTACCTCTTTGCTCCAATTTTCAAAGTCTTATGCTTGTTTTAGTTATAACACCCAGGGATATTAATTGTATTCATGGTATGATGGAAAAGTACATTTGCTCCATCTATTTTATTACTTAAGTGATGACTGAAGATGCAGAACATTTGTACTGTTCCTTTTGGGCAGAAAATTCAAAGTAATTTTTGCTGTTAAAACACTTCTGTGGATGGCAAGCCACCCAGGTGCCGAGGCAAGAGACCAAGGGCACAAGCTGTTCCAGTACAATAAAATATATAAAATAAGAATAGTTATACTAGATATAGATCTTAGATATGATTATATATGAATATCATTAATCATTAGTTTGTAGCAATTATTCTTTATTCCAATATTATAATAATCCTCGCTCTGTAATCATAACCTAGGTAAAACCAGGACATACAGAAATAGGAGCTGAGGAGATGTAGTGAGAAGTGACCAGAAGACAAGAGTGCAAACCTTCTGTTATGCCCGGACAGGGTCACCAGAGGTCTCCTGGGTCTAGTGGTAATGCCAGCATCTGGGAAGATGCCCATTGCCAAGCAGACCTTGGTCTAGCAGTAGCGTCAGTGTCAAGGAAAAACACCTGCTACTCAGCAGACTGGGAAAGGGAGTCTCCCTTTCCCTGGGGGATTTAGAGAAGACTGTGCTCTTCCACCTCTTGTGGAGGGCCTGACATCAGCCAGGTTCGCCCGCAGTTATCCGGAGGCCTAACCCTCTGCCTGTGATGCTGTGCTTCAGTGGTCATGCTCCTAGTCCGCCTTCATGTTCCATCCTGTACACTTGGCTCTGCCTTTTAGATAGCAGTAGCAAATTAGTGAAAGTACTAAAAGTCTCTGATAAGCAGAAATAATGGCGTAAGCTGTCTCTCTCTCCTCTCTATCTCTGCCTTGGCTGCCAGAAAGGAAAGGGCCCCTGTCCAGTGGACATGTGACCCACGTGACCTTACCTATCATTGGAGATGGCTCATACTCCTTACCCTGCTCCTTTGTCTTGTATCCAATAAATATCAGTGTAGCCTGGCATTCGGGGCCACTACCAGTCTCCGCATCTTGGTGGTAGTGGTCCCCTGCTGTCATTTATCTCTTTGTCTTGTGTCTTTATTTCTACACTGTCTTGTCTCTGCACATGAGGAGAAAACCCACCAACCCTGTGGGGCTGGTCCCTACAACTTTCAACGAATTTAACCTAAATAGGGACAGACTACTTTACAAGGTACAGTGTCAGTTGGGCACAGTGGGTCACGGCTGTAATCCCAGCACTTTGGGAGGCCAAGGAGGTGGATCACTCAAGGTCAGAAGTTTGAGACCAGCCTGGTTAACGTGGTGAAACCCCATCTCTACTAAAAATACACACACACAATTACCTGGCCATGGTGGTGCAGGGCTGTAATCCCCATGGTGGTGCAGGCCTGTAATCCTGGCTACTCAGGAAGCTGAGGCATGAGAATCACTTGAACCTGGGAGGTGGAGGTTGCAGTGAGCTAAGATCATACCACTGAACTCCAGCCTGGATGATAGGGCAAGACTCCATCTCAAAAAAGAAAAAGAAAAAAAAAAAAAAGGCCGGGCTTGGTGGCTTACGCCTGTAATCCTAGCACTTTGGGAGGCTGAGGCGGGTAGATCATGAGGTCAGGAGATCGAGACCATCCTGGTTAGCACAGTGAAACCCCATCTCTACTAAAAATACAAGAAATTAGCTGGGCATCGTGGCGGGCGCCTGTAGTCCCAGCTACTCGGGAGGCTGAGACAGGAGAATGGCGTGAACCCTGGAGGCGGAGCTTGCAGTGAGCAGAGATAGCACCACTGCACTCCAGCCTGGGCGACAGAGCAAGACTCCATCTAAAGAAAAAAAAAAAGGAGGTACAGTGTCTTTGAATCTTAGAGGAAGCTAAGATAGTTTCTAAGGTAAACTGCTCAGAACATAAAGAGTTTGCAGAGGTTGAGGACACATATTCTAATCATGTTGACCACTATTTTTTGCATTTGTTTACTCTTTCCTCCTTCCCCCTCGTCTCCCCCTCCCTGCATTTGTTATGTTGTTGCCGTTGCTGTTTGTGTGACACTTGCCTTAACCTTACAATATTGTATTCCACATTTAACCCATCCTTTTCCATCCTCTCATTACTTTCTCCTGCTTCTTCTAAAATTTGATTTTCTTTTTTCTTTGTTCCCCTGGTATTTACCCAAGTTAGTCTGTTCACTTTTCATCCTTTTAGGCATCAGACTTTTTTTTGTAAAAAAAAAAAATCATCTTCAACATTTAATCATGTTTACTACAGTACCCTATGCAGTTTGAAAACTAAAAAGTGGGCCGGGCATGGTGGCTCATCCCTGTAATCCCAGTATTTTGGGAGGCTGAGGTGGGTGGATCACCTAAGGTCAGTAGTTCAAGAACAGCCTGGCCAATATGGTGAAACCCCATCTCTAAAAATACAAAAATTAGCCAGGCTTTTTCCTTGTACGTGTAGTCCCAGCTATTTGGGATGCTGAGGCAGTAGAATCGCTTGAACCTGGGAGGCAGAGGTTTCAGTGAGTGGAGATTGTGCCACTATACTCCAGCCTGGGCAACAGAGTGAGACTCCATCTCAAAGAAAAGAAAAAAAAAGAAAAGGAAACTAAAAAGTGGTATTATATTTTAATGGCATGTGGACATAGGTGAAATGACCATTGTTTTGTGTCATGGTATGCCAGCATAAGGAATCAGGATTCCCTGTATAGATCATGGATTATTCATTCCAAACTTTTCCTACTTAGGTGCAATTTGAAAATATATGCATATGGTCAAATGGCAGCAGTAGGTTTCCAGCCTGAGAAATCTGGCTGTACAAATCCATACACCATCCCAACTTCAGCTTTTCCAGAAAGCTGAGTGATGAATCTTGTCAGGCTTTAGCTTGTGACACCAGCAGTTTTACAGTATACAAAATCCACTCTGCTGCTTCTGAAAAGTTGCATAGCTGGAATCCCCAGTGTAATCCATTTCAGCACAACAACTGGGAATCTTTGCTGCAAATAAAGGAAGGCATGGTAAGTATGCAGCTAGTTCTTTCAGGCAAGGACCTGCCAGTCAAAGCAGAAGATAGAAAAGAAATTTTAGAAGAGGCAGGGGAAAATCAACACATTTCAATGAGATAAAAGGAAAGAAGCCTTTATGGTGGTATTGCCGAAAGTGTGCACATTTGCATAGTGGTCAGATAACTGGAAGCTAAAAAGAAAGCTTGATAGCTGAATTGATAACCAGCGACACTAGTTTCATTAAGTCAAAATTGTTCCAACTCTAGCCAACACTGCTTTGGCCTACCCCTTGAAGAAAGGTTGTGGTGAAGAGCAAAGAGAAAAAGTAATGGCTGAACACCATGAATGTTTGTTTTTGACAATGAAAGTAGATTTTAATGGGATTAAGCATATAGTCAATATTTACTGATACACACACACACACATATATATATATAAATAAATATATATATATATATACATATATATAAATAAATATATATATATAAACATACATATATATATCAGTCACTGTGTTAGGTCACTGCTGGGTGTCCCAGACAGATAGACAAGAAAATTAATGTGATAGATAAGAAACATCTCTTGGAAGGAGTGATGTCTGTGCTGGAGGAGTCTTAAGTAGGCAAAGAGGGAGAGGGGGTCTTTTATCTCCAGGAAAGAAATGGGGCAAAAGGTACAAGATGGGAAAGGGCATGGCCGAAAGTGGTTTGTTTGAATCTTGCTCCAGATAAACAGTAGTGAAACAGACATGAAGCTGAAAGGTAGACAAATGTCAGATCTTGAAGTGATTTATTCAGCCATCCTGAGGACCTGGGCTCAAAATCTAGAAGGTATTAAATGCCAACTTAAGAAATTAAATCTGAGTTTGGATGGAGCATGAAGCCAATGTGATAAAAGTGTGCATTAGAGGCTAGGTATGCTGGCTTATGGCTGTTATCCCAGCACATTGGGAGGCAAAGGTGAGTGGATCACCTAAGGCCAGGAGAGCCTGGCCAACATGGCGAAACCCCGTCTCTAATAAAAATACAAAAATTAGCCCAGCATGGTGCTGCACATCTGTAACCCTAGCTACTTGGGAGGCTGAGGCATGAGAATCACTTGAACCCAGAGGTGGAGGATGCAGTGAGCTGAGATCACTCCAGTGCACTGTGGTCTGATGACAGACTGAGACTCTGTCTCAAAAAACAAATAAATAAATAAAAAGAGAAGAAAATGTGCATTGGAAAATGTGAAAGGTGGACTCTTGCAGGAGGTTATTAAAGGCAAAAACCTGCTGGAATGCTTTGACGGAAGGTCAGAAATGGCCCTTGCTGATGCCAGCTGTGAAATTCCACCATGTCCTGCCAGTGATGCAGTCCATGAGTATAATATCACGTGAACTTTGTTACTCAAGTGATGATGCAAATAATGATGATCATGTTTACTGAGCTGGCTAGGTATGAACTGTAATAAAGATGATCTTTGCCAACTAAAATCCAAGTTTAAAATAACTAGGGAAATGTAACTGAGAAAATACTGAAGTAAATAGTGTGTTAAGCTTTCTCCGGAGTTTTTATTTGTGTGTGCATGTGTATGTGTGCATTTGTTCCTTCCTTTGTGCCATCCTAATTTAGGCCCTCATTTGATTTAGGCCAGACTTCGAGAAGTTGCTTATTACCTTTTGCTAGCTTCAGTTCCTTTTTTTGCCCTTGCTCACTGCCATGGTTTTGAATGTCCCCTCCAAATCTAACATTGAAATTCTGTAGCCATTGTAATAGTGTTGGGAGGTGGGACCTTTAAGAAATGATTAGCTGTGAGGGTGCAACCTATCATGACTGGATCGATGGCATTATCTTGAGAATAAGTTAGTTATTGTGTGAGTGGGCTTTGGATCAAAGGATGAGTTTGGCCCTGATTTTCTGTTTATCACAAGTCCTTCACTGTATGATGCCCTCCTGCCATGTTGTAAAGGAACCCTCACCAGATGCAGCCCCTTGGACTTCCCAGCCTCCAGAAACATGAGCAAAATGAGTTTTTTTTTACAAATTACCCAGTCAATGGTATTCTGTTGTTGCAGCAGCAAATGGATTAAAGCACTCTATTATTTTTTCCTCTTTAGAGAACTAAATAAACTTACAAAGGGGCATGTCAAATTTCCTGTCGAATGATCAAAAAGTCCACATATGTTGTAAAAATAGTATAATAGCCCACCACTGAAATAAAGTACCATTTTATGAAATCTTAACCTTGTTTTCAGAAATAAGGGAAAAGCAACCATAAAGGTAAACATGTAATTTTATTGTTTAATAAGAGAATTGCAGGAATTTAAAAATTTTTTATCAATGTAAATTTCAGTCCCTGTTGTCCTGCATAATCTGTTACCCCTTTGGTGGAAGATATGTTGTAATTAGGGTGATATTTGTCCAGTGAAGACGGTTGATGAGATGGCCTGAAAAGACAGGCAGCCGATGTATCAAATGTCATAGGCATTTGGAACCACTGGTTGCCTGCTGGTGGCAGGTTAGGATAAGGAGCCTCATTGACTGATACCTCAAAATATCTGGTTGGAAAAGTAGTTGTTCCACTGGCAGCCCCAAAAAGCTATTCTGTAAGGGAGGTGTGATGTGGTATTGAGAAGTTGTGGTTGTAACAAAATTCACAATGTGTCCATTTGTTTGCATGTAGCTGCTATGAGAGTGCATATGAATATTGGTCAACTGATTTAAAATAGCATGTTGATCTGTGGCAATTTGGTCTGATGATCCAACTGAAGTTGAAGATGGAGGAGGAAAACTGCTTCTGACTGGGTCAGTTGAACTAGCAATTCTCTAGCTGACACAATACTTCCTTGTTAGAGGCATATTTAAATTTGTAGAGGTTGGAAATGAACTTTCTTCACTAGTTTCAGCAGCTAAGCCAGAATTATGACTATCCATGTTATACCCTGCTCTAAAGTGCTTCTTGTTGAAATCTTCAGCAAATAAAGTAGATACAGGAGAAGGATTTTTAATCCCAACTCTTCATTCTTACTGAAAGTTGGGGACAGTCATGTTTGAAATTTGGATTACGAGAACTCTAACTAAAACCAAAGGAGAAGTTGATTTAGTGCCATTTTTAACCAAGAGACAAGCGATTATCACAAATCTAACGTGTAAAGTCTCAGATTTCTGTATTATCACACACAGTTAATGTCATCAGCTAATGCATGCACATTGTTGGCTATTTTTAAGAATGCGCAGCCGGGCGCGGTGGCTCACGCCTGTAATCCCAGCACTTTGGGAGGCCAAGGCAGGCAGATCATGAGGTCAGGAGATCGAGGCCATCCTGGGTAACACGGTGAAGCCCCATCTCTACTAAAAATACAAAAAAAATTTAGCTGGGCTTGGTGGCGGGTGCCTCTATTCCCAGCTACTGGGGAGGCTGAGGCAGGAGAATGGCATGAACCCGGGAGGCGGAGCTTGCAGTGAGCCGAGGCCACTACACTCCAGCCTGGGCTACAGAGCGAGACTCTGTCTCAAAAAAAAAAAAAAAAGAATGCACTTTTTGGGAAAAAAAGCATTCAATTAATAAAGCCGTCAAGTGAAAACATGTTATATATTGACAGTAACATTTCACTAGTGGCTTTGGTATCTTTATTTGGAGTTCACTGATAAGATTCAAAGTTGTTGGCAAAATTTTTTAAGACACTGAAAGTTTAATGCTCAAGTTGTCCTCAATGTTTTCAAAAAATTAAATAACCTTAGTATTTCACATAATTTTTGAAATTTGGTCTTACTGCATGTATTAGCATGTTTACTGATGTATAAAATAAAATCATATATTATACTCTACTTGTGGTAACTGAAATATTTTGAATACTTTGCTTAAAACAGAGACTTGTTTTTCTTCTGCCAGAAAGTTGGCCAAAGAAGCAGATGTTTGAAAATTCTCTCAAATTTTACTAAATACATGGAGGTTGAGCTGTCAAACTAAGCTTTTCATACTGTCAGTTTCCAATATTCTGTAAAGAGCCTTTCTTCCAAAATTTCTTTCTTGAAGAGTTCTTCATTAATCACTCTGCAAGTTCCATTCTCATCCCACGAAATAGACTTGAATTGGTCACTTTCAGCTATTTTCCAAAGTTTCCTGGGAAAGGTCAGAGAAAGAAAATCATTATCTTTATCTGGCTCAGAGACACAAACTGTGTAACGTGGCCTTTTTATCAAGGATCCTTGTGACAAAACCGGAAAAGCATTTTCTTCAATCATTGACCTTAAGTCTGAGTCCCCAGGGAACGTGTGTTCACAAAATGGAGACCTAGTGGAGGCTTCTGAACCAGTTAATTCATCTTTGGGAGAAACATCTTGAGTTTCTGAAGAAACATGTGCCATCTCAAATAAATATTTCTTTAGCTACTCTTCCAGCCTGCATGGTTTTCAAGCCTGCAGCTTCAAATGCTGCTTCAGAAGCCCTAGGCAGATAAAGTAACCATCACGATGTTTCCCAACCTGAGTAGCAATGATATCACAAGAGGGCTTTGGTCTCCTAGCAACAAATGTAAAAAATTCAGCCAAGTATGAGAAATGAAAATTTCTTCATTTTCATTTTCATTCCTCATTTCTTTATAGGACAATTCTTCCTAGAAAGGTATCCAGTAAAAAAAATAAAATGTGGACTTACTACTCACATAGTGTGATCTCCAAAATCTCATTCCTGCAGAATCTTTTAATAAGGAAATAAATAAATAATGTCCTCAATCCCTGAAATAAAAGTGATTTTCTCTGTTACACATACACTCTTACTATATTGGTGCCAGGAGTGTAGGGCCTGGTAATTGGACAATGCAAAAACAACAACAATTAAAAAAAAGATTTTAAAAGCTCTGTCAGTTTGGCATGTTGGATTGGTAACTGATGCAGTGCAGAACCTATGTGTTAAAAGTCCTGTCTCTACTAAGATACAAAAAATTAGCCGAGCATGATGGCGTGCACTGGTAGTTCCAGCTACTCAGGTGGCTGAGGCAGGGGAATCGCTTGATCCCGGGAGGTGGAGATTGCTGTGAGCCAAGTTCACACCACTGCACTCCAGCCTGGTGACAGAGCAAGACTCTGTTAAAAAAAAAAAAAAAAAAAAAAAGCATGGCCTTTGGGCGTGGTGGCTCACGCCTGTAATCCCAGCTCTTTGGGAGCCTGAGGTGGGCAGATCACAAGGTCAGAAGTTCCAGACCAGCCTGACTAACATGGTGAAATCCTGCCTCTACTAAAAATACAAAAATTAGCTGAGTGTGGGGGCACATGCTTATAGTCCCAGCTACTCGGGAGGCTGAGGCAGGAGAATCATTTGAACTCAGAAGGCAGAGGTTGCAGTGACCCGAGACTGCACCATTGCACTCCAACCTGGGTGACAGAGAGAGACTTAGTCTCAAAAAAAAAAAAAAAAAAGTAGGTTACTGGTTGCTGCAGAGGGGATGGGGAATACAAAGAACTGTTTAGTAGATAAGAGCTTTCCTGTTGGGTGATAGAAATGTTTAAGAACTAGAGTGAGGTGATGATTGTATAACATCATAAGCATATTAAATTCCATTGAATTGTACACTTTAAAATAATTTTATATTATGTGAGATGTACTTTAAAAAATTAAGGGCTGGGCACAGTGGCTCACACCTGTAATCCCAGCACTTTGGGAAGCCGAGGTGGGCGGATCACAAGGTCAGGAGATCGAGACCATCCTGGCTAACACAGTGTAATTTTTAGTCTTTACTAAAAATTACAAAAAAATTAGCCGGGCGTGGTGGCGAGTGCCTGTAGTCTCAGCTACTCAGGAGGTTGAGGCAGGAGAATGGTGTGAACCCAGGAGGCAGAGGTTGCAGTGAGCCGAGATTGTGCCACTACACTCCAGCCTGGGCAACAGAGCGAGACTCCGTCTCAGAAACAAACAAACAAAAACTACTTGAATTTCTCCTTCATCTGAGTCAATAACTCCTGGGACTACATTAATGTCCTGTAGGTTAAGACGGCTTTTCCCTAAAATTAGTCCCATGTATCCTGCTGGTAAAGGTCCCCAAAAACCAGTGGGAACTTTGATGGGTTTTTCTCCCACAACTAATGTGATTCTTTCTCTTGAGGGGTAGATCTAATCCTGCACTTCCTGGTGCTCCTGGGGTGAGGGAATCAATGTGCCTCCAGGAACCCATGCCTGAAATGGGGTTGAGGTCTGAACTGGGAATGCCCTCATTGTTTGAGGGGCCGGGGTCCAGGCCCCCCTCTCATTTCCCAACAGCGGGGTGCCATTCTGATTAAATCTTGAGTGGCACTGATTAGCCTGGTGATTTCCTTTGTTAACAGTGAGGACAAAGTCCTGGCGTTTTTTTTTCCCACTGGGTGGGACACTGCATTGTAAGGTCCTTTCTGTCCTGAGAACTGGCAGCATTCCTTTTTAAAATGTCCAATTTTTCCACAATTATAACATTTTCCCATTTTAGGGTTTGACCCTTGGCTCCTTTTAGATTTGTCAACTGCTAAATTAGCCATTGCTTGCGCTAACATTGCAGATCAATGAAGCTCAGTTCCTACATCCTGACAAGCTCTGAGAAAATTTCCCAAGTTTTGTGTACACCTTGCTGGTGCTAGTGCATGTTTACAATCCGTGTTTGCATTCTCAAAAGCTAGAGTTAAGGTTAGCTCTTCTGCACCCTCAGTATGAGGAATCTGATGCTTCACTGCCTCTTGTAATCTTGCAAGAAATTGCAAATAGGGCTCCTGTGACCTTTGCATGATATGTAAAAAGGCTTGTACTGGGACTCCTCCTTTAGGAATTGTGGCCCAGGCATTTTTAGCAGCCTTTGCACACTGCAGATAAACAAAGTGTGGGAGTGCCATTTGTCACTCCAGGTCTGAATAAGGGCCATTACCTAACAGCATATCCTCTGTAATGTCTCCGTGTCCAGCAGCATTATTTTGTCTAGCCTGGTCTGCACACATGTCTTGCCAATTTAAATTCCATGTCAGATATGCGCTAGCAGACAAGTAAGTTTGTGCCAAGTGTTTTACATCAAAGGCTAAAAGATGCATAGCACCGAACGCAGATTCTAGTAATCCTAAAGTGAATGGACTCTGTACGCCATTATTTACCACACTTGCTTTTTAATTCCTTCAACAACTTAAACTCTAGTGGAGTGTGTTCATGAATAACCTGCTATGGATTGTTTGGATCAGGCCTTATGGAAATAGGAAAAGCATAAGCTCCTAAGGACTCCCCAGCTGTGGCAGCAGAGCATAAAATTCTTTATATTGGGGTTTCTATTTCTGCTATTGAAGGAGGTGGTACAGATGTTTCTGCAATTGGAGAAGGGGGTATAGGCCAATCCTCCCTGTGGTATAGGTATCCTCCCTGTTCTGTTTTTAATTTTCAGTCAATGTTGTGGGTGGGACAACAGATGCTTTCAGATTTTTAGACTCAGCATGCTGTCCTGCAGAATAATAAGGACATATTGATAGATGAACAGTATGAATTAAACTCCAAGTGGAAAAAACAGAAGAATCAACTTTAAGACCTTTTTGATGGGCCTGTTTTAATTCTTTTCCTGCTCTGTCCCAATTTTCCGTATCAAGAGTGCCTGCCTGTGGAAACCATGAATTACGCCTAATAACCTCCTGCAGCATGTTAATGTCTGAGAACTAACTTGAGCACCAGTTTGTTTCAACAAAACTTTAAGCAACTGCACATAATATTTTTCTTCAATAGACAAATTCTGCCCCATGTTACCCTGATTCAGAAAACTTCCCGTTCCCAGTATTTCTTTAAAGCACTGCTCCCAGTACCTCTTTAGGGCACTGATGTTATATCTGCTGCTGGCAGATTTATCCTGGGGTCCCCCTTCACCTTGTCAATTTCAGTTCCTCTGCTCCAGCAGACCTTCTTCATTTACATCCTCGAAGTCCTGTGTCCGGACGCCACTTGTAACCTGCACGGACCTTGTGGGACTGAACAAAGGAGGATGAACGTGGGAATAAAAGACAAAGACAAAAGAGTGTATTTGGAAGAAGGGTTTGGGGGCGCTTTGCCTCTAGTGGACAAGGGCCCAGAGCTTTTTCAGCCCTCTGAATTTATTAGGTAAAAGAGATAATGAGAAAGCGGTGGGGGCCAGTGTGGGGGTGGTGGTGGTGGTGATTGTCAGGTAATTGTCAGTCAGCCATTTGGTTTACAGCTGGCTTGCGAGACTGCATCCTTGAAACAATAGGTGCTAAATTTCCCAGCAGATAACTTCAAGGAGACTGGTGCCAGGGAGTGACTGCCCTCAGCAAACCTTTTGGCAGCAGGCGCAGTGTGAGTTTGCCCACATCCTGCACTCGTGATAAACAGTTTCCTGTTTGATCATATAGCCTCCAGTGGAATGCTGAGTTGGTCACGATTCCTTTGCTGGCTCACTACAGAAACTACTTTAATGATTTTCTGCATAGGAACAATGCTGTATTACACAAGAAAATTAGACATTTCTATTTGAGGGTTTGGGAGTCAAATTTATCACAATGCTTTAGAACATTGCCAAGAGGTGAGTCTGAAGGAATAGATAGGCTTTGTCCCATCATGGGACTGGAAAACACACTGCTCAGGAGCTTTCATGAACCGCTGTTTTTTTTGGGTTTCCTGCCGAGGTGAAGAGCATTTCACTTGTGTCTGCTGAGGGACTTGGGTACATTTTCTAAAGGGGCATTCCTCCTATTGGAAAAGATCTCTTGGCTGCTCAGGAGCCTTATGCTGGGTGATTGGTGAGGAAAATGGGTACACAGAGTACTCAATCTGTGCTAGGCCAGCAGATGGAGCGGGTGAGGGAAGACTCCTTGTTCGGAGGTTGTCTGAGATCACCTGATTTAGTAACGTCTAGAGCAGGATGGCTGAATTACTCAAGAAGAGAATTCAGAATGAGAAAGAGAGAGTCTGAGTCACCTAAAACAACTCTGAATGAGCTTCTGCTGTCAGTCACATCCCTTGTAGGGATTAGGGACTTTCTACTACAAAAGATAGAATAGAGTTTTAGTCCTTTTTAGGCAAGGCAGTCAGCTCTGTTCACACTTTGGCCTTCATGCAACAACAGAAAACAGGGCAGTTACTATAGTTGCCAGAGGGATACTGGAAGCCAGCTGTTGCAAGACTTAAAACACAAAATAATCTTAGGTTCTTCACCTGCATGGTCATTGGTGGTCAGATGCTTCCACACGAACATTTTTCAGTCCCACTGGAATGTAGTTTCAGCCAGAGATGTTCACTTGTCTCTGTGCTTAGGTGCTGTTCACTGAGGATCCTGAGTTGGGAAAGAGAAAGGCAAGTGCGTTCCCCGTAAGGAGAGTCCCTGTATGGACCCCCAAAATGTCATTGCTTATCAGCTACTGTCTAGGGCTGGTATCACACAGGTAGTAAGAAGAATTTACCAAAACAGTTATAAGAAAGGCAGATTTATTAGGAAAAGTATGGAACTATGTTGCAAGGATGCAACAAGCAGGGCAGCAAAAAGACCCTACTGCAAGGAAACAAAGGCTTGCTGAGAATTTTTTGGAACAGTGTTTATGTTGTGTACTGCAGAGGGCTTTGTGCAGTATTGATAACACCACAACCAAAGTTGCACTGAGCTAACTTGCATTTTTCTATCAGCTGAGGGTCTGGTCATAGCTGCAGAAAGCTGCAGAAAGACTGGATTATTTGTCCAGGAGGGCTGTGTATCCTGAAACAATGAAGAAAGGTAGACTTATAGCTTATCTGCCTTCTTTTTCTGCCTTTCTTCTGTCCCACCAGCCAGACTCCTCCTTCCTTATTAGGACTTAGCAATTTCTTCATACTATTCTCAATAATTTATAGTAGTTTCTCACCTCTCCCTAGTATTTCAGGCCCATATAAAAAAGCCTGATTCAAACTAACCTTTTTTTTTCCTGTTTTTTCCCAATATAAGCCCCTCATTGAATTTTTCTATGTTTTCATTATTCCAGAATCAAGTCACACTTGGCTCTCTGCCTGTTCTTTCTTCCTTCCCTCTGCTCTCCTCCCCTCCCCTCCTCTCCCATCTCCCTTCCTTCCTCCCTCCCTTCTTCCCTCCGTCCCTCCTTCCTTCTTTCCTTTCTTCCTCTTTCTTTCTTTTCTTTCTCTCTTCCTTCCCTTCCTTCTTTTTTCTTCCTTTCTTTCTTTTCTTCATTTTAATAGGGAGGGATGGAATCTCTGTCACCTAGGCTGTGATACAGCTGTGCCATCATAGTTTGCTGCCAACTTGATTTTCCAGGCTCAAGGAATCTTCCCACCTTGGCCTCCCAAGTAGATGGGACCACAGGCAGAAACCAGCATGCCAGGCTAAAATTATTTTTTGTACAGACAGGGTCTCATTGTATTACCCAGGCTGGCCTCAGACTCCTGGCAGTCCTCCCACCTCAACCTCCCAAAATCCTGGGATTATAGGCATGAGCCACTGTGCTTGGCCTCTGTTCTTTTCTTACTATCTACCTCCTTATGAAGCCTTCCATGAATTCTTTGCCCCAAGATCTGTCATCATTTATCATCAGCTACATTAGTATAAGTATCTAATTTATATTAATATTTAAAAGGTTAAGTTTCATTGCCTTTTGTGAAAATAATCTGGCTCTGTGGTGGTTTATAGATACTTGATTTTATTATTTCCTCTGTTATGATCTTAGTGTTTCCAGTGTGTTTAAAAATAAGTATAAAAAGGCCAGGCACGGTGGCTCACACCTGTAATCCCAGACTTCGGGAGGCTGAGGTGGGTGGATCATGAGGTCAGGAGTTCAAGACCAGCCTGGCCAAGATGGTGAAACCCCATCTCTTCTAAAAATACAAAAATTAGCCAGGCATGGTGTTGGGCACCTGTAATCCCAGCTACTGGGGAGGCTGAGGCAGGGAATTGCTTGAACCCAGGAGGTGGGGATTGCAGTGCATAGTGATCGTGCCACTGCACGCCAGCCTGGGTGACAGAGCGAGATTCCATCTCAAAAAAAAGTATAAATAGGCCATGCACAGTGGCTTACACCTGCAATCCTACACTTTGAGAGGCTGAGGGGGGTGGATCACTTGAGCCTAGGAGTTTGAGATCAGCCTGGCCAACATGGAGAAATCCCATTTCTACAAAAAATTTAAAAATTAGCAAGATGTGATGGGGCTTACCTGTAATTCCAGCTACTTGGGAGGCTGAGGTAGGAAGATTGCTTGGCCCTAGTAGGTTGAGGCTATAGTGAGCAGTCATCAGGCCACTGTACTCCAGCCTGGGCAACAGTGTGAGACCCTGTCTCAAAAAATAATAAGTCTCTTTGGGAGGCTGAGGTGGGTGGATCTCTTGAGGTCAGGTGTTCGAGACCAGACTGTGCAACATGGCAAAACTCCATCTGTACAAAAAATACAAAAATTAGTTGGGTGTGGTGGCATGTGCCCCAGCTACTTGGAAGGCTAGGGTGGGAGGATTGCTTGAGCCCAGAAGGTGGAAGTTGCAGTGAGCTGAGATTGTGCCATTGCACTCCAGCCTGGGTCACAGAGCCAGACCTTTTCTCAAAAAAAAAAAAAAAAAAAGAAGAAGAAGAAAGAAAGAGGAGGAGGAAAGGAAGGAAGAAAGAAGGAGGAGAAGGAAGAGGGAGGAAAAGGGAGAAGAAGAAGAAGCAGCAGAAGAAAGAATGAGGAGGAGGAGGAGCAAGAAGGAAAAGAAGAAGAGAAAGCAGCAGCAGCATAAATAATATCAAGCCTTCAAAGACCTTTACAATGGAATATATTACTCAGCATGAATGGACATTTCCTGCATTAGAACACATTTTTAAAACAAAGGATCTTTAGGCCAGGCACGGTGGCTCACGCCTGTAATCTCAGCAATTTGAGAGGCCTAGGTAGAAGGATCACTTGAGTCTAGCAGTTTGAGACCAGCCTGGGCAACACAGCAAGACCCATCTCAATTTTTTAAAAATAGTAATAATAAGAAAATAAGGATTTTTTGTCTTCTCACTATTACGAGAGAATTCTTTTCAAATGAAATTTTAGACTTTGAACAATTTTAAAATGTTGCATAGGTCTGGTATGGTGGCTTATGCCTATAATCTCAGCACTTTGGGAGACGGAGGTGGGAGGATCACAAGGTCAGGAGTTCCAGACAAGCCTGGCCAACATGTTGAAACCCCATCTCTACTAAAACAAAACACAAAAATTAGCCAGGTGTGGTCGCACGTGCCTGTAATCCCAGCTACTCAGGAGGCTGAAGCAGGAGAATTGCTTGAACCCAGGAGGCAGTGGTTGCAGTGAGCCGAGATTGCGCGGCTGCACTCCAGCCTGAGTGACAGAACGAGATTCTGTCTCGAAAAATAAATAAATAAATAAATAAATAAAATAAAAGTGTTACACAAAGAAGTATCTGAATTATTGCTTTATAGTCTTAAAAAGTTATATTGTAAGGCCGGGAGCTGTGGCTGACGCCTGTAATCCCAGCACTTTGAGAGGAAGGGGCGGGCGGATCACGAGGTCAGGAGATCGAGACCATCCTGGCTAACACGGTGAAACCCCGTCTCTACTAAAAAAATACAAAAAATTAGCCGGGGATGGTGGCGGGCGCCTGTAGTCCCAGCTACTCAGGAGGCTGAGGCAGGAGAATGGCGTGAACCCGGGAGGCGGAGCTTGCAGTGAGCCGAGATCGCGCCACTGCACTCCAGCCTGGGCGACAGAGTAAAACTCCATTTCAGAAAAACAAACCAAAAATTTTCCTTCCTTTTAAAAACTGAATAATACTAATATTCTATGTATATAACATTTTGCTTATCCAGGTATCTGTCAGTGGACATGTAGGTTGCTTCTACCTTCCAACTTTTGTGAATAAAGCTATTATGAATGTGGGTATACAAGTATCTCTTGAAGACCCTGTTTTCAATGATTTTGATATATACCCAGGAATAGAACTGATGGATTGTATGGTAATTGTATTAGCTGCTTTCAGTATTATCTGCCCACATATTTTGGTAGGTTGTGTTTTCATTTTCTTTTTGTCTCAAGATATTTTGTAATTTCTCATGATTTCTTCTATGATTTATTCATTGGCTAAGTGTATTGTTTAATTTCCACATATTTGTAGATTCTCTAATAGTTGTCCTTCTATTGTTTTTTTGTTGTTGTTTTCATCCCATCATGATCAGAAATAAAATCGGAAATTGTGCAATTTCCATCATTTTAAATTTATGAAAGTGTGATTTGTGGTCTGATTCATGGTGTGTACTGGAAAATGTTTCATTTACACTTGGAAAAATGTATATAATCCTGTTATATGTCGGGTGGAGACTTACATAAGTCTTTTAGATCCATTTGGTGTTCAGTGTTGTTCATGATCCTATTTCCTTATTGATCTTTTGTCTGAATGTTGTACCTGTTACTGAAAGTTATAGAAGTCTCTTATTGTAGCGCTATTTATCACTTTGATTCTGTCAATGTTTGCTTTGTGTATTTTAGAACTCGGATGTTTGATGCATGTTTGTAATTCTTATATCTTTGTGGCAAATTGATCTCTTTATCATAATATAATATCTTTCTTTTTGCCTTGTAAGAGTTTTTATGCTAACATCCATTTTATGCGATAGCAGAATAGTTGTCCTCTTCTCTTTTGGTTACTGTTTGAATGAAATGCCTTTTTCTGTTCTTTCATTTTCAACCTTTGTGTGCTTTTGCATCTAAAGTTAGTCTCTTTTAGAAAGTATGTAGTTTTTTCTTGATTTTTAATCTCTTTAGTAATTCTTTTCATTAGAAAGTTTACACAGTTAACGTAATTACTCTTCTGAAGAATGTATGATTGCTGTTTTATTATTTGAGTTGTGTAAACAGATTGAATATTCCATATTCAAAATGCTTGGGTCCAGAATGGTATTAGATTTCAAAAATTTTTTTGATATTAGAATATTTCTGTTGTAGTTAATGCTTGACCATCCTAATTCAAAATTTGAAATACTCCAGTAAGCATATTTGAGCATCATGTCGGCACTCAAAAAGTTCTAGATTGTACAGATTTTGAGTTTTGGATTTTTTTATTAGGGATATTTCATCTGTATTGTACACATTTTTTGCTCCTCATTTTTCTCCCCTCTCTTACTCTCTGGTTTAGCTCATTTTTTGTAGTGACTTTCAATTTCTCTATCACTTCCTTTTATTATATTCTACAGATACTTCTTTCTAGTTATGAGCTTTACATACATCTTAAAAGTTAATAACAGCTTGTTTTATTTTTTAAGTTTTACTTACTTTTAGTACAAGTTTACTTTTAGTGTTTAGTTTTTCTGTTTTTATTTATTTTATTTTATTTTTTAATCTTTAAAAATGAGGTCTCACTTGATGAGGTCTTACTCAGTGCCCAGGGTGGAGTGCAGCTTGTGCAATCATGACTTACTGTAATTTCTACTTTCCAGACTGAGGAGATCCTCCCACCTTGGCCTGCAAAGTGCTGGGTTTGTAAGATGTGTCATTGCGCCCAGCCCTAACAACTTATTTTAAACTTTTTTTATAGCTTGCTGCTCCCCCTTATTATTAAGGTCTCAAATTTTATATCCTTATCTATTGTATACCTGTTAACATAGATTTATAATTCATACTTTGTCTTTTAAATACTATAGAAAATGAAAAGTGGGCTGGGTGCCGTGGCTCAGGCCTGTAATCGCAGCACTTTGGGAGGCCGAGGTGGATGAATCATGAGATGAGGAGATCGAGACCATCCTGGCTAACACGGTGAAATCCCATCTCTATTAAAAATACAAAAAAAATTAGCCGGGCGTGGTGGCGGGTGCCTGTAGTCCCAGCTACTCGGGAGGCTGAGGCAGGAGAATGGCGTGAACCTGGGAGGTGGAGCTTACAGTGACAGAGCACTCCAGTCTGGGTGACCAGAGCGAGACTCCGTCTCAAAAAAAAAAAGAAAATGAAAAGTGGAATTATGAATCAAAATTCCAATAATACTGTTTCTGATGTTTGTGCATTTACTTTTACCAGAGAACTTGTAATTTTCATATGACTCCAGGTTATTATCCAGCATCCTTTTGTTTTAACTTGAAGACTTTCTTTTGATATCTTATAGGACAGCTGTAGTGGGAATGAACCTTCTTCAGTTTTTATCTCGGAAAGTCTTTATCTTTCATTTTTGAGAATATCTTTCATTTTTGAGAATAACTTTGCTACATACTGAATTCTCAGTTTTTTTTTTTCTTTCAGCACTTAAAATAGTTTACCCTACTGCCTTCTGGTTTGCAAAGTTTCTCCTGAGAAATCTGCTGGTAATCCCTTTGTTTTGTTTTTGGTGTTAATAATCTTATTGAGAATTCTTTGTATATGATGAATCACTTTTCTTTTGACGCTTTCAAGATTTTCTGTATCTGTGATTTTCTTTCTTTTTTCTTTTCTTTCTTTCTTTTTTTTTTTTTTTTAAGACAGGGTGTCTCTCTGTTGCCCAGTCTGGACTGGAACTCTTGGCTCAATTGATCCTCCTATCTCAGCCTATTGACTAGCTGGGAATACAGGCATGTGTCATCACATTCAGTTCCTTGTTTATAACTTTAGATGTGATTATAATATTTCTCTGAGTGGGTCTCTTTGGGTTTTTCATACTTTCATTTCTTTGAGTGCTTGTATTTGTATATCTTTGTCTTCATATTTGGGAAGTTTGTGGGTATTATTTATTCAAAGAAGTCCTGTAATCCTTATTTTGTATCTCCTCCTTTAGGGACTTTCATAATGTATATATTGGATTGCTTGATGCTATCCATAAATCTTATAGGCTTTGTTCACTTGTCTTCATTCTTTTCTCTTTTGGTTCCTCAGCTTGATAATTTCAAATAATCTTTCTTTAGGTTTGCTGAATCTTTTTCTTCAGGTTTGTTTAACCCTTCTAATAAATTTTTCAATGCTGTCATTATATTTTCAGCTCCAGAATATCTTTTTAGTTCTTTTTAAAAATTTGTCACTTTTTGTTTTTTGGGATTCACTTCTGTTTCTGTTCATATTCTCCCTTAGGTCTTTGAGAATATTTAAGACAATGTCTTACCAAGTAAGTCTGAGGCCTTACTTTTTCTTTAGGGTTGTTTTCTGGAGATTTATTTGCTTCATGTGAATGAGCCATGTTTCTCTGATTCTTTGTATCCTTTGAGATCTTTTGTTATAAATTGAGCATTTAAAAAAAGCTGCCTTGGCTGGGCGTGGTGGCTCACGCCTGTAATCCCAGCACTTTGGGAGGCCGAGGCGGGCTGATCACGAGGTCAGGAGATCCAGACCATCCTGGCTAAGACGGTGAAACCTCGTCTCTACTAAAAATACAAAAATAATTAGCCGGGCATGGTGGCGGGCGCCTGTAGTCCCGGCTACTCGTGAGGCTGAGGCAGGACAAAGGCTTGAACCTGGGAGGCGGAGCTTGCAGTGAGCTGAGATTGAACTACTGCACTCCAGTCTGGGCGACAGAGCGAGACAAATACAAAAACAAACCAAAAAAAAAAAAAAAAAAAACCAAAAAAAACAAAACAGCTGCCTCCCTATTCTTTATGCAGACTAGCACTATGCAGGGAATGACTTTCAGTAATCAGCCCAGAATGAAGGCTAATGGTTTTCTAAGGCTTTTTTTTTTTTTTCTAGACCTGTGGCTGACCTGAGATTGTATGTTTGCCTTATTCCCCAGTTTTCTCACAATTGTGGCTGCTTTTAAATGTCTTTATTTCCCCCAGAGTCATACCCTTGCCGCTTCTTTAAAGCTCGCTGTTCTATTACGTTCCTGTTCCTGTAACTGGGGCCCCAGGATGCAGGATCTACTGTAGCTCTCAGGCTCTCAGTCCCAGGATTGTTGTGAGTAGCTTCCAACTGATATCCAAACTATGCTGCAGTTTTTCTCAAAGGCTTTAAATCAGGCAAGGCACAAACTATTAATAGTGCTTTGGGCAGCCCTCAGACAAGCCAACACTTTGAAAATGAGTTTCACTCCTTTTCTTATGTCTTGAGGAGAGGAACTGGGAAAAGGTGTCACTGCACCAGACTGCATGTTGTAGATGGTGGGGCAAAAGCGAGCAAAAATGCCTTTCATGTTTCAGTTTTTAGTATTTCCAGGCTCAAAGGACTGTGGTACCAGTAGAAATTTCCTGCCATTATGAGTGTGCTTTTTCTTGAGTGAATACCTTGTTAGTTGTAGAAGATCCGTAACTACTTTCTAAATTTCCCACAGACTACTTTGGTCAGTATATTGTTGTTTACTTGGTATTTCTGTTGTGAGCACAAGGACTTACAGACTTCAAGTCTCCAACTCTTCTGATTTTTCTTCTTCTCTTATATTTTTACAATTGTAGCTTTTACCCATGTTAAAGTGAGTTTTGTTTTTCCTAAATGATTGGCCTGGTTATTGGCCAGAACAAACTTGAAGAACATAGCATAGTTTGCTCTGCTATTAAGACTAATATGCTTATGAAAAATATGATCTTCCAGTTCTTTACTTATTTTCATTTAAAGCTATTCTAATCTTTTCAGCTCCTGACAAGCTTAGGAAAGCATTTTTGCATTTTTAAAGGAGAAAAGAATATATAATGAAATTTTTAAAAAATTAGGCTGAGTTGTTTTGTGTATTGTCATGGCTTCTTAAAGGGACTTAGAGTGCTCTTTATTGGCTGGTTTCTAATATCATAGGAATATCATAATGTTCCTAATGTGTAGAAATATTATGATAGAGGAAGATAAGCATATATATAGTGGCAACATTTTGCTGGCTTTCTTTCTTATATATGCTGACCAGAACTTATCTGAAGAGATAATACAGACCTTTATGTATACGAGGGCATATAATGAGAACAAATTTAAATTTAGAATTATGCAGGTTAAACCAGTTATGTCATGATTGTGTGGCAATGCTGACCAAATGGATTTAAAATTTATGTCTTCATTTACATTCATTTTGCAATTTAATTGGATGGGGTCGGAACAGAAGAGGAATGACCATCAAGCCAAAAGTAGATGGTGACTGAAGAATCAAAATTAAATGTATTTTGATGAAGTCAGAATTTCTCTTAGCAACTTCGGGTTACATACTTAAAGCAAAATTAGTTTTTTTTTTGGTGACAGAAATTCAACTTCTACTACTTAAATAGTAGAATCTAAAATAAATGTCAAACTTGGCATATTGGTGAATTTAATCTACATTTTAGCATACTTTGATCATTGCTAAACATTTCCAGATTTGTAGATTCATGCAGTTTTGAAATGAAATTGCTTATTACAACTGGCCCTTGCCTTACCACAAATACCACTGGACCTAGTTGAAATGAAGTTTTTCTTTTTATTTTTTCATGATTCAGTTTTTAGTATGTCCAGGCTTGAAGGACTGTGGTACCAGTAGAAACTGGGAAGACAAAAACTGTCTTTCAGAACTGGCTCCTGTTTTGCCCCATGTATGCTACCTTGCCTTATCTTTAAAATTTATGGTGAAAATGAAATTAATAGGATCCAATTAATTTTTTTAATTTTGAGTTGGAGCATGAGCACTAATATACATAAAGAGACTTCCAGAACTCCCTTGACTCTATTCTTAGATTGCAAAATTGGAAGGTGAAGACAGTTCTAGTCACCTTCTCCCTGATGCCCTACACTTATTTCTCATTGGTTACTCCTAAAATTCAACAGTCTTTTCTTATTGGAAAATATGGTGACAAACACCAAATGCTTCTACATAAGTAATGAGGATCTTTCCAGTTCTTTTATATTTTGTCTTAACTAATTAATTGATAATCTTAGAAAACAGATTCTAATCCTAGCATTTGTTTCTGCTATGAAATAGCAAGTATTTGTCTTTTTTCTTAAAATAATCATGTGAAGTTATTAATGCTTGAAAAAATTGGAGCTTGTAGAAGGCAAGATCCTGATATTTTATTTTAAACAAATAATACCCCAAGTTAAGCAAATTATAGTTTTATTTAATGATTCATTTTTATTAGGCAACAAATAGTGAATGATTGTGAGTCTATTTATAATTGACTTTTTGATTAGCTAGTCAATAACTAGTGTTTAGAAAATTGGTAGTTTGGGATATTATAGACTGAATGGCTCAAAAGGATCTTTTGAATTGTTGATTATATTGTGAAAAGAAGCTTGAGGATGGCATTAACATTTAAGCTCTTGGAGGCACAGGGACCATAAATTTCTTTTAAGAGCAATTAGGTGTGGTTTTCCCCCTGGATAAATACATTAAGCCAAGCAGTTTTGCATATGATTTTACTGGTCTCACAGAGCCTTAGGAGTCATCCCATAAATGTCACATTAATTAGGATTCATATAATTTAAGCATTTCACAATGTACATCTATATCAGAACATGACATTTTACAATGCTTGTAAACTGTATCTTAATTAATTAATTAATTAAATTAAATTTTTTTTTGAGACAGAGTCTCACTCTGTCTCCATGGCTGGAGTGCAGTGGCATGATCTCAGGTCACTGCAACCTTTACCTACTGGGTTTAAGCAATTCTCCTGCCTCAGCCTCCTGAGTAGTTGGGATTACAGGTGCACACCACCACGCCCAGCTAATTTTTGTGTTTTTAGTGGAGAGGAGGTTTTACCATGTTGGCCAGGCTGATCTCGAATCCTGGACCTCAGGTGATCTGCCCACCTCGGCCTCCCAAAGTGCTGGGATTACAGGAGTGAGCCACCGTGCCCGGCCTCTTGTATCTTAATTTTTTAAAAATGAATTCCTATAATGCAACCTAACCCTGAAAATATGGCTACTAAAGCATTTATGGAACACTTACTTTATGCTTGCCACAAGGTACATCTACTCATTCTATGAATTCTCATATGAGAATGGAGTGAGTTGAGAGGTGATGATTTCGAAGTACATGCAAATCATTTTTTCTTTAATATATTTTCTTGTTTGAAAAGATGCAAATGGTGAAAATAGTGCTTTGGAAGATATTTTCTTTATTTGTCATTGGTAGTTCATTCTGGTACAGGTACACCCAACCTTTGGGCTCTTACTGGTGACATGTAGAAGTGAGCCGAAGGGCCCAAACCAAAACTGTTACTATAGTTTAAATAAGAAGGCCAGGGGTGGTGGCTCAAGCCTATAATACCAGCAGTTTGAGAGGCTGAGGTAGGAGGGCTGCCTGAGGCTGGGAGTTTTAGACTGCCACAGCCAACATACTGAGACTGCATTTCAATTAAAAACAAAAAAAGCAGCTTTGTTTTTTGGTTTTTGTTTTTGAAATTAGTCTCACTTTGTCACCCAGGCTGGAGTGCAATGTCACCATCTCAGCTCTCTGCATCCTTGACCTCTTGGGCATGTAGTTGGGATTATAGGCATGTGCCACCATACTCATTTCTGTATTTTTTGTAGAGAGGGGTTTTTCCATGTTGCCCTGGGTGGTCTTGAAATCCTGAACTTGTGGATTTCAGGATCGTGGTGGACAGGAGGCAGGACTAGATTGCAGATCCGGATAGAGCAGCATGCGGGGGCTTGCATTGTAAATTTTAGCTCCAGATTGACTGCAGGAACAAACCAGCAATCCCGAGAGGAACCACAGACCCTCTGAAGGAAGAAGACTGCCCCTGTAGGACCCAGGAGACACCCCAAATACTGTGAGTGTCCTAACAGTGGAAGTGGGAAAGAGAGACCCTCCTCTCCTGAACACACGCCCCCACTGGAGAAGCTGAAAGTCTGTTTGTGGGAGAGCAGTTTCTGACTTTACCTAGAGCTAAATCAAGTTAGAGAGCCAAGCCAAGCAAAATACAGGGATAGAGGAAGCAGCAGAAAGTCCATGGGAGCTCACTGGGTCCCCAAGCAACAAGTAGAAGAAAGAAATTCAGAGCTTGAAGACAAGGACTTCAAATTAACCCAATCCAACAAAGACAAAGAAAAAAGGAGAAGAAAATATGAGCAAAGCCTCCAAGAAGTCTGGGATTATGTTAAACAGCCTAAGAACAATCAGTGTTCTTGAGGAAGAAGACAATTCTAAAAGCTTGGAAAACACATTTCAGGGAATAATCGAGGAAAACTTCCCCAGCCTTGCTAGAGACCTACACATGCAAATAAAAGAAGCACAAGGAATACTTGGAAAATTCATCACAAAAAAGTCTTCACCTAAGCACATTGCATCAGGTTATCCAAAGTTAAAATGAATGAAAGAATCTTAAAAGCTGTGAGACAGAAGCACCAGCTAACCTACAAGGGAAAAACTGTCAGATTAACAGCAGAATTCTCCACAGAAACCCTACAAGTTAGAAGGGCTTATAGGGTTTCTGCCTCCAATCTTCAGCCTCTTCAAACAAAACAATTATCAGCCAAGAACTTTGTATCCAGTGAAACTAAGCAACATATATGAAGGAAAGGTACAATCTTTTTCAGACAAACAAATGTGGAGATAATTAGCCATTACCAAGCCATTTCAATAATAACATTGAATGTAAATGGCCTAAATGCACCACTTAAAAGATACAGAACTGCAGAATGGATATGAGCTCACCAATCATCTGCTGCCTTCAGGAAGATCATCTAACACATAAGGACTCACATAAACTTACAGGGGTGGAAAAAGTAATTTCATGCAAATGGACAACAAAAGTGACCAGGGGTAGCTATTCTTATATTAGACAAAACAAACTTCAAAGCAACAGTGGTTAAAAGAGACAAAGAAGGGCCGGGCATGCTGGCTCATGCCTGTACTCCCAGCACTTCGGGAGGCGGAGGCAGGCTGATCACGAGGTCAGGAGTTTGAGACCGGCCTGGCCAACATAGTGAAACCCCATCTCTACTAAAAATACAAAAAAAAAAATCAGCTGGGCGTGGTGGTGGGTGCCTGTAATTCCAGCTACTAGAGGCTGAGGCAGGAGAATCTCTTGAACTCGGGAGGCAGAGGCTGCAGTGAGCCGAGATCACGCCACTGCACTCTAGCCCGGGCAACAGTGCGAGACTCCGTCTCAAAGAAAAAAAAAAAGAAACAAAGAGAGACATTATGTAATGGTAAAAAGCCTTGTCCAACAAGAAAATGTCACAATCCTAAACATATATGCACTGAACACTGGAGCTCTCAAATTTATAAAACAATTACTAATAGATCTAAGAAATGAGATAGACAGCAACACAATAGTAGTGGGGAACTTCAATACTCCACTGACAGCACCAGACAGGTCATCAAGACAGAAAATCAACAAAGAAACAATGGATTTAACTATGCCTTGGAATAAATGGACTTAATATATTTCATCCAACAGCTACTGAATACACATTCTATTCAAAAGCACATGGAACTTTCTCCAAGATTAGACCATATGATAGACCATAAAAAGAGCCTTAATAAATTTAAGAAAATTGAAATTATATCAAGCACTCTTTCAAACTATGGTGGAATAAAACTGGAAATCAGCTCCAAAAGGAAGCTTCAAAACAATGCAAATACATGGACACTAAATAACCTGTTCCTGAATGAACATTGGGTCAAAAAAAATGAAGGTGGAAATTAAAAAATTCTTCGAACTGAATGACAGTAATGACAAAATCTATCAAAACCTCTGAGATATAGCTAAGGTGGTGTTAAGAGGAAAGTTGATAGCTCTAAATGCTGACATCAAAAAGTCTGAAAGAGCACAAATTGACATTCTAAGGTCACATCCCAAGGAACTAGAGAAACAAGAACAAACCAAACCAAAACCCAGCAGAAGAAAGGAAATAACCAAGATAAGAGCAGAAATAAATTGAAACAAAGAAAAAAAAGATACAAAAGATAAATAAAACAAAAAGCAGGATCTTGGAAAAGATAAGTAAAATTGATAGACCATAAACAAGATTAATCAAGAAAAGAATAGACAAAATCCAAATAACCTCACTGTGAAACAAAACAGGAGATATTACAACTGACACCACTGAAATAAAAAAGATCATTCAAGGCTATTATGAACACCCTTACACATATAAACTAGAAAACCTAAAAGAGATGCATAAATTCCTGGAAAAATATAACCCTCCTAGCTTAAATCAGGACCCTTAAATTTGATACCCTGAACAGACCAACAACCAGCAAGGTTGAAACAGTAATTTAAAAATTACCAACCAAAAAAAGTCCAAGACCAGACAAATTCATAGCAGAATTCTACCAGACATTCAAAGAAGAATCAGTACAATTCCTTTTGACACTATTCCACAAGATAGAGAAAGAAGAAACCCTCCCCAATTCATTAATTGAAGCCAGCATCATCCTAATACCAAAATCAGAAAAGGATACAACCAAAAAAGAAAACTACAGACTGATATCCTTGATGAACATAGATGCCAAAATCCTTAACAAAATACTAGCTAACTGAAACCAACAACATAGCAAAAAATAATCCACCATGATCAAGTGGGTTTCATACCAGGGATGCAGAGATGGTTTAACATACACAAGTGAGTAAGTGTGATACTAAGGCAAGATATTAAAGAAAAATAAAATTAAAAAGAAAGGGAAATAAGTTTTCCTGCATTAGGCTGATTTGTCCCAGAGGCAGCAACAGGCACAGCCCAGACCCAGGAAAAGTCTTGATAATATTACCTAATGTGCTCTGGAGACTCTCCAGCACTCCCTCAACATAGGGAGAAGAAAAACAAATTTTCCTTTGTTTTATGGAATGAGTTTATAGATCCTTGTTCTCTGTAACTAGTGACTTCAAGTATTCTGTTTATCTAAAAAGTACAACGGAGGTCATGAGAAGCCTGAGTAGGCCTGAACTACAGCTGCCTGGGCACCACAGTGAAGGTTATAGGATAAGCCCATGCCCAGACAAACCTAGATAATGGACATCTGGGTTGCTTGGCAATGGTCATGTGCAGTCCTGTCTTTGTCCTGCCTCTGAACCCCTGCTTTTATGCCACTGTAAGCTTCCTTCAAGCTAGCCCGCCCCCTTTTGTGAAGTGTATATAAAAGTCAGATGCTGTCTTTGTGCTGGGCCCAGTCTTGGGATGTGAGTCAGCTGGACCTGAGTGCACTCAATAAAGATCCTGCTGTTTTAACCCAAGGTCTCTTTCATTCTCCTGAATCCTGCAAAAATACACCACATAAACAGAATTAAAAACAAAAATCACATGATCATCTCAATGGGTGCAGAAAAAAGATTTGACAAAATCTGGCATCCCTCTATGATTAAAACCCTCTGCAACATTGACAAACAAGGGACATAGCTTAATGTAATAAAAGCTACCTATGACAAACCCACAACCAATATAATACCTAATGGGGAAAAGTTGAAAGTATTCCCTCTGAGAACAGGAACCCAAGACAAGGATGCCCACTCTCACCACTTCTCTTCAACATAGTACTGGAAGTCCTAGCCAGAGCAATCAGACAAGAGAAAGAAAGAAAGGGGATCCAAATTGGTAAAGAGGAAGTCAAATTGTCCCTGTTTGCTGATGATATGATCATTTACCTTGAAAACCTTAAGGACTCCTCCAGAAAGCTCCTACAACTGATAAAATAATTCTGCAAAGTTTCTGGATACAAGATTAATGTACACAAATCAGTAGCTCTTCTATACACCAACAGCGAAGAAGCAGAGAATGAAATCAAGAACTCAACTCCTTTTACAATAGCTGCAAAAAAATTAAGATACTTAAGATATACCTAACCAAGGATTCAAAAAAACCAAGGAAAACTACAAAACACTGCTAAAAGAAATCATAGACAACATAAATAAATGGAAATATATCCCATGCTTATGGATGGATAGAATTAATATTGTGAAAATGACCACACTGCCAAAAGCAATCTACAAATTCAACAAAATCCCCATCAAAATATGACCACCATTCTTCACAGAGTTAGAAAAAACAATTCTAAAACTCTTATGGAATTGAAAAAGAACCTGCATAGCCAAAGCAACACTAAGCAAAAACAAAAAATCTAGAGGCATCACACTACCTGATTTCAAACTATACTATAAGGTCATAGTTGCCCGGCGTGGTAGCTCACGCCTGTAATCCCAGCACTTTGGGAGGCCAAGGCGGGTGGATCATGAGGTCAGGAGATTGAGATCATCCTGACTAACATGGTGAAACCCCATCTCTACTAAAAATACAATAAATTAGCCAAGCATTGTGGCGGGCGCCTGTAGTCCCAGCTACCCGGGAGGCTGAGGCAGGAGAATGGCATGAACCCAGGAGGCGGAGCTGGCAGTGAGCTGAGATCACACCACTGCACTCCAGCCTGGGCAACAGAGTGAGACTCCATCTCAAAAAAAAAAAAAAAAAAAAAAAAAGGGTCATAGTCACCAAAACAGTGTGACATTAGTATAAAAATAGGCACATAGATGAATAGAATAGAGAACTCAGAAATAAACTCAAATACTTACAGCCAACTGATTTTCAACAAAGCAAACAAAACACAAAGTGGGGAATGGACACTCTTTTCAACAAATGGTTCTGGGATAATTGGCTAGCCACATGTAGGAGAATGAAACTGGATCCTCATCTCTCACCTTATACAAAAATCAACTGAAGATGGATTAAGAACTTAATTCTAAGACCTAAAACTATAAAATTTCTACAAGATAACATTGGAAAAACCTTCTAGACATTGGCTTAGGCAAGGATTTCATGGCCAAGAACCCAAAAGGAGATGCAATAAAAACACAGATAAATAGCTAAGACCTAATTAAACTAAAGAGCTTTTGCACAGCAAAAGGAATAGTCAGAAAAGTAAACAAATAACTGACAGAGTGGGAGAAAATCATCACAATCTATACATCTGACAAAATACTAATATCCAGAATCTACCACAAACTTAAACAAATTAGTAAGAAAAAAACAATCCCATCAAAAAGTGGGTTAAGGACATGGATAGACAATTCTCAAAAGAAGATATACAAATGGCCAAAAAACATATGAAAAAATTCTCACCATCACTAATGATCAGGGAAATGCAAATCAAAACCACAATGCAATACCACCTTACTCCTGCAAGAATGGCTATAATCAAAAATGAAAAAAACTGTACTTGTCGTGGATGCAGTAATCAGGGAACACTTCTACCGTGCTGGTGGGAATGTAAACTAGTACAGCAGCTATGGAAAACAGTGTGGACATTCATTAAAGAACTAAAAGGAGAACTACCATTTGATCCAGCAATCCCACTACTGAGATCCACCCAGAGAAAAAGAAGTCATTATTTGTTTATTCAGAAAAGACAGTTACACATGCATGTTTATAACAGCACAATTCACAATTGCAAAATCGTGGTACCAATCCAAATATGCCCATTAATCAATGAGTGTATAAAGAAACTGTGGTATAGGCTGGGTGCAGTGGCTCACACCTGTAATCCTAGCACTTTGGGAGGGCCGAGACAGGCAGTTTGCCTGAGCTCAGTAGTTTGAGACCAGCCTGAATAACATGGTCAAACCCCATCTCTACTAAAAAAAAAAAAAAAAAAATTGTGGGACATGATGATGGGCACCTGCTACTCAGGAGGCTGAGGCAGAAGAATTGCTTGAACCTGGGAGATGGAAGTTACAGTGAGCAGAGATCGAGCCACCGCACTTCAGCCTGGGTGACACAGCGAGACTCCATCTCCAAAAAAAAAAAGAAAAGGAAACTGTGGTAGATATGTATACACACAAAAAGGAATGAATTAACAGCATTTGCAGTGACCTGGATGAGATTGGAGACTATTACTCTAAGTGAAGTAACTCAGCAATGGAAAACCAAATATTGTATGTTCTCACTGATATGTGGAAGCTAAGCTATGAGGACACGAAGGCATAAGAATGACACAATGGACTTTGGAGGCTTGCGGGGAAGAGTGGGAGGGGAGTGAGGGATAAACACTACAAATAGGGTGGAGTCTGTACTGCTTGGGTGACGGGTGCACAAAATCTCATAAATCACCACTAAAGAACTCACTTATGTAACCAAATACCACCTATACCCCAATAACTTATGGAAAAATAAAACATTAAAACACAATCATCATAGCTCCTCATAGCTCCTTTGTGCCAATGTGAATCAATGCAATCAATTATTACATTGATTCTAACTTGTCCTAAAAAGCCAGAGCAACATGAGGATGTCTGTTGGGTCCCTTATGGCTTATGGAGGGGGAAATTTCTGAGCCATTTTACAGACTCACAGATGGATTTCCAGGTACTTCCTAGCTGACCAAAATAGTGCACAGGAATCTAGGCCAGGATTATGTGAGTTGGTGGAGTCATTGCTTGTGCTAAGCACTATGACAAATATTCATAGATGAACAAAGTTACTAGAAACAATAATGATACCAATTTGTAATAGGGATCTGATCCAGAAACTTACCTTTTCTGGTAACTAAGAAAGTAAACCCTTTTCCCTTTTTTCTCCTCCCCTCTCCTCCTTCTTCTTTTTCTTTTTCTTTTTTTTTTTTTTTTTTAGACAGAGTCTCACTCTGTTGTCCAGGCTAGAGTGCAGTGGCGTGATCTTGGCTCACTGCCAGCTCCGCCTGCTGGGTTCACACCATTCTCCTGCCTCAGCCTCCCAAGTAGTTTGGACTACAGCCGCCCGCCACCACACTCAGCTAATTTTTTGTATTTTTAGTAGAGACGGGGTTTCACCGTGTTAGCCAGGATGGTCTTGATCTCCTGACCTCGTGATCCACCTGCCTTGGCCTCCTAAAGTGCTGGGATTACAGGCGTGAGCCACCACACCCAGCCTCCTTCTCCTTATTTTTTCTTGACATGGTCTCACTCTGTTGCCCATCACTCTGTTGCAGTGGTGCCATCATGGCTCACTGCAGCCTCAACCTCCTGGGCTCAAGCCATCTTCCCACCTCAGCCTCCTGACTGACTGGGCCTGCAGGCAGGTGTGCCTAGGTGATTTTTTTTTTTTTTCTTCAAGATGGAGTTTCACTCTTATTGCCCAGGTTGGAGTTACAATGGCGCGATCTCGGCTCACTGCAACCTCCGCTTCCCAGGGTCAAGCAATTCTCCTGCCTCAGCTTCCCAAGTAGTTGAGATTATAGGCACACACCACCATGCTTAGCTAATTTTGTATTTTTAGTAGAGATGGGGTTTCACCATGCTGGTCAGGCTGGTCTTGAACTCCTGACCTGAGGTGAGCCGCCCACCTTGGCCTCCCAAAGTGCTAGAATTACAGGCATGAGCTACTATGCCTACTTATTTTTGTAGTTTTTAAGAGGCAGTGCCCCACTATGTTGCTCAGGCTAGTCTCAAACTCCTTGACTCAAGCACTCCTCCCACCTCAGTGACCCAAAGTGCTAGGATTACAGGCATGAGCAACAGGCATGGAATTTAAACAAAATTCCAGAATTTTCTTTAAATATTACACAAATCTGTTATTATCATGAACGTGTTTACTTTCTTTTGGAATGCAAGTCTGAAATTTATTTCATTCTTGCTTTGGGAAGCTAAAGGAATAGCTCTTCTTAGCCAACTCTGTAGCTTTTTTTTCATATGGTGCAGCAGATTTCATCTTAAATCATCAGAAGAATTTTTCTGTCTTGCCATTTTTGCCCAATAATTTGCTCATCCTGACCCAAAAGCAGACGTATTAGCTGATATAAATCAATATCCAGCAATATAAAATGGGCCAACTGCTGTACATTCCTGGGCAAATTTATGGAGTCCTCCTCAGTCACCCTGGCAAACTTTTTGGCTATTGCATGCAACTCAGTGGGACCAGAGAGTGTAAGAAGCCACTAATAGATTCTGTTTATTATTGAGTGGTGTTGAAATGCATACGCAGGAATTGGAGGAAGGATGGGAAAGCCTTCTGCTCCCTTGTTTGGGGGCTTGTAGACAAGTTTAGGTTCAGCTGTTTTAGGTGACTGTAAAGGGGAAAGAATTGTAATTTTAGAATTTACAAATGTTGGAGATGGACATTCCTGTTAAGATTTTTACTTTATTTTTCCATTTTTTAAAGAGATAAGGTCTTACTCTGTCACCCAGGCTGGAGTGCAGTGGTGCAGTCATAGCTCACTGCAGCCTCCAACTCCTGGGCTCAAGAGATTCTCTTGCCTTAGCCTCCCAAATAGTCAGGACTATAGGTACATGCCACCATGCCTAGCTAATGTTTTTATTCTTTTGTGGGGGTAAAGTCTCACTATTTTACCCATGCTGGTCTTGATCTCTTGGCCTCAGACAATTCTTCCAACTCTGCCTCCCAAAGCACTGGGATTACATGCATGAACCACCCATGGTCTAAATTTTTATTCTAATTTTATTTTTATTTTTTTTTTACTCTAGAAGGGTAGAGACATACTGTCTTGCGGAGAAGGTATATTCGATTTAGTGGACTTTTTAAGGCTTCTGAGTGCTAATTAAATTACACTTCCATACCCTTTACTCATTCTGAGAAGTGCAACCCTTTTTATTTTCAAGGTGTTGTCTTCAAAAAATAGTTTGAAAAGGCCAAATGAGCCCCAAAGGGACTACTGCAACTCCAAACTATTGTTAGTCAAACAGAGCCTTTTAGATAAAAACACATAATTTAGATTAAAAACCCATAACACCTAAACCTATAACAATCTAGATTCCCTCTGGAGAGAGAGGAACTTTCAGTTTGCTTAAAACAAAGGCTTTTATCCTTTCCTTGTCTGAACTTAAAATGGAAACAAGCAAAAAGACTGACAAGGAGCGATGCCAACAAATCCTGAACAAAAGAGAGATCTCAATCAATATGAAAGTTGTTTGGCATGCAAGAGAGCTTATCACTCCTGGTACCAAAGGACACTAAGATCCCAAAGTGCAACAAGGTTTCAGTAGGTACCTCATGGATGACCAAGACCCCTGGAACCATGAAGGATAAAGTCACTTTGCAACCATGCTCCTGACACCAACTGTGAACCCTAAAAAGAAAGACAGAATCAACCAATCAAACACAAATAAGCATTTACTCTGAAATGGATGTTGCAACCTGGGTAGCAGTTAGAGACTGTACCACCTGAGAGGGTGTGGGGGCTTACATTTAAAGGAACTTATTTAGACTATGTAAATTGTCTCATTATTTTATTGGTGGATTCAACAATTAAGTCTGTAATCATTAGTAGAGTAAGTGTAGTTGTGTTAATCCAAAGAAAAGCACATATAGAATGTTTGTCAGTATTAGGACCAGTTTCTTTATATTGCATATGGTTGAAAATATGGTTGTTGTGAAAGAAGTGTGTTTCAGCATTCCTTTCTGTTTTTCAGTATTCAAGAGTAGTTCAATATGGCATTGGTAGCCTAAGATGGAGTCACTGACGGAAAGTTGGAAGCACTTCTAAGCTCACAGTAGCATGCCAAGACTGGGCATGGAAGTCGAGTGTATCTTTTGTAATAAGGCAGCAATCATGGGTATTTTTCTGGCTTCTCTTTTAGCCATTCCAGGGAATTATTGGACTTGAGGAGAGAATTATGGGAAACTAATATGTAGCCAGTCTGTCAGTAGTACAGATTTCTTGGGACTAAGAACTCATATATTAAATAGGCATAACTCTATTTAAATCTGTGGAGTGTTCCGAAACTCCAGTTATTTAGTGTTGGAAATAATTGATAGTTCACAATGGGTAGCTCCAGGAGTTAAAAAAAAAAAAAAAGAGAGAGAGATAGAGACAGATATGAATTCAATGGTTGGACAATAGTTGGTGTTCAGAAAATTGAATAATTGGTAATTGATGTATTCAGATTTGTTTCTCTTAATTTTATTCTAATCATTTGTGTCTTTCAAGGTATTTGTTTCATTTAATTTTTCTCCAGGGTTGATAGTAATGTCCCTTCTGATATCTCTGATTCTAATGTTACAGGTGGTTCTTTGTTCTTAGAGCTACCAAGATGGTGGCTGGCTGCTCCCAAGATGGCCTTTTGTTTTCTGACCTGGGGTTCTTGGCCTCATGGATTCCAAGGAATGGAACCTTGGGGCAGGTGGTGAGTTATAGCTCTATTAGAAGTCGTGGGTCACAGAAGAGAACTGTGGAACCCAGCAACGAGTGTTCAGCTCAATTAGGACGAACCTGGGCACTTAGCCGCACAGGAACAATGACAAGCCTCTAGGCAGATTGGGAGTGGCAATGGGTGCCTTGCTGAATCAGAAGCACATTGGACACCCTGCTGGATCTGGAGGGGTGGAAGTCACGGGTCTATGATGGCGGCGATCAGCAGTGGTGAACGGTGAGTGAAAGCTCAGCTTGTGCTGGACAAACACAGACCAGAAGAGTGTGGTGTTGCAAGATTTAATAGAGTGAAAACAGATCTCCCATATAATTGGAAGGGACCCAAAGGGGGTTGCCTGATCTGGCTTGAATGCCTGGATTTATATCCCGATCATTTTCCCTCCCCCTGTGCTCTCAGGCTATAGATGATTTGACTATTTCTTTACCTCCTGCTTTTAGCCTAATTAGTATTTTAGTGAGCTCTCTTTATTACCTGATTGGTTGGATGTGAGCTGAGTTACAAGCCCCCTGTTTATTGATGGGTGCAGTCACCTTCCCCATAGAGGCTTAGGAATTCTTAGTCGGCCTAGGAAATCCAGCTAGTCCTGTTTCTCACTAGTTATATGAAACTTTTCATGTAAAATTTGTCAATTTTGTTATTTTTTATACAGCCAGCATTTTGTTTTATTGATTGTCTCTACTATTCTCAGTTTCACTGAATCCACCCTAATCGTTATTATTTTCTATCTTATGCTTGTTTGTGGTTTGGTTTTGCTTTTCTTTTGCAGTGTCACTAGATAGAAGGTTAGGTTATTGATCTGAGGTCTTCTCATTTAATGTAGGCATTTACTGCCAAACTTTTTCTCTAAGTCATGCTTTAGATGCATTTTGCAAGTTTTGGTGTGTCAATTTTTTTCATTTATTTTTAAAGTATTTTCTGTTTTCCCTTTTGATTTTCTTCTCATAATGTCAAGTAAAAATTATAGGATGTTATTGAACTATGCTTCTGCAGTAGGTCCGAAAAGACCAGACTAAAAATTAAACTGGGGTCACACATGCTAATGTTCCGCATCCCCAAATGTGAATTAAATTATCTGACCTTCCAACAAATAAAAAGAGAAATGACAGTCAATTTCCCAAACAAGCCAGTTTTAAATTTTCAGGGTCTAGTTCAAAAACGATGCTGTAAAATCGAGCTGACTTACAGACATACAGCACCAAGATGATCATCAGCAACATCCCAGAACTCAAATGTGAGGACAAGACAGATGCAAGGATCACAGAAAAGTGAAAGACAAGGGAGACATATCCATGAGGATAGGCAGAAACAAAGAGGAGCAGTGAGATTACCATCCCTATCCCTGGAAAATGTGCTCTGTAACTTGGCCAAAGAGATGCCAAATCAGAGTGGCTTGTCAGGAGCACTATGATGCAAGAAGTGCATTTCATAGGTACCCTGGCCAAAAATGCCTAGGTAGCATTCCCACTCTGCTGGGATATCCCCTTTGGAACCTCCCTCATTCAAACTGGGCAGTACTCGAATTATTTAATACACCCAAGCAAACCTGGGCTTAAGATACAAACTAGAGTTAAAAAGAGGCAGCAACTTAGCAGTAAAGAATTTAAGCAAATATATCCAATAAAAAGCAAAAGAAGCCAGACGGGTAAGACTGCAATATGTAACCTATCCTTCAATGCAAAGACATGCATAAGAAACAACAGCAAAGAGGAAACTATGACCTTTCCAAACAGAGAAAACAAGAAAAAAGTGACTGACTCTAACAAGATGCCAATATGTGAGCTCTCTAACCAATAATTCAAAGTAGAATTTTAAGGAAACTCAATAATCTTCAACACAATACAGAAAAGCCATCAAAAACTTATCAGAGAAATTTAATGGACATTCAAATATATAACTTTAAAAGCATGCAAATCTTGAAACTAATAAATACTTTTGATAAACTGAAAAATTTGTTAGAGGTTCTTAACAGCAGGATGGATTCAGCAGAATAAGGAATTAGCTCGTAAACAGGCTATTTGAAAACACACAGAGGAAAATTAAAAAAAAAAAGGATAAAAAGGAATAGAAAATTACCTCAAAGAAAAAACAAACTTCAGAATTATTGGTGTTCAAGACAAAGTTGAGCAACAGCAAGGGGTGGGGGACTTATTCAAATAAATAGTAATAAAAAAGTTTCCAAAATTTAACAAGATGTATTCATGTACGAGAAGTTCAGAGAACAACAAACAGATTCAATTCAAAGAAGTCTACCCCAAGGCATATAACAATAAAACTCTAAAAGATCAAAGACAGAGAGGGGACCCTAAAAGCAGCAAGAGAAAACCAAATAACATCAAGGAGCTCAGAATTTTCTGGGAACAGACTTCTCAGCAGAGACCATACAGACCAGGAGAGAGCAGACAATATTTTCAAAGGGCTAAAAACAGGGGAAAAGACACACACACACACACACACACACACACCCCTACCATCCAAGAATACTGTGTTCAAAAAGCTAGTCTTTACATATGAAGGAGAGATAAATTGTTATTCAGAGTGACAAATCAGAGAAGTCAACACCATCAGAACTACTTTACAAGACATGCTAAAAATAACTCTTCTTCTTTGGCCAGGGTACCTGTGAAATAATAAAGCACCATGCAAAAAGAATGAATTTGACTGTATAAAAGCCACTGGTTAAATTTAGTACACAGACAAACTGAGAAATGTAATTGTAATATGCAATTCACTTCTAATTGTAGTAGGAAGTCCAAATGTTGATAGCTACAATAACATGTTGAGGTGAGTAATATAAAAATATATAAATTGATACAAATAAAAGTCAAAATGTAGAGGTGATTGAATTAATGTCCAGAATTTTTCTTTATGCCTTTGTTTCTGTATAATCTAAAATTAGTCGTCTTCACTTAAAATAACTTACTGTAAGATTTTTTTTTTGTAAGCCTCATGGTAACCACAATGCAAACATCTTTAAGAGACAATCTGAAAAGCAATGAATTAAGCCACAGTACCAGAGACAATCACTTAACCACAAAGAAAGACAGTGAGAAAGGGAAAACAGTTTAAAAAGAATGTGAAAACTTGCCACAAAATGGCAGTAGTAAGTGCTTTTTTTAAAAAAAATATTTTTTTGAGACAGGATCTTCTTCTGTCACCCAGCAGAGGGCAGTGGCAAAATCATGACTCACTGCAGCTTCACCAAACCCAGTGTAAGTCCTTCATAACAGTGGATGTAATTGGAATCAATTGATCAGTTAAAAGGCATAGAGTGGCTGAATGGATTCAGAAATGAGACCCAATTTTATGCTACCTACAAGAAACCCACTTTACCTATAGAGACACAGAGACTGAAAACAAACAAGTGGGAGAAAATATTCCATGCAATTGGAAAGCAAAAATGAGTAGAAGTAGTTATGATTATGTCAGATTAAATAAATGACTAATCAAACACAAAAAGAAACAAAAAAAGGTCACTATATAATGATTCAGCAAGAGGATATAACAGTTACAAATACATTTGCACACAACACCAGAGCTTCCAAGTATATACAGCAAATAATGGATCTCAAGGGAGAGACAGAATGCAAATAATAATAGTAGGTGACTATGAATCCATTCTCAGTAATGATGGATTCACACAGAAAATCAACAAAGAAATATCAGAGTTAAACAGTGTACTAGACATAATAGGCTTAAATGACATTTACAGAACATTTTATCCAACTGCTGCACAGAATTTTATCAGCACGTGAAATATTCTGCAGAAGAGATTATATCTTAGGCCACTTAACAAGTCTGAAAAAACTCAAAAAAATAAAAATAATATCAGGTATCTTGTCTGACCACAGTGGAATATCACTAGAAATCTGTAACAAGAAGAATCTTGGGAAATACACAAATACGTGGAAGCTAAACACTATGTTCCTGAATGACCAGTTGGTCAGCATAGAAATTAAGGAAACATTTATTTTTTTTTTCTTTTATTGAAGTCAAAAGACAGTGAAGAAATTTAATTTTTTTGAAGCAAAGGAACATGGAACTACAACACACCAAATTCTGTGTTTAGCAAAAACAGTACTAAGCTGTACTAAATGGGAAGTTTATAGCAATGAACAACTATATTGAAAAAGTAAGAAGACATCAAAATAACAACCTAATGGTTCACCTCAAGGAACTAGGAAAGTAAGAACAAACCAAACCCAAGTAGAAAGAAGAAATAATAAAGATCACAGCATATATAAATAAAATTGAGAAAATACAAAATATTAATGAAATAATTGTTTTTAAAGATAAATTGACAAAACCTTATCAGACTAAGAAAAGAGGAGATTGAATAAAATCAGAAATAAAAAAGATGTAACAACTGAGACCACCGAATACAGACCCTGGATACGTACAAGTTCCAAGGTGAACCATGATGATATGGAAAACCTCAACACACCAGTAATGAGTAATGTTATTAAAGCCATAAGAAAAAGTCATCCGTGAAAGAAAAGCACAAAATTGATGCCTTCACTGCTAAATTCTATGAAACATCTAAGGAAGAACAAATATCAGTTCTACTCAAACTCCTTAAAAGTAAATGGAAGAGGAGGGAATACTTCCAAACTCATTCTGTAGGTTTAGCATTACCCTGATACCGAAACCAGACGGGAACACAACAAAAAGAGAAAAACTACATGCCAGTAGCACTGATAAACTTAGATGCAAAAAATCCTCAATAAATTACTAAGAAGCCAAATTTGACATTAAGAATATTATTTACCATGATCAAATGTCCTATATCCCAGGGATGAAATAATGGTTCAACATACACAAATCGGTAAATGTGATACATTAACAGAAGAAAGAACAAAAACCACATGATTATTTCAACGGATGCAAAATAAAAGCTCTTAAATAAAATTTAACAACACTTTATGACAAAAGACTTAAACTGGCCGTAGAAGTAATGATATACCTCAAAATAATACAGGACATGTTTACATCTAAACAGTAACTTTATGGACAAATTTACAGCTAAAATCATATTTTACAGAAAAAAAAATTGGAGGTCTTTTTTTGTAAAATCTGTAACAAGAGAAGATGCTCACTTTTACCACTTTACTATAATACTAGAAGTCCTGGCCAGAGGAGTCAGGCTTGAAAAAGAAATAAAGGGGTTGGGCGTGGTGGCTCACGCTTGTAATCCCAGCACTTTGGGAGGCTGAGAGGGGGGCATCGCGAGATCAGGAGATCGAGACCATCCTGGCTAACACCGTGAAACCCCATCTCTACTAAATATAAAAAAAATTAGCCGGGCGTGGCAGCGTGGGCTTGTAGTCCCAGCTACTTGGGAGGCTCAGGCAGGAGAATGGCGTGAACCCGGGAGGTGGAGCTTGCAGTGAGCTGAGATCAGCGCCACTGCACTCCAGCCTGGGCAACTAAGCGAGACTCTGTCTCAGAAAAAAAAAAAAAAAGATTGATATTCATAATGTGTAAAATGTGTCTACAAAAAAAGGAGAAGGAAGAGCAACTCCAAAAAAAACAAACAAACAAAAAAAAAAAAAAACAAGAACAACAACAACAAAGCAACAGGTTGTTCCAAGGAAATTTTCAGAAAAGAAAAATTGCATAGCTAATATACCACAAAGAAATTATAAAATTAAAACAATGTTAGCATTTCACAGTTCCTGGGTTGACAGACATAAACAGTATCAAGAGTTGGTTGGCTAAGGAGCAGGGAATGGAGAACACTCTTCTTGCTTGAAAGAATGACTCCTGGTATACTGGGCATATTATGGTAAAATAATGTAAAAACCATTAGTAAATGGTTTTTACTAATGTAAACCCATTAGTTTTATGGCTTAATGAAACAGGACAAATTATTTTATAAAACTGATATATATAATCATATTTTAATAAACATAGACATAGACCCTACAAGCTTTGAAACTTGAGAACGTTTAATTTGTCTTATCTGAATTCCTTTCTCAGAAAACTAACCATCTGGCCTCCCAGGTTTCAGACACATAGTTTGTGAAGATTTTTCTCCCACTCTGTGTGTTGTCTGTTTTCTCTATTGATTATTTCTTTTGCATTGCAGAGGAGCTTTTTAGTTTAATTAGGTTACATCTATTTATTTTTGTTTTTTTAAATTATTTGTATTGAGTTTGCTTTTGTGTTCTTGGTCATGAACTCTTTGCCTAAGCCAATGTCTAGAAGGGTTTTTCCAATGTTATCTTCTAGAATTTTTATGGTTTTATGTTTTAGATTTAAGGCTTTGATTCATCTTCAGTTGACTTTTGTGTAAGGGGAGAGTTGAGGATCCAGTTTCATTCTTCCACATGTGGCTTACCAGTTATCCCAGCACCATTTATTTAATATGGTGTCTTTTTCCTTCCTATGTTTTTGTTTCCTTTGTGGAAGATCAGTTGGCTGAAAATATTTGGCTTTATTTCTGGGTTCTCTATTTTTTCCATTGGTCTTTGTGCCTGTATTTATACCAATACCGAGACAGCCAGGGGGTAGGGAGTCCCTGGAGAAACGCCAACCAGTCTGCCCACTGAAGTGGGGGGAGGCTCTGGGAGCTCATCACGTTTACAGCTGGGAGGAACCTGGCTCCTCGTCTTCTAGGAGGGGAATCTGGCCTTGTGAAAGATCCCTGTTTCCCTTTATTTTCCCCTTTCACCCAATAAAACCCTCCATTATTCACCCTTTAAACCACCTGTCAACCCAAATTTCTGTGGCTGTGGGATGGACAGGAAACCAGTCTTTAGCTGAACTAATGAAAAGTCCTGCAACAATACCATAGCTGTTTTGGTAATTATAGCCTTGTAGTATAGTTTGAAGTTGGGTACTGTGACACCTCCAGATTTGTTCTTTTTGCTTAGTGTTGCTTTAGCTATGAGGGCTCTTTTTTGTTTCCATATGAATTTTAGGATTGTTTTTTTCTAGTTCTGTGAGGAAAGATAGTGGTATTTTGATGGGAATTGCATCAAAAATTTGTATATTGCTTTGATACTATACTCATTTTCACAATATTGATTCTACCCATCCAGGAGCATGGAATGTGTTTCCATTTGTTTGTGTTATCGTCTGTGATTTTTTTCAGCAGTGTATTGTAGTTTTCCTTGTAGAGATCTTTCACATCCTTGGTTAGGTATATTTCTAAGTATTTTAACTTATTTTTTGGCAGCTGTCATAAAAGTGATTGAGTTATTGATTTGAATCTTAGCTTGGTCATTGTTGGTGTGTGCACTGTGTGCATTGATTTTGTATCATGAAACTTTACTGAATTCATTTATTGGATCTAGGAGCTTTTTGGATGAGTCTTTAGGGTTTTCTAGGTATACAATCATATCATCACTGAACAGTGACAGTTTGACTTTCTATGTATTGATTTGGATGCCCTTTGTTTCTTTCTGTTGTTTGATTGGCTAATACCTATTCACTTTCCCACAGTGGTTTGAAATTCTGGAGGCAGCAACTACTAAACATCAAATTACAGTATTTTAACTTGTTAAATGCTAGAGAGAACTGCAGTAGACATTCTGCATTGTAAATATTCTATTAACTACTATTCGTGCTGTTAAGTTACAGAGTTTTGACTTCTGGGTCTGAAAAAGGCAGCTACTTCCTTTTATTATTATTATTATTATCATTATTATTATTACACTTTAAGTTTTAGGGTACATGTGCACAATGTGCAGGTTAGTTACATATGTATACATGTGCCATGCTGGTGTGCTGCACCCATTAACTCATCATTTAGCTTTAGGTATATCTCCTAATGCTATCCCTCCCCCCTCCCCCCACCCCACAACAGTCCCCAGAGTGTGATGTTCCCCTTCCTGTGTCCATGTGTTGTCATTGTTGTCATTGTTCAATTCCCATCTATGAGTGAGAACATGTGGTGTTTGGTTTTTTTGTCCTTGCGATAGTTTACTGAGAATGATGATTTCCAATTTCATCCACGTCCCTACAAAGGACATGAACTCATCATTTTTTATGGCTGCATAGTATTCCATGGTGTATATGTGCCACATTTTCTTCATCCAGTCTATCATTGTTGGACATTTGGGTTGGTTCCAAGTCTTTGCTATTGTGAATAGTGCTGCAATAAACATACATGTGCATGTGTCTTTATAGCAGCATGATTTATAGTCCTTTGTGTATATACCCAGTAATGGGATGGCTGGGTCAAATGGTATTTCTAGTTCTAGATCCCTGAGGAATCGCCACACTGACTTCCACAATGGTTGAACTAGTTTACAGTCCCACCAACAGTGTAAAATTGTTCCTATTTCTCCACATCCTCTCCAGCACCTGTTGTTTCCTGACTTTTTAATGATTGCCATTCTAACTGGTGTGAGATGGTATCTCATTGTGGTTTCGATTTGCATTTCTCTGATGGCCCGTGAAGATGAGCATTTTTTCATGTGTCTTGTGGCTGCATAAATGTCTTCTTTTGAGAAGTGTCTGTTCATATCCTTTGCCTACTTTTTGATGGGGTTGTTTGTTTTTTTCTTGTAAATTTGTTTGAGTTCATTGTAGATTCTGGATATTAGTCCTTTGTCAGATGAGTAGGTTGCAAAAATTTTCTCCCATTTTGTAGGTTGCCTGTTCACTCTGATGGTAGTTTCTTTTGCTGTGCAGAAGCTCTTTAGTTTAATTAGATCCCATTTGTCAATTTTGACGTTTGTTGCCATTGCTTTTTGTGTTTTAGACATGAAGTCCTTGCCCATGCCTATGTCCTGAGTGGTAATGCCTAGGTTTTCTTCTAGGGTTTTTATGGTTTTAGGTCTAACGTTTAAGTCTTTAATCCATCTTGAATTAATTTTTGTATAAGGTGTAAGGAAGGGATCCAGTTTCAGCTTTCTACATATGGCTAGCCAGTTTTCCTAGCACCATTTATTAAATAGGGAATGCTTTCCCCATTGCTTGTTTTTCTCAGGTTTGTCAAAGATCGGGTAGTTGTAGATATGCGGCGTTATTTCTGAGGGCTCTGTTCTGTTCCATTGATCTATATCTCTGTTTTGGTACCAATACCATGCTGTTTTGGTTACTGTAGACTTGTAGTATCGTTTGAAGTCAGGTAGAGTGATGCCTCCAGCTTTGTTCTTTTTGCTTAGGATTGACTTGGCGATGCGGGCTCTTTTTTGGTTCCATATGAACTTTAAAGTAGTTTTTTCCAATTCTGTGAAGAAAGTCATTGGTAGCTTGATGGGGATGGCATTGAATCTATAAGTTACCTTGGGCAGTATGGCCATTTTCACAATATTGATTCTTCCTACCCATGAGCATGGAAGGTTCTTCCATTTGTTTGTATCCTCTACTTCTCTTAAATCTTGAATGTTGAAACCAATTAAAGCCTTACCTTCAGACCCATCTTCATTTGATGGGTCTTGATCTGGCCTTGTGAAAGATCCCTGTTTCCCTTTATTTTCCCCTTTCACCCAATAAAACCCTCCATTACTCACCCTTTAAGCCATCTGTGAACCTAAATTTCTGTGGCTGTGGGACGGACAGGAGCCCAGTCTTTAGCTGAACTAATGAAAAGTCCTGCAACAATACCATAGCTGTTTTGGTAATTAAAGCCTTGTAGTATAGTTTGAAGTTGGGTACTGTGACACCTCCAGATTTGTTCTTTTTGCTTAGTGTTGCTTTAGCTATGAGGGCTCTTTTTTGTTTCCATACTAATCAATCAAAATGCACGGTTCTTGTGAAACAGAGGTCCAGAAATCAAAACTATTCAATCCATATAGGCCCAGGGACTATTGTGGAAGATGGATGATTCTGATTCTTTGAATTATCTGAAAATTAGTTGAGAGATTTTCTATATATTAAACATTAATGTCAAAAGCACACTGATGTAAGTCCAGGACCTGGTCCTCTGTGTCAGAATAACAGGGTTTTCTTGGAGCATTGATCTGCTCTTTAATAAAAAATTGTAAATGGTTCTGGTACGTTGTGTCTTTGTTCTATTGGTTTCAAAGAACATCTTTATTTCTGCTTTTATTTTCTTATTTACCTAGTAGTCATTCAGGGTTCAGTTTCCACGTAGTTGTGTGGTTTGAGTGAGTTTCTTAATCCTGAGTTCTAATTTGATTGCACTGTGATCTGACAGACTGTTATGATTTCCATTCTTTTTCATTTCCTGAGGAGTGTTTTACTTCCAATTATGTGATCAATTTTAGAATAAGTGTGATGTGGTGCTGAGAAAAATGTATATTTTGTTGATTTGGGGTGGAGAGTTCTGTAGATGTTTATTAGGTCTGCTTGGTCCAGAGTGAGTTCAAGTCCTGGATATCCTTGTTAATTTTCTGCCTCATTGATCTGTCTAATATTGACAGTGGGATGTTAAAGTCTCCCACTATTATTGTGTGGGAGCCTAAGTCTCTTTGTAGGTCTTAAGAACTTGCTTTATGAATCGGGGTGTTCCTATATTGGGTGCATAAATATTTATAATACTTAGCTCTTCTTGTAGCATGGATTCCTTTACCATGATGTAATGCCCTTCTTTGTCTTTTTTTGATCTTTGTTGGCTTAAAGTCTGTTTTATCAGAGACTAGGATTGGAACCCCTGCTTTTTTTTGCTGTCCATTTGTTTGGTAAATATTCCTCCATCCCTTTATTTTGAGCCTATGTGTGTCTTTGCATGTGAGATGGGTCTCCTGAATACAGCACACTGATGGGTCTTGACTCTTTATTCAATTTGCCAGTCTGTGTCTTTTAATTGGGGCATTTAGCCCATTTACATTTAAGGTTAATATTGTCATGTGTGAATTTGATCCTGTCATTATGATGCCAGCTGGCTATTTTGCCTGTTAGTTGATGCAGTTTCTTCACAGTGTCGATGGTCTTTACAATCTAGCATGTTTTTGCAGTGGCTGGTACCGATTGTTTCTTTCCATGTTTAGCGTTTCCTTCAGGAGCTTGTTTAAGGCAGGCCTGGTGGTGACAAAATCTCTCAGCATTTGCTTGTCTGTAAAGGATTTTATTTCTCCTTCACGTATGAAGCTTAGTTTGGTTGGATATGAAATTCTGGGTTGAAAATTATTTTCTTCAAGAATGTTCAATATTGGCCTCCACTGTCTTTTGGCTTGTAGGGTTTCTGCCAAGAGATCCACTGTTAGCCTGATCAGCTTCCCTTTGTGGGTAACCCAACATTTCTCTCTGACTGCCCTTAACATTTTCCCCTTCATTTCAACCTTGGTGAATCTGATGATTGTGTGTCTTTGGGTTGCTCTTCTCGAGGAATATCTTTGTGATGTTCTCTGTGTTTCCTGAATTTGAATGTTGGCCTGTCTTGCTCAGTGGGGGGAGTTTTCCTGGATCATATCCTGAAGAGTGTTTTCCAGCTTGGTTCCATTCTCCCTGTCACTTTTAGGTACATCAATCAAATGTAGGTTTGGTTTTTTAACATAGTCCCATATTTCTTGGAGGCTTTGTGTGTTTCATTTCACTCTTTTTTCTCTAATCTTGTCCTTTCACTTTATTTCATTAAATTGATCTACAATTTCTGATATCTATTCTTCTGCTTGTTTGATTTGGCTATTGGTACTTGTGTATGCTTCACGAAATTCTTGTGCTGTGTTTTTCAGCTTCATCAGGTCATTTATGTTCTTCTCTAAACTGGTTATTCTAAAGCTAGCAGAAGACAAGAAATAACTAAGATCTGAGCAGAACTGAAGGAGATAGAGACATGAAAAACCCTTCAAAAAATCAATGAATCCAGGAGCTGTTTTTTTTTAAAAGATCAACAAATTAGATAGACTGCTAGCCAGTCTAAAGAAGAAAAGGGAGAAGAATCAAATAGATGCAATAAAAAATGATACAGGGGATACCACCTCAATCCCACAGAAATACAAACTACCATCAGATAATAATACTATAAACATCTCTATGCAAATAAACTAGCAAATCTAGAAGAAAGGGATAAATTCCTAGACACATATGCCCTCCCAAGATTATATCAGGAAGAAGTCGAACCTCTGAATAGACCAATAACAAGTTTTGAAATTGAGGCAGTAATTAATAGCCTACCAACTAAAGAAACTCCAGGTCCAGACAGATCCACAGGCGAATTCTGCCAGAGGTATAAAGAGGAGCTGGTACCGTTCCTTTTTTTTTTTTTTTGAGACAGAGTCTCACTCTGTCACCAGGCTAGAGTACAATGGCATGATCTTGGCTCACTGCAGCCTCCACTCCAGTGATTCTCCTGCCTCAGCCTCCCGAGTAGCTGGGACTACAGTCACGCGCCACCATGCCCAGCTAATTTTTTTTATTTTTTCAGTAGAGGTGGGGTTTCACCATGTTGACCAGGACGGTCTCGATCTCCTGACCTGGTGAGCCACCCACCTCAGCCTTCCAAAGTGCTGGGATTACAAGCATGAGCCACCATCCCCGGCCAGTACCATTCTTTTACAAACTATTTCAAACAGTAGAAAAAGAGGGAATTCTCCCTATCTCATTTTATGAGGCCAGCATCATCCTGATACCAAAACCTGGCAGAGACACAGCAAAAAAAGAAAATTACAGGCCAACATTGCTGATTAACATCGATGTGAAAATCCTCAGTAAAATACTGGCAAACCAAATCCAGCAGCACATTAGAAAGCTTATCCACCACAATTAAGTCAGCTTCATCCCTGAGAAGCAAGGCTGATTCAACATATGCAAATCAATAAATGTAATTCATCACATAAACATAACCAATGACAAAATCCACATGATTATCTCAATAGATGTAGAAAAGGCCTTTGACAAAATTCAATAGCCCTTCATGCTAAAAACTCTCAATAAACTAGGGACTGATGGAACGTATCTCAAAATAGTTAGAGTTATTATGACAGACCCATAGCCAATATCATACTGAATGGGCAAAAACTGGAAGCATTCCCTTTGAAAACCAGCACAAGACAAGGATGCCCTCTCTCACCACTCCTATTCAACATAGTATTGGAATTCCTGGCCAGGGCAATCAGGCAGGAGAAACAAATAAAGTGTATTCAATTAGGAAAAGAGGAAGTCAAATTGTCTCTGTCTGCAGATGACATACTATATATTTAGAAAACTCCATCATCTCAGCCCAAAATCTCCTTAAGCTGATAAGAAACTTCAGCAAAGTCTCAGGATACAATATCAAAGGGCAAAAATCACAAGTATTCCTATACATCAATAACAGACAAAAAGAGAGCCAAATCATGAGTAAATTCCCAATCACAATTGCTACAAAGAGAATAAAATACCTAGGAATCCAACTCACAAGGGATGTGAAGGACCTCTTCAAGGAGAACTACAAACCACTGCTCAAGGAAATAAGAGAGGACACAAACAAATGTAAAAACATTCCATACTCATGGACAGAAAGAATCAATATCGTGAAAATGGCCATACTGTCCAAAGTAATTTACAGATTTAATGCTATTTCCATCAAGCTACCATTGACTTTCTTCACAGAATTGGAAAAAAGCTACTTTAAATTTTATATGGAACCAAAAAAGAGCCTGCATAGCCAAGACAATCCTAAGCAAAAAGAACAAAGCTGGAGGCATCACACTAGCTGACTTCAAACTATACTACAAGGCTATAGTAACCCAAACAGCATGGTACTGGTACCAAAACAGATATATAGCCAATGGAACAGAACAGAGGCCTCAGAAATAATACCACACATCTACACCATCTGATCTTTGACAAACCTGACAAAAAGAAGAAATGGGGAAAGGATTCTCTATTTAATAAATGGTGCTGGGAAAACTGGCTAGCCATATGCAGAAAGCTAAAACTAGATTCCCTCCTTACACCTTATACAAAAATTAACTCAAGATGGATTAAAGACTTAAACGTAAGACCTAAAACCATAAAAGCCCTAGAAGAAAACCTAGGCAATACCATTCAGGACAGGCATGGGCAAAGACTTCATGACTAAAACACCAAAATCAATGGCAAGAAAAGCCAAAATTGACAAATGGGATCTAATTAAACTAAAGAGCTTCTGCATAGCAAAATAAACTATCATCAGAATGAACAGGCAGCCTACAGAATGGGAGAAAACTTTTGCAATCTATCCATCTAACAAAGGGCTAATATCCAGAAACTACAAAGAAAAACAAATCTACAAGAAAAAAACAAACAACCCCATCAAAAAGTGGGCGAAGGATATGAACAGACACTTCTGAAAAGAATGCATTTATGCAGCCAACAAACATATGAAAAAAGGCTCATAACACTGGTCATTAGAGAAATGCAAATCAAAACCACAATGAGATACCATCTCACACCAGTTAGTATGGTGATCATTAAAAAGTCAGGAAACAACAGATGCTGCAGAGGATGTGGAGAAGTAGGAATGCTTTTACACTGTTGGTGGGGTGTAAATTAGTTCAACCATTGTGGAAGACGGTGTGGCGATTCCTCAAGGACCTAGATCTAGAAATACCATTTGACCCAGAAATCCCATTACTGGGTATATACCCAAAGGATTATAATTATTCTATTATAAGTCACATGAACATGTATGTTTATTGTGGCACTGTTCCCAAGAGCAAAGACTTGGAAACACCCCAAATATACATCAGTGATAGACTGGATAAAGAAAATACGGCACATATATAGCATGGAGTACTCTGCAGCCATAGAAAAGGATGTGTTCATGTCCTTTGCAGGGACATGGATGAAGCTGGAAATCATCATTCTCAGCAAACTAACACAAGAACAGAAAACAAAGACCACTTGTTCTCACTCATAAGTGGGAGTTGAACAATGAGAACACATGGACACAGGGAGGGGAACATCACACACTGGGGCCTGTTGGTGGGTTGGAGGCTAGCGGAGGGATTGCATTAGGAGAAATACCTAATGTAGATGATGGGTTGATGGGTGCAGCAAACCACCATGGCATGTGTATACCTATGTAACAAACCTGCATGTTGTGCACATGTACCCCAGAACTTAAAGTATAATAATAAAAAAATTGTAAATGATTATTAAAGGCTTATGAAATATTTACCTTATAATAATCTAATTTAAAAAAATATGGTGTCAGTCAATTCTAACTATTCACTATTTCCTTATAGCAATTGACTTCAGAGTTCCATTAAACCTCTTTTTCTTTATAAATTGCCCAGTCTCAGGTATGTGTTTATCAGCAGCAAGAAAATGGACATACAAAAACCATCAGATCTTGTGATACTCACTCATTTTCATGAAAACAGTATGGGGAAAATCTCATGATCCATTCACTTTTCACTGTGTCCCTCCCACAGCAGGTGGGGATTATAGGGATTACAATTTGAGGTTACAATGTGACACAGGGGACACAGCAAAATCATATCAAATAGATTTGTTTATAAGGGTTTATTAAAATAGTTTAATAATACAACAGAAAAAGGTAAAATTTGGTTTTCTCTTTTGAAATTATTTTTTCTTTTCCTTTTTTTTAGGATCTCAGTTTGGCTTTCAGGCTGTAGAGCATTGGTGTGATTGCAGGTTACTGCAGCCTCAACCTTCCAGGTTCAGATGATACCTCCACGTCAGCCCCCTGAGTAGCTGCAACTACAGGCATGAACCACCACACCCAGCTATTTTTTCTGTTTTTTGGTAGAGATAGGGTTTTCCTATGTTGCCCAGACTGGTCTCAAACTCCTGGGCTCAAGTGATCTGCCTGTTTCAATCTCCCAAAATGCTGAGATTATAGGCATGAGCCACTGTGCCTGGCCTGAACAGAATTTGTGTGTAATATTAATTAGAAATGGTCCTGCTATTATGTATCTTTGGTGGAAGTAAGGGGCTGGAGAGAGAAAGATTGTGTTTCAGAAGAAAACTATAGTATTAATTTCACCTTTGATTCCCAGTTGGCCAAGAGGCCACCATCATATGGAGCTACCGAAAATGCCCCTTCTCAGCATTGTGAAAGGAAAATATCTTGGGTCCCTTCAAGGTAGTAACTACTCAGGGCAAATCTGCTTCCCATTATATTCAAAGTCATCCTTCTGATCACTGAGTTAGATGCATATCTGATTGCCTCCTTTGGATAGGCTTCTCAGAAACTCAAAAGAATACAACCATTTGTCTCTCACCTACCTGTAACATGGAAGCCCCCTCCCTGCTTTGAGTTGTCCCTGCCCTTCTGGATGGAACCAATGTACTTCTTACATATATTGACTGATGTCTTATTTCTCCCTGAAATGTATCAAACCAGGCTGTGCCCCAAACACCTTGGCCACATGTCATGAGGACATCCTGAGGCTATGTCATGGGTGTGTATCCTCAACTTTGGCAAATATACCTCCTTGAACTTGGAAAGTTTTAAAGTGTGTCTTATCAGAGTTCCTTTCTCAGGCAGCCCACCATCAGGCCTCCCATGTAGTATCAAGGAACTAAAACATAACTAGATTACTCCATTGGGATAATGAGATGCCAGACCCCTCACCCATTGCAATTGCATAACTGACCACTTGCTTCCTGTTGACCAAATCATCTTCTTTACACCTCCATAATTTCTGTTTTTCTGCATGTGTTTATATTTTTTCCCTGCTATATAAACCTTTGACTTTAGTTGCTTGGCACGATGGATTTGAGACTGAGCTCCTATCTTGTTGCCTGCAGCACCTGATTAAGCTTCTTCCCTATAAATATTTCTTGTTTTAGTAAATGGCTTCCTTTTCAGTGAGCAGCAGGACCTAGACTGAACCCCTGGCATTTTGGTAACATTAATCATTGATATGGTTTAGCTATGTCCCCATCCAAATCTCATCTTGAATTATATAGTTCCCATAATCCCCACATGTTGTGGGAGTGGCCTGGTGGGAGGTAACTGAATCATGGGAGCAGTTACCTGCTTGCTGCTTTTCTCATGATAGTGCATGAGTTCTCATGAGATCTAATGGTTTTATATGGGGCTTTTCCCCCTTTTGCTTGGAACTTCTCCTCACTGCTGCCATGTAAAGAATGATGTGTTTGCTTACCCTTCCACCATGATTGTAAATTTCCTGAGGCCTCCCTAGCCATTTTGAAATGTGAGTCAGGAAAGCCTCTTTTCTTTATAAATTACCCAGTCTCAGGTGTGTCTTTATTAGCAACATGAGAATGGACTAATAACAATCCTCAGTGGAAAAGCTATTTTAGATCTGGACAAAGAGGATTTTACAAGAGTGTGCTAATGTTTTTCAAAATGTGCTTGGTGTTGGGGAAAACTATTGATACGTGAGCCCTAAAATCAGTTCCTACAAGTAGGGCCCAGAAATCTCCATTTTTTAAAAAAGATGTTTCTCTGGAAATTTAAGAACTATAGCTGTTTTCTGAAATATAAGTGGTCTGATTTTTATTTAGCTGTTCCTTGGTTATGCTAATTGGTTTCTTGTTTTGTTTTATTTGTTTTTTTTTTTTTTTTTTTTTTTTGAGATGGAGTCTTGCTCTGTTGCCTAGGCTGGAGTACAGTGGCATGATCTCAACTCACTGCAGCCTCTGCCTCCCAGGTTCAAGTGATTCTCCTGCCTCAGGCTCCCGAGTAACTTAAACTACAGGCACATACCACCATGCCTGGCTAATTTTTATATTTTTAGTAGAGTCAGGGTTTCTCCATGTTGGCCAAGGTGGTCTCAGACTCCTGACCTCAGGTGATCCACCTGCCTTGGCCTCCCAGATAATTGTTTTTAAAATAAGTGGTATTGCATTGGTCCACATAAACATGAAGGAAGCAAGTAGTGTCTATAGAGCTTGTTCCTCAACAAAAATACTTGCGAATGTGAAGGTAAACTTTTCTTTTTGTATTTGTCTTTGTTTGTCTTTCAAACCTGTGAAGTATTTTGAATATACACACATGGAGAATTACTCCACATATCCATCACTCAGCTTCTATAACTGTTACAACATAGACAAATCTTATTTCATGTATACCTTTCACCTATTTCACGATCCACTCATGATCCTCCCTCAACTTCACAGTTTTTTGAAGCAAATTTCTGAAATATCATTTCCTGTAAAAATATTTTGATGGCATATCTTTAAAAGATAGGAATTCTTTTTTAAGGGTATAATTACATAATCATGTCAAAATAAACATTAACAAAAGCATTCAAATTCAACATATTAACAAGAATATGTAGGTATATAATAATATATATATTTGTATTGTATCTGTATATCATAATAGATGTATATTCATGTATATCTGTATATATAGGCATATTAAGAGTTTATATATTTCAAAGTCATAGTTTTTATAGTTATTTTTCTGGATCAGGATTAAAATAAATCTTATATAATTGTTTAATATGCCTTTTAAGCATCTTCTAATTTATTGATTTTCCCCTCCATTTTTATCTCATATTTTTTATTTAATAAAGAAAAGTCATTTGTCCAGTAGAGTTTCTCGCCCTCTGAATTGTGTTAATCTATTCCTGTAAAACACTCCCCACCACCATGGCTTTACATGTTTCTCTAAGCCCCTAAATTTATTGTAAATTAGTGGTTAAATCTAGAGGATTGATTGTGTACAAGACTGCTTTGGGGGAGTTAGGAAACAAATTACTTTATAGATCTTATTGTGCATATCCTTCATAGGGCACATATCTAATTGTCTTCTAGTAGTCACTGATAATCATTGCTTTAGATTAATTTAGGTACTAGGGCTTGCAAAATGGTGGTATTCTCCTATTGTCTATCCTTTATGAATTACTTGGAGTACACTTGTTTTTTGTATTTGACGTTTTTATTTTAGGCTGTAAAAACAAAAACAAGCCAAACAAGCCAGCAAGCAAACAAGAAGAAGAAAACAACAACAACACAAACCTTGAAATAGACTTGTCAGATGTAAATATTTCTTTTCTAGGGAAATAGAAGGTAGGCCATCTTACTTTACTGATGCTTGCTCTCTGTGAGGTTTTGATCCTGCTTTGGATTTTTGTTTTGTTGTTGTTGTTATTGTTGTTTTTTTTGAGACAGGATCTTACTCTGTCAGACAAGGCTGAGTGCAGTGACATAATCATGGCTCACTGCAGCCTTAACCTCTTAGACTCAGGTGATTGACCTTCCTCAGCCTCCCAAGTAGCTGAGACTTCAGGTGTGCACCACTATACCTGGCTAATTTTTGTATTTTTTGGTAGAGATGGGATTTTACCAGGGTGATCTTTGGTCAGGGTGGTCTCTAACTCCTGGCCTCAAGTGATATGCCTGTTTCAGCCTCCTAAAGTGTTGGATTACAGGTGTGAGCCACCATACCCAGCCTGGATAATTTTTCTCATCTCTTTTTGTTTCCTCTTTATCATCCATTTCTTCACTTTCTTCATCATAATCATCATCATCTTCAACACTTGCTCCAGTAAAGTGTAACACTGATTTTGGGATTATACACCATTTTCACAGTCTGCAGCAAATACAGCTTCAGCAGCATCATCCAGAACTGCATTCTCAGAACTTCAGGCAGGCAGAAAAAAATTAAAGTCATCAGAAACTGTTTTATTCCCATTAGAAACTGTCCCACATTCCTTGTGTTTCTGCTTCTTAAAGGTTTTTATTCCTTTTTTCCCAGTCCATCTGGCACCCTGTAGAACCCATAATTTCTGGCCTATCAAAAGAAAAATGATGAGAGTCTTCTGATTTTGACTTCATACTATATGTCTTTGTCAACACTTCATTTGTGAAATATTCAGGGTTCAAAGTGAAATTCTAAGACAAAACTCATAGGTTGGCCAGCATCTGAGAACTTCACCTTAACATCTTTGAAGTGCTTCAGAATAGGTTCATCATGTTCCTGAACTATATCATTGAGCAAGTCCAAAATTTAGGAATTCCTTTGGGGTCTTTGTTTTCTTCATCCATTTTTTCATGATCAACCTTGGCCTTTCTTTCAGCTTTGAATTTCAGCTGAAATTTTGTCTTCTTTATCTCCTTTCAATTCACATTTTTCTTCCATAGTTCATAAATTGCATTAATAACATCAAATCACGTATCAAATAGAGGCTGAGAGGGAGTAGCATACTTCCTTTCAGGATCATAAACTTCCTCATGGAATTTGGCCTCTGTCTGTGCACATTTAAGTTGCAGGTTTTTGAGAGCATTGACTCATCTTTAACTACCTTAGGCAATCATTCAATATATCTTGTTGATCTTTCTACCAAACCATCAAGTCTTTCTCTAAAGCCTGTAAGAATCTGAGGATTTTCCATCATCTGAACAAATCTGCTTTGATTTTTTTCTCTTCACCAGTTTCTTTTCTTTTCTTTCTTTTTTTGAAACGGAATCTCACTCTGTTGCCCAGGCTGGAATGCAGTGGCGCAATCTCAGCTCACTGCAACCTCCGCCTCCCAGGTTCAAGCAGTTCTCTGCCTCAGCCCCCCAACTAGCTGGGACTACAGGCATGCACCACCACACCTCATTTTTATATTTTTAGTAGAGACAGGGTTTCACCATGTTGGCCAGGCTGGTCTTGAACTCATGATCCACCTGCCTTGGCCTCCCAAAGACTTGGGATTACAGGCGTGAGCCACCATGCCTGCTCTTTTTCTACTTCTTCAATGCCAGTCAATTTTTTTTTTTTTTTTTTTTGGGCCAGGTCTCATTCTGCTGCCCAAGCTGCAATGCAGTGGCATCATCTTGGCAATTCTGCCTCAGCCTCCCAAGAGGCTGGGATTACAGGCACACATCATTGCACCCAGCTAATTTTTGTATTTTTAGTAGAAGTTGGGGTTTCACCATGTTGGCCAGGCTGGTCTTGAACTTCTGAGCTCAGGTGCTCCACCCACCTTGGCCTCCGAAAGTGCTGGGATTATAGGCATAAGCCACCATGCGCAACTAATTTTAGTATTTTTAGTAGAGATGTAGTTTAGCCATGTTGGCCAGGCTGATCTCAAACTCTAGACCTTAGGTGATCCACCGTCTCGGCTTCTCAAAGTGCTGGGATTACAGGTGTGAGCAAACACACCCAGCCCCAAATCTTGTCCAAGATCAGACTCTTCTTTGTTGTCAATGTCTGCCATGTAAGAACTCCGAATATCTGAAATGCAATCCCTCATTTCTGTTACAGTTCTTTCGGTGGATGAAAATGGCATATTTGTGCATTCTCTGGACATGCTATAACAAGGACACTCCTTGTAACTATTGTTACATATTAACTCAAAAATTCTTTCTCAAAGTGTGGTCTGAGGGTCCTCAGACCCTTACAGGGGAATTTCGAAACTATTTCCAGGCCGGCCGCAGTGGCTCATGCCTGTAATCCCCGCACTTTGGGAGGCTGAGGCGGGTGGATCACGAGCTCAGGAAATCAAGACTATCCTGGCTAACACGGTGAAACCCCATCTCTACTAAAAATACACACACAAAAAATTAGCAGGGCGTGGTGGCAGGCACCTGTAGTTCCAGCTACTCGGGAGGCTGAGGCAGGAGAATGGCATGAACCCGGGAGATGGAGCTTGCAGTGAGCCAACATCGCGCCACGGCACTCCAGCCTGGGTGACAGAGTGAGACCCTGTCTAAAAACAAAAGCAAAAAAAAAGCAAAAACAACAACAACAAAAAACTATTTCCATATAACCATAAATACTGCCTCTTGCATTCTTATTTTTCCACAGGTGTACAGTGGAGTTTTCTGGAGGCTACATGACATGTGATAAGAAAACAGACTGAAAAAGGGAATACATCTATAAAGAGAAAATTGCTATCACTGTTTTTGGTTGGGAAAAACATTTGTATGAGATAAACATGTTATTCTTTTCATAATCAGACATTCTTCTCACAAGTGTTGGTTCTCTACCATTCCTCAAAGGTGATAATTTTTTGAAATATGTTATTGTGGATTCATGATTTTGGATATATCCAATGGGTTTAAGTGCATTGCAATAAAATGGTATTTTGATACTCATCATTAGCCAGTACAAGCCTCTTCAAACTGGATCACAACGTTTTTTGACACACCCTAGTAATGATGTATTTTGCATGTGAGAAATAAGATGCATTTTGAGCGACCAGAGGGTAGAGTATTTTGGGCTGAAATGTGTCCTTCCCCAGATTATAACTCCAAGTACCTCCAACTGTGCCTGCATTTGCAGAGAGGTAATTAAGGTAAAATGAGGTCATATGGGTGAACTCTAATCCAATATGACTAGTGTCCTTACAAGAGAGTCAGACATAGACACAGAGCGAAGATCAGGTGAAGATAGTGATAAGGCTGCCATCACTAAAAGCCAAGTAGAAAGGCCTTGGAATAAATCAAACTTGTCAATACTTTGATCTTGGACTTGGGGCTCTGAAATTGTGAGAAAATGAATTTTCTTTTGGTTAAACCACTCAGTGTGGTATTTTCTTATGGCCTCCATAGCAGCCTAATACACTTAGTTCTATAAAACTTTTTGAGAAGTTTTAGATACGATGTCTTTAAATTTTGGTTCCATAAAGCTTTTTGAGACATTTTAGATAACATGCTTTTACATTTTGGTGTATGAATTAATTCTATACTATTGAAGTGTCTCTGTTTTCTCAAAAACTAGTATAATCTTTTTTTGTAAATTCCTTCTTAGTGATGGGAAGTAAAATTCTTTTTTTTATTTTTCTGCTTCATCTTCTTTTGGAAAAAGATATAAAGACCTTGTACTGTGTCTTGCTTATGCAATTGTAGCTACTTTACGCAATTGTAGCTACTTTATTAAAACCTCGATCTTTGTGAGCTGGTTAGTTACTTTCAAAGCTGAGACACATTAGCAACTGTGAACAACAGGTACATTTTATCAGTAATAAAAGTTTATTTGCTTTGCAGCCAGTTATTTTGTATTCACAATATACTTTTGAAATATTATCTCATCATTGTCCCTATATAAATTTTCCCTCTGTTGTGTTTCTTTGAGAAGGTAAAAAGATGTAAATATAGTTGACTTCATCTGTAGTCATTTATAATCTTTCTTGGACTGTAATAAAGACTTTTCTTATATGACAACTAAAATTAGACCATCCTTTCCTTGTCTCTCACCAAAAGTTAACATTATGAATGAAAAGTAATGTCAAAAGCTGTTTAGTTTATCTGAACTACCTCTGATCTTTCAGATTAGGAAACATCTTTTTTCCTTTATATTCCTTAGCTGTTCTTTCTGAAGTGCTTTATATATTGGTAATTTTTTATAATAATACTAGGATTTTTGATAAGCATGTAAGTATTAACAATAATGTTTACTTTGTTTTTTGTGTTCTGACCATGTTGCTTACAGTTGACATGAGACCCCATTCTTGACATACCATAAGGACATTAAATGAAGGCCTTTGGAAAATATTTGATTTACAGCTGTAATCCCAGTGCTTTGGGAGGCCATGGCTGTTACACTGAACTAGAGAGTTCAAGGCTGAGTGAGCTACGAAGGTGCCACTGCACTCCAGCCTGCGTGGCAGAGCCAGGTACCATCTCTAAAAACTTGAACGTTATCAGTATTTTGAAATTATGTTAATTACATATGAAATTAGGCTAGTTTTTTTTACTGAAAAACATAATGTAAAAATACTTTTCTTTCCTCAAAATACATTGTCTTAACTTGATGAAAATTTCTCAAACAAGATTTTATTTATTTAAATACAAGATCTTGCTCTGTCATAAAGGCTGGAGTGTGGTATCACAATCATAGCCCAAACAAATGGGCTTAAGCCTCCCATAGCTGGGACTACAGGCGTGTTCCACCACACCCAGCACTTTTCAATTTTTTTGTACAGATGGATCGCCCTATTTTCCAGGCTTGTCTCCAACTATCAGTTGAGCACAAGCTGATTTTATCTCAGCCTTCCAAAGTGTTTTGGAATTACAGGGGTGAGCCGCCTCTCATTTATCATTTTTGAAACAAAAGGTAACGACTTGAGAAAACAAGGTCAAACCAATGGTTTGAAAAGAGAATTGCTATCCAGCACTTAACTCATTATATCAACTATGTACCACTGGTTTTCCTTTCGTAAAGCATTTTATGATTTTTAGGTTTCTCAGTTAAGGACAAGATGATTTCTGAGTTTTAAAAATAGGTATGCTAGAAAACTGAAATACCTGGCCTCTACATTTAGAGATTACCGGCTCTGGCCCACAGGCTGCAGTGCAGTGGCTTGATCACAGCTGTCCGCCTGTATCTGCTGGCCTCAAGCGATACTCCAGCCTTGTCCTCCCAAAGCGCTCAGAGGTGAGCGACCGCGATAGGCATGTTTAACTTTTTAGTAGCAACTTTTAAACACAGTTTGGGTACCTAGTTTAATGGGAAATTAGAGTGCATTAAAACGTAAAGTAATGAAAACGCACAATACACGTTTTTGGAGTTCATCAGTACTATCTGTTTAATCAAATGCATTTTCCTCTCAGTCTCTAAAGCCTTTTTAAACTTTAAGAGGATAAATAATTTTGTAAGAAGACAATCCCAAAACCAATTGTTAGTTTACATTTATTAAAGGGTGTGCATAATTCATTGTTCATGAGACAATTACACAAAACTGACATTTCAAGGATGCCAAAAGATGAAACACTGCCATAAAGAACACACACTAGACATTACAAATCTTGGTCAAAATACCTACGTTAACGCAAAAAAAAAAATCAATTGGCTCAGTAATTGATTAGGATAATCCTCCCCTCCTCTTGCCTGTACACTGTGGCAAGTCCATTTACTTTCTTTTTTTTTTTTTTTAAAGCCAACAAAGGAGACAGTGGGGAATGCTATATGTCTGTATCTGCTTTCCTCCTCAACCCTAGGAATAAAGTAAACACGTTTACTGAGGGCGGGGGTCTAAGGGCCTGCAACAATGAGATCTGTCGCCTTGGCTAGGACTGGCGCCGAGAGGCGATAGGTCTCGGGAGAGCCTGGCGCAGGGTGTGGGAGATTAGGAATCCCAGGTCCACCGGAGATGGCAGGGGGTGGCCTGGCCCGGTGCGGGGCCGCTTGCCTGCACGCAACCAACTAAGGCGGTGGTGCGCAAGTAGTGGTGACGGCGGGCGCGCGGAGAAAAGGAACGTTGTGACGGAAACTCCAGCTGCCGGAGACCCCACCGCAGTGAGGTCACTGGACTCCCCGGACTCGGGGCGTGACCGGCGCCGACCCGGGGCGCCGAGAGGCCCACCGGGCGGAGGGGGCCCAACTACCATCCCGCATTTTCCTGGGTCTCTCTCCCGGGCGGTGACGTGACGTGCTGACGGCGGGCCCGTGCCGGGGAGCTGGGCCGCTTTTTGTCAGCTCCGAACTCGGCCCCTCCTCCCTCCCTCCGCCCGCCCTACCAGCCGGAGCCCGGCCCAGTGCTCCAGAGAAAGGCCGTCCTGCAGCACCCGCCGCTGTCGCCGACCGCCCGCACATCCGTCGGGTGAGTCCCGCGTGCCCCCGCGGCCGCGGGGCCTAGTGCGCGCGCAGTAACCTGTTTGTGGCCTGGTCGGCGTCCCGTAGGGCGCCCTCCCGCGCTAGGCCGGCCGGCGTGGCGCTCGGCGCCGAACAGGCCCCGAGGAGGCCGCAGTTAGGCCTAGTGATTATCCAGTTGCCCTGAGCGGCTGCGGAGGTGCGCTCCATAAGCGGGCAGGGTGGGAAAAGTTCGCCCGTTTGTCCGGAAGGCAGTTGATGGACCTGGGGTCGACACCACTGCGGACGCAGGGCACGGCACGGGGGCGAGAAGGCGAAGGCTGCAGGCGTGAGGTGAAGGCCGGAGGCCTGCTGGGCCTATTTTCGCTATGTAAATGTCCGCGAAGGGGAGGAGGGACGGGGGGGCAAGATGGCGGCTGCTAGGCGCCTGCTGCTGGGGAGTATTGAGAGTGTTGTCGGGAGGCGGAGCCGCCATCTTGAAGGCGGTATCTGGAAAAAAAATTCGGTTATGATCCTTGAGGCGGGGATGGGGAAAAGGACGGCGGCGGCGGCGGCAGCGCAGCCTCCGGCGCGACGGCGTGTCTGCGCAACAGGGCGTGCTCGTTCCCTTGGCGGCCCTTGCCTTTGTCGCCATATGCGCGCGTACGTTCCAGACGCCTGCGGCAGCGCCACCTTTCGGCCTTCCCCTCACAGCCCATCCTTGGCTGGGTGCAGTGTCGGCTACGCTTTAGGTGACATGCCGCAGGCGTCCGTTCGGGCGCCGGGGTCATTTCGCCCCTCAGCGCTCCCGGCTCTGTGCCCTTCCGAGAGTCTACAGCCACCCGTTTCAGCAGGTGGCAATTCGGGCATCTAGGCTCACGAGAGCACATAAATTCCAGAAAATTTTATTTTCCCCTAATTAAAGTCATTATGTGGCTGTTCGGGGACCTTCGATGCGCTTATTTTTCAACCATCATTGCCTCTTCGAGGATCTGCAAAATAGAACTGGAATTTATTATGAAAAAGTTATTAGGCACTCGTCCAATAGACAGTACAGTACAAATTATACAGCACGAGGGCAGAGGAATAAAATTTCCCCAAGGCGACTTTTCCCATTTATGTGGAAACACTTTTTTGATGAGCTGTATTTAAACGAGCGAGCTTTTTTTTAGTCCGTGTACTTTTTTTGAGTAAGAGATGGAAAATAGGCAGAAGAGGTATTTTTCTTTTTGAAAGACAATTCATGCATTACTTGTAGGTTCATATACCCATGATGACATTGAGATTTTATTTGAAATTTCTTATACAGTTTCATCTTCAAAATACTTTTGTTAGCATTTTGTACAACTTTGCTGGAAAATTGGAGCACAGTAATGTGAGCGTTGGACAGTGCTAGGTGCTAAGAAAGATTTAAAAGGCTCTTAATGCAGAACGTGACTGCAAAAAGTTTGCTGCGGGCATTTCACAGGAAGGCGAGGTTTCAGTTTGCAAAATTGGGAATCCTGAAGTAGATGGGGTTTAGCTAGGGTGAGGAATGGGAGTAGGAGAGGTCATTACAAGAATGAAATGTCTGTAGAAGATGCAAATATTTACGGTTTTGCTGGAGTGGATAATATAGATAGGAAAGGGATTCAAATTTAGGCTGTAAAAAGTAGATTTTGAAATACATTGGTGGCACACCTCAGTTTATGCTGAGCTCTGGCTGCAGCTGTTACAAAAGTTTAAAGGTTGAGAAGGATTGAGAGCTAGTATAAATTGATAAGTGTTTTCGTTACTGGATGGATGATCAAGAAGGTAGCTGTTTTTTGGCCAGGTGCGGTGACTCACGCCTGTAATCCCACCACTTTGGGAGGCCGAAGTGCGCGGATCACCCGAGGTCAGGAGTTCGAATCCAGCTCGAGACCAGCTGGAGACCGACATAGCGAAACCCCGTCTCTACTAAAAATACAAAAAAACTAGCAAGGCATGACGGCGCGCGCCTGTAATCCCAGGTACTTTGAAGGCGGAGGTTGCAGTGAGTCGATATCGTACCACTGCACTCCAGCCTGGGGAACAAGAGTGAGAGTCTGTCTCAAAAAAAAAAAAAAAAAAAAAAGAATGTGGCTATTTTTTGAATTAGTCTCTACTAGACTGCTGCTTCGTTTTTGCATCGAAAGTTTACCAAATAATCTTTTGCTCCTATTTAAAATTGTAAGCAAAATTGTATTTACTGTGGTTGAAAATTACAAAAGTACAGGAAATCAGTTTGAGAGGTATGTTTAGAAAAGCAGTTTTCAGAAATGCAGTAGCCTTCAGGTGGCTTTATGAAACTTTGCCCTTCTTCTTGGTGAAGGTAAGCAAGCTTTAAAATTCGCTGTTCACTTTATATGTGAGGGTCCTAGATGCAGTAGTTTCAGAGAACATGTATAGCAGCACTTGCTTCCTAGACTTTTACTAAATAAAACGCAGGTTTTGAGTCTTCCCAGACTGCAGCAGATCACAACGCTGATGATTCAAAGAAGTCTGAAGGGAACTAGAGATTGCTGTTTTACAAAAGTGTCTGGCAGTATATTGCAGGAGGTAGTCAAAGCAACATTTTTTTTTTTTTTTTGAGGCAGAGTCTCGCTCTGTCGCCCAGGCTGGAGTGCAGTGGCGCGATCTCGGCTCACTGCAAGCTCCGCCTCCCGGGTTCACGCCTTTCTCCTGCCTCAGCCTTCCAAGTAGCTGGGACTACAGGCGCCCGCCACCACGCCGGGCTAATTTTTTTTTTTTTTTTTTTTTTTTTTTTTTTTTTTTAGTAGAAACGGGATTTCACGGTGTTAGCCAGGATGGTCTCCATCTCCTAACCTCGTGATGTACCCGCCTCGGCCTACCAAAGTGCTGGGATTACAGGCGTGAGCCACCGCGCCCGGCCGTCAAAACAAATTTTTAATGCAATCTAGTTGTCGACTTGCTAAGGGGTCAGCATAAACTGTAGAGGTAGTTGCCTTATATCTTGACAGCTGAAGAGCTGTAAAGAAGATAGAACTGTATCTTGTACAGTACAGCAGCTGTAGATGTTCCAGTACATCAGCAGTGGATGTGCAAAAAGAACATAGGCAAGTGTATAGTTTTAAAGGATTTATAAGGAAATTGTTAAGTATAAAATATTTTTTTGCCTGATAGGATAGACCTTGATGATCTGCTAGCCAATTTCTTTTTTTTGAGACGGAGTCTTGTTCTGTCACCTGACTGGTGTGCATTGTTGCTGTCAGCTCACTGCCACCTCCGCCTCCTGGGTTCAAGCGATTCTCCTGCCTCAGCCTTCCAAGTAGCTGGGACTACAGGTGTGTGCCACCATACCCAGGTAATTTTTCTAGTTTTCGTAGAAATGGGGTTTCGCCATGTTGGTCAGGCTGGTCTCGACCTCCTGACCTCAGATGATCCATCCACCTTGGCCTCCTAAAGTGCTGGGATTACAGGCGTGAACCACGGTGCCCGACCTCTGGTAGCCAATTATCTTGGATGAATGAGTTGTTAGTTTTTAATTTATGTGTATTTATATTCAAATAGATGCCCCTTAACTTTCTTTCAAAAAGCATACAGTGCTTATATATATATATATATATATATATATATATATATATATAAATAAATAACTCTGTTTACATTTGTATTGTCACTAATTGATATCCTTTGAATTGTTGCATTTATGCATTCTGGCAATTGCAAACCTTTTTAGATTCTTAAATTCTTCAACCCCTGCATATTACTTCATTACTTAATTGAGAAAGATAGATGACTATATGATACATATGTTTGATCTCATTCATTTCATGCTTTTTCTTTATTTCTTCCTACACTTTCTTTTGCCGATGGAAGAAGTGCTGCTTTCAACGTCCATTTTCTCTGCTTACCCTTTTCCCTGCTCTCTGCCTGCCCCTTCCTATAAATATTCATAGGTATGCTCGTTTTACAAAAACCTTATCTGTTTTCTCTTTAGTTTCACTAGTCCTTCTATTTCTATTCTTCCCGCTTCTAAATCTGGTATTACTCAACGTGTGAAACGGTTCCACAGCAGGTAATTGGTGTGTCACATGAAAGTGTACTGCATTTCAGAAACTCTCTGTGCTTTCTTTGTCTGCTCTGGTCGTTTTCCTAACCTAAATGTGGAATTTAACTTGAGATTAATTACTTGTTTTCTCCAAACTTCTTCCCTGCATCACTGTCTCTTATTTTCACTCATCAAATTTGTCATCTAGCATTTACAGTTATCTACTGAACATCTCCATCCTGATCTCTTATTAACAGTCCATATTTAATATTGCTGAAACCAAATTTATCTGGCACATAGTAGGTACCCAGTAATGTGCAGTGAACCTCTTTTACTCTACAGTCCCTAAAATAATTCCTGATTTTGCTTTCTTTCTTTTCCAAACACTACTGTTTTACCAGGCTTTCTTTCATCCCGGTCACTTAGAGCAGTGTAGATATCTTTAATTAACATTTAATCTGTTGTATTCTAAATGTAGGTTTATACTTTTTGTTTTCATCCGTAACTTTCGAAGCCCTTAATTATAGTAGATAGTTTTTTATCTTGATTTGCTCCCCTAACAGAATGATTTGGCAGGTAAACATTATTCCAAAAAAAATTATTTGAATAATTTAATGCAGAGATTTATATGGAGTTGAATAGCCCTCCAATTGAAATTAAGGAGCCAAATAGTGTTCTTGAATTGTGTAAGTGTTAAGGCATACAGTGTTCATTTTTTGAAGGCAGCAGATGAAAACAGGATTCTCAGGAACATGTTTCCACCATTGCTTTCACAATCTACCTTGACTGAGAGCCCATTCTTTTTCTTACTAAATTGTTTTAAACGTAGTATTTTCATAAATACGGCTTTCTTATTTAGCTATAAAATGAAATAAAGGAGAGTTACTAGATTATAACCAAATCCTGCTTTATTGAAAGAGGAATTTGAATCTAGGCGAGGCACAAAGGAATCTACGTCAATGGCTTTAAAAAATTAACATAGTTAATATATTAAACATGTAAATTATAAAATCTTCTGTCCTTAGTAAGCAAGTACAAATCTGTTGTATCAGATTGTAACCTGTTGTAACAGATTGTAACAAATGTTACAGTCTTTCATACTTGTTTCATGTCTTTTTCTATTTAAAGAAATGGAATTCTGCAGGTCATTTTTAAGAGTTGCCTTCAGTGCTTCCCAATCCTGCTTCTTTTTCCCCAGACTGGTTTCCTTGTATATGTTTTAACTTTAGAAAGGTATCTTATAGTATGTGTCATTTTGTGTATTTTTTATCACTCAACAGTGAGTTTTTGAGTTTCTTTCATGTTACCTGTGGATCTGATATTTTAGTTAGCAAAAGTTGGTCTAGGAACCCATGGGGATCTTTGACACCTTTTCAGATGTCTGTGAGAGGACAACAATTTTTAAAAAATTACCGAGAAGTTATTTACCTTTTTTACTCTTATTATCCCATGAATGTAGTGTGTGGTAGAGTTTTCATGAGTTTCAGATGTTTCAGAAAGTTGAATGCAGAAGCAGAGGAATCCACCTGTTTTATTTAAGCCAGGTATTAAAAAGATTAACATAAAAAATTTGTATTGTGGAAAGTGCTTTTAATACAGTGTTATTTATTTTAATATTAATGGTTTATTAGTTGTAAGTGAATAAACATAAACTTTTCATAAAATTACTAGGCATTAACTTTTAAAATGGCATATATTGATAATAAAACCTGCTTAAACAAAAGCTCTTTGAGGACTCTCAAATTTTTTAATTGTAAAGGAGTCCTAAGGTGAAAACGTTTGGGAAATCATTAATCTGAATTTATTTATATTCTATTATAGTTTATAAATGTACTGTGGCCTGTTTATTCATTACTAGGAACCAGTTAGATTTCCAGTCTTTTGCAATTTTGAAACAATGTGGCTGTAACATCTTTGTACATGATTAACTTCTTTTGGGTTTAAGTGGAATTGGTAATCTGAAGTGTATGTGCATTGTCAACTTTACTGGAATTACCAAATTCTTTCCACATTGGTTGTATCTAGTTGATACTAAGTTTTCTATTAGACTGTTTCTCCATATCATTACCAAATTTTTTTTTTTTTTTTTTGAGAGAAGAGTCTCATTCTGTTGCCCAGACTGGAGTACAGTGGTGCAGTCTTGGCTCACTGCAGCCTTTGCCTCCTGGGTTCAAGCAGTTCTTGTGCATCAGCCTCTGGAATAGCTGGGACTACAGGCACGTGCCACCACACCTGGCTTATTTATTTATTTATTTAGTAAAGGCAGGGTTTTGTCATGCTGGCCAGGCTGGTCTTGAACTCTTGACTTCGGGTGAGCTGTCCATCTTGGCCTCACGAAGTGCTGGCATTTCAGGCATGAGCCACCATACCTGGCCCCAAAGATTTGACAGTTTAATTTCTTTCAGGGTTTTGGAGATGGAATAATACCCAGTTGTTTTAATTTTGCATTTATCATATTTTTAGTGAGGTTGAGCTTCCCCGCTTGCCCACCCTCCGCCAATATAAACTGTGTGTGTGTGTGTGTGTGTGTGTGTGTATATCTCTGTTTCCTGTGCTGGAGTGTGGTGGAGTGGTCACAATTCATTTCACCATGTTGGCAAGGCTAGTCTTGAACTCTTGGCCTCAAATGACCAGGCTATGTCAGCCTCCCAAAGTGCTGGGATTACAGGTATAAGCCACCGTGCCTGAGCCTAACTTTTGTATTTTTTGTAGAGATAGGGGTGTCACTATGTTGCTCAGGCTGGTCTTGAAATCCTGAGCTCAAGCGATCCTCCCACCTTGGCCTCCAAAATTTTTGGGATTACTGGTGTGAGCCAATGTGCCTGGCTAATTTTTCTTTCCTTTTTTTTGGTTATTTTTATTTTTTAAATATGGAACTTCACAAATTTGCAATTTGCATTTTTTTTTTTTTTTTTTTTTTTGAGACGGGGCCTCTCTGCTGTTATCTAGGCTGTAGTGCCAGGGCTATTTTTTTTTTTTTTTAATTTTTTTTTGAGACAGGGTCTCACTTCTGTTACCCAGGCTGGAGTGCAGTGCCTGATCATGGCTCAATGCAGCCTTGACTTCCCGGGCTCACATGATCCTTCCACCTCAGCCTCCCCAGTAGCTGGGGCTGCAGGTGCACACCACCATTCCTGCGTAAATTTTTCTTTTTTTTTTCTTTTTTTGTTTACTTTTTGGTAGAGGCAGTTTTTCACTATGTTACCCAAGCTGGCCTTGAACTCTTGGGTCCAGGTGATCCTCCTGTCTCAGCCTCCAAAAGTCTTGGGATTACAGACATGAACCATGGCCCCCAGCTGTGCCACATTTTCTTTCTCCATTCATTTATTGATGGACACATAGGTTGTTTCCATATCTTTGCAACAGTGAATAGCTCTATGATAAATATAGTTCTTTGAGAAATCTCTTTACAGTTTTCCACTGGGGTTATACTAACATACTATACCTACAATATATTAATATTGCTTTTTATAGAGATCTTGGAAAATTTTGGATAACTATACCAAGATGTTGTGTGACTTTTGTTGCCATTATGAATAACAATTTCAAAAAGTTATACTTACCAGTTGTTGTAATTTATAATAGAAATCCTATTGACTTTCAGCAACCTTGCTGAAAATTCCGTGATCATATTTCATAGCTTCTGAGATGTATAAATCTTCATATTTTAGCACTTCTAAAATCTGAATGTATTTTACCATGGATAGAGTTGTATAATCAGTTTTCCAATTTATAAGTTGTTCATTTTGTTATCACTTCAAATGAATTGCATCCATTTTTGGCACTAATCAGGTTGCTGATACATGCCAAACAGTGTAACTGTAAATAAAATAAATTTCCTTTGGATAAATTGAAGCAATTTTTATTTATTTATTTAAAGAAGCAGTCTCGCTCTGTTGCCCAGGCTGGAGTACAGTGGCGTGATCTCAGCTCACTGCAATGTCCGCTTCCTGGATTCAAGCAATTCTCCTGCCTCAGCTTCCTGAATGGTTGAGATTACAGGCGTGTACCACCATGCTTGGCTAATTATATATATTTTATATATTTTTAGTAGAGATGTCGTTTCACCAGGCTGGTTTCGAACTCCTGACCTCGTGATCTGCCTGCCTCAGCCTCTCAAAGGCTCAGCCGGGATTACAGGCATGAGCCACTGTGCCTGGCTGAAGGAAATGGCCAGAGGCAGGTTTGATTGGCCCTTGGTTCAGTCAGAGGTTAATTGGTCATAGGTTGAGTACAAATGCGTTGTAATGTGTTTATTATATATTTTCTAATTTTGGAGAGCAGTTCCTTACCATAAATTAGCGTGGTTCAATTGAGGGGAAATGATGAAACAGACTTGTCAAATGGTAAAGTACTAGCATTAGAACTTGGAAAGTAGATGTCTTTGACTTGAAAGAATATTCTAGAGATGATAATTTAGTATGCTTCATCGTTGGCACTGTTGTTATCAAGATGACTCTATTGTTAGAAAGATAAGGACATTGAACAGCAGTGAATAGAAAAGTGAGTAAAAGTAGCACTCTGAATTCAAATAAATTTTATCAATACCCTGAGCCAATTTCCTTTGGATGTTATTGTTCTTTCTATGTATGCATAAGAGTGGTGTATGATTTTTAAAAACTGTGTGAATAAATCTAAAAGAACTCCAGTATATCAATTTACTTGAATGTTTTTTCTTAGTGGTATATAAAGGCTCATGCTACAATTGTGAGCATGTAGACATAGTGAGATTTAGCAGTAATAACGATTTTTTTTGCATTTTTTGTACAATTATATTATCTGTGAAGAGTGATGTTAGATTTCTTTTCTGGTGGTCTAGATTTTTTGAAAGAAGTGCTTCCAGTGTTTTATCCTTAAATACTGATGTTAAGATGTTTTCTTGGGAAGATATTCTTTAAGCTTCCTTCCATTCACAATTTTAGAGTTTTTTTTTTTTAATATAAAGGAGGAGTTGAATTTTTAAGATAACTTTGGTTGCATCTGTTGATTTTCTCCTTTAATTTATTAATGTGCTTAATTGCGTTAACAGAGTTTCTAACTTTAAACGTTCTTTGAATCACCTGGATGTTTAATATTTACATTGCCTTATTGTAGTCCTATCTGCACAGTCTCATAGATGCTAATAAAATAGAAACAAAATTACAGTCCTGTAATTTTTTTTCTTTCACAGTTTGATAAGGTTATGTTAAACTCACGTAATGAGGGTTTCTCTCTTTCTGGACACAGGTTGCCTATTAAAAAGGGATTCATTGTTTCTTTGAACTTAGAATTTCTTTGTATATTTACTTGTACGTGGAGTCTTTTTATGATTTTTTTTTTTTTTTTTTTTTTTTTTTTTTGAGACAGAGTCTCGTTCTGTTGCCCAGGTTGCAGTCAGTGGTGCAATCTTGGCTCACTGCAACCTTTGCCTCCTGGGTTCAAGCGATTCTCCTGCCTCAGCCTCCTGAGTTGCCGGGATTACAGGCATGGGCCACAATGCCCAGCTAATTTTGTATTTTTAGTAGACATGGGGTTTCTCCATGTAGGTCATGCTGGTCTCGAACTCCTGACGTCAGGTGATCTGTCCGCCTTGGTCTCCCAAAGTGCTGGATTACAGATGTGAGCCACCATGCCTGGCCATGAATATTTTTTTGACATTTGATCTATTGAAAGTTTCTTTCATGGTGATATGTCTTTGGCTTTTCTTGAGTATGTTCTTGTTGCTTATACAGAATTTTTAATGTCCTAGAAATATGTTTATAAATAGGATATAAATATTTATAGTTTTATCTTATGACTTATAAAACATGTATAATTCTGTCAGTTTGCTTTTTTCTGATAAGCTTTTTACATTTTGCCATTTTTCCTTGCCAAATAGGAATTTGATTATATTTTTTAAGCAATTTTTTTGTTGATGCTTTTTGTCCATATCTTTTGTTCCCTTTTGCTTGAGTTTATTATCCTTTTTTTTTTCAGTTTTCTGTGTGTGCATATGTAGGAGGCTTAGCACATTTGTATTTAATTTCACTTTTTACAGTATGTTCAATTAAAGCTGCTCCCCTCCCCTCCCCTCCCCTCTTTTGACTCAGCATTTCACTCTGTTGCCCGGGCTGGAGTGGAGTAGTACGATGTCGGCTTACTGCAACCTGTGCCTCCAGGTCCAAGCAATTCTTGTGCCTGAGCTTCCCAAGTAGTTGCATGCCATCACACCGGGCTGATTTTTTGTGTGTTTTTAGTAGAGATGAGGTTTAACCATATTGGCCAGGACCATGTTGGCCAGGCTGGTCTCTAACGCCTGACCTCAAGTGATCCTCCCACCTTAGCGTCCCAAAGTGCTGGGATTAGAGGCATGAGCCACTGCACCCAGCCTCTATAAATATTTTACTTGTTACCCCTGAATTATTTAAGTTTTTCCCTTTGTTTTCAAATGTATGTATTTATTTATTGGGCTGTATTGTTAGGTGCCTGTGTTTAGGACTATTGCATATTATGTCACTATTTTCTTTTTAACATTAAGACATGATGTATTTCAACACTGATGATGATTCTTGTCTTAAAATGTGTTTTGGCTAATTTCTGGCTTTTTTGTTTGTTAAAATGCCTTTTTTAAAAATCTTTTTCTACCTCTTATAAAAATTGTATAATTTTTTAAAAAACTAGAATATGTAATGGTTTTAATTTTAATCTCCTATTAACAAAGGCATGCAAGGAGGTTTTTTTTTTTAAAGAGATGGGATCTCACTATGTTGCCCAGGCTGGTCTTGAACTCCTGGGCTCAAGCAATCCAATCACCTTGGCCTCCCAAAGTGCTGCGATTATAGACATGAGCCACCCTGGCTGGCCACAAGGAGGATTTTAAACATAACCCATTGAGTGAGTATCATTTCCAGGTGTGTTTAATCTCTTATTTAGGAAATATTTTTAAATCTTTTTCCATTGTATTTTATGTTGTCTGTTTGCCAATATTTCATATGAGTTCCCATCTCTTTTCTGACTTTTTATTTTACTGAATGATTTTATCTCACCATCTTTTTAAACAACAGCTTATAAATAAATTGCTTCTACTTACGTCTTTTCAGTTATTTTGTTTTAATGTTAAACCCAGTTACTTGATTTCAGGCAGTAGAAAATCAGTGTGTTTATTTTCTATTTAAACTTCTACTTGAAGATAGGGTTTGGTGGCCAGGAAAAAAAGGGAAGTTTAAAATTTGCTTTATCTTGAAAAGATTGGTTGAGTGGAGTAGCAGATAAGAAAAAAAAAAGATGAATTTTTAAGATAAATAGGATATATTAAATTAAAAATATTTGGGCCAGGCACAGTGGCTTTCTGCCTGTAATGCCAGCACTTTGGGAGGCTGAAACGGGTGGATCACCTGAGGTCAGGAGTTTGAAACCACCCTGGCCAAACATGCTGAAACCCCATCTCTACTAAAAAAAAAAAAAATACGAAAAAAAATTAGCTGGGCTTGGTGGCGGGCACCTGTAATCCCAGCTACTCAGGAGACTGAGACGAGAATTGCTTGGAACCTGGAAAGTGGAGGTTGCAGTGAGCCAAGATTGCGCCTGCGCCAGTGCACTCCAGCCTGGGCAAAAAGAGTGAGACTCCGTCTCAAAAAAAAAAAATTTTGAGGAAAGCTAAATAGAAGTTAAAAGCATTACAGTGATATCAAAGAAATGTGTATAACACGCCATATTAATGTTTTCTGAGTATTTTGATATGGAAGAAAGTTGGACCATGGAAAATCAGGATAAAAGTTTTATAATACGGTGCAAAGTAGCTTGAGATTTTATTTCTATAGATGAAATAAACATTATGAATTTGTTTCATCTTTCAAAAATCAGATGTAATTGTAATCCTGTGTACTAATTATTTGAATGAACAGAATGAATTAAATGGTGGATTCTGTTTTGGCTGACAAAATTGTGTGATAGTACAGTAATGGTATTTTCATTGAAACGCACTGCATGATAATAAAGAAAATATATTCAAGGGCTTTGTCAGTTTTCTAAGAGCTGTTGCAGGTCTTGATATTCACATAATTCTCCTTTGGAAAAAAATAGCTTCCGAGCTTACAGTTGTGTTTTTCTTTCTACAGTTATAATTTCTTTCTACAGTTATAAAGGGAGATCTATGTTTAAGCCAATGGCCATGACTGTGATTGAACATTTTTTTTTCACATTCACCAGTTTTTTATACATATATTGTAGGATTTACATTTTTCATCTTACAACATAATTGCTTTGTAATTACTTTGTATTGTCATCATGTTGCTGTATTTGCCATTCAGACTGATTAACAAAGACAATGTGTTGAGTGGGAAGCAGTTACAGTTTATAAAGGGAGGAGTGTTTGCATTTTTTAGTTGAGTAATCTCCAGTTTTTCTTATTCACGTATCTTGTTAAACTATTACTTGTTTTTAAACATACAAGGTAGACATTTAAAGGATGAGATGTTACAATATATAAAAACAAAAGTTTTGATTTTTGTCTTTTTACATCCATTCCCTAAATGTGTGCAAGTACTACTTTAGAGACTAGTAAGTAACATGCTAAATATGTTCATTCTTAGGACTTTTGTTTTCCTCTGCAACCATAAAACTCTTGAGACTAAGATAATGAACATTCAGATAAGTTAAAGTAGACTAAATGAAGATATTGTGAAACAACTGAAACTAGAGAATAAGGAATTAAAAGATTAAAAAATAAGTAGTTGAAATTTACATGAGGAATAAAATGGAATGAAGTCACAGATTATGATACGGAGTACTGAGACAAACAATAGACTTGGTGGTTTGACACCATAAATGAAAGATCTTCTTTTGCCATAGTGTGTCATTGAGCAGCCTTCTTAGCATTTTAAGCTTCAATTTCCTTAATTGGAAAATAGGGTTGGTCATACCTACTACTTTTGGTGAATTAAATAGTTGGTTTATACAAAGGGCTTAACAGATTTTTGCATCTAACAAATTATGCCACCTTTTAAAAATGGGTGAAGTTAGAATAAATTAAAACAAACATGGATACAAGTTAAAAAGACTAACATTTGACTTTTATTTCTGACTTTATTAAAGAAGCCTATAGCAGGCTAACATCCAGTGCTTTGAAGTAAATGTAATGAAACAATCTTTCTCACATATTCATATATTAAATCTAAGAGGACCTAAATTAAAGAATAGATATGGAGTAGAAAAGTTAATATTTTAAAGATGCTATTTCTTTTCAGATTGATCAGTGTAGATTGATGCAGTTCCAATCAAAATCTGATGGGGTTGCTTAAAAAATTTAAATATATGATGGATAAATAGAAGTATAACAATAGATCACATAACATTATCAACACGCATAACATCACATCAGTGAGATGAAACTTGATAGAGAGATGTATGAAATGCACAAGCAGACTTTCCAGAAAAAACACATTGGATATAAATGTTTGTTTGTTTTCAGTAAGGGGGTTAGAAGTTATTATTACTTTTTCTTTTTTTGAGACAGGGTATTAAAAAGCTTCATAGCTTACTGCAAGCTCAAACTCCTAGGCTCAAGCCATTCTCTCTCCTCATCCTTCTTGATGGCTGGGACTACAGGGGTGTGCCACCACACCCAACTAATTTTTTTTTTTTTAGTAGAGAAAGAGTTTCACTCTGTCGCCCAAGCTGGTATTGAACTCCTGGCCTCAAACGATCCTCTTGCCTTTGCTATTTCAAGTGTGAGCCACCATGCACAGTCACATTTTTTTTTTCCTTTTTTTGAGACAGTTTAGTTCTGTTGCCCAGGCTGGAGTACAGTGACAAGATTATGGCTCACTGCAGCCTCAACCTCCTGGGCTCAAGCAGTTCTCCCTCCTCAAACCCCAGATAACTGACTACAGGTACCCACTATCATGATTGGCTAATTTTTGTATTGTTTGTAAAGATGGGGTTTCACCATGTTGGCCAGGCTGGGTTTAAATTCCTGGGTTCAAGCATTCCACCTGCCTTAGCGTCCCAGAGTGCTAGGATTACTGGGGTGAGCCACGGCACCCAACCTGGCCAAAAAATTAAAGTCTGTGATGCTTATTAGTTTTTGGGAAATAGGCACTCTTACATTACTTGTGAAAGCTAATAAATTTTCAAGAGCCTTTATCGAGATTATTTTAGCAATATTGCTGGCTGTGATGGCTTACATTTATAATCCCAGCACTTTGGAGGCAGAGACAGGCAGTTACCTTGAGGCCAGGAGTGAAAGACCAGCTTGGTCAATGTACTGAGACCCTCATGTCTACAAAAAAAAAAAAAAAAAAAAAAAAAAAAAAGATTACCCAGGCATGTTGGTAAGTGCCTGTAGTCTCAGCTACTCTGGAGACTGAGATGAGAGGATCGCTTGAGCGTGGGAGGTCGAGGCGGTAGTGAGTCATGGTCACACCACTGCACTCCATCCTGGGTGACAGAGCAAGACCCTGTCTCAAAAAAAAAGAACACCAAAAAAACCCATATATATACACATACACACACAAACACACACTCATATATATGTTTGTAGAATGGTTTTCTACTTTACATTGCTTTATTTCTCCTTTTTTGGTTTACTAGCTATTAGTTGTTTTCTCATCTTCATACCACTGTAGCTAGGACTGAAGGCATGCACCACCACATCTGGCTAATTTTGCAGTTTTTTATAGAGACATTGTCTTGCTCTGTCACCCAGGCTGGAGTGCAGTGGTGTAATCATAGCTCACTGTCATGGCTACGTGACCTCTCAGGCTCCAATGATCCTTCCTACCTCAGCTTCCCAAGTAGCTGGGACCACAGGTGCACCACGACGTCCAGCTAATTTTTAATTTTTTTTGTAGAGAAGGGATCCAACTATTTGCCTAGACTTGTCTAGAACTCCTGGACTCCAGTGATCCCCCTCCCGTGGTCCCTCAAAATGCTGGGATTACAGGATTAAGCCACCACACCAGGCCTAAATTATTTTTCAGAGTGGATCCTCTGGATCATTCTGCTTATTTGTCTTCCAATTCAGCTGATCTCTAAGCTTGGTTCTTACTACAAAGGCATGGGAAATTACTGTGAAATCATGGGAACTTATTTTTCACCTTATCAAAATTGTGTTAATATTATTACCATTAAGAGCATGGTTTTGTTCTGGTTGTAGGAAGAAATTGGCATTTGTAACCCAAGAAAGCTTACTAACGTAAAGGTGTGGTCATCTTTACAGTGAAGTGCAAAAGAACCTCTTGTGCCTCTGTCAGTTTTCGCCGTGATAAAATAGGACAATAATCAGTCAAATGTGTTGTTGAAGAATGATTGCTCACTATAGTGAAGATTGGATTGGTGGTCAGCCCTTATCATAGGCTCAAGTACATAGTAGGGATATGTATATGACGTAAAATTATACTTAACCCTCTTTCATTCAAGATTTTGAGTTTGTAGGTGTTGTGCTGAATAGAGTCCTAGAATGTAGCAGTTCGTGGTTGGTTTCTCACTTGTTTGAGCTCTTTTCTCTTTATTGCCTGTTTCAGAATGATTAAACCAGAATTTAGCTATCTGTGGCACAGATGTTTGGTTACATACATGAGACACTAGCACTATGTCCCTAGGTCACTGATAGTGACATTTTCCTGCATTTATAAATATTTGTAAATATTAGCAGTTATTGACCCTGCTAATGACAGTTGACTAGGTATAGCTCCACTTTTTCAAGACCTCACCTCCTAGAAAATTCTAGGATGTTGAGTGCCAGGGTAAAAACATAAAGATCGTTTGAAGAATGACATGCTGTCCAGCTAGGTTGCAAAGTTGAGTAATAACAGTAAATAAGTCATGTGGTAGCTTGGGTTAATAATGTGGAGGTCACTGAATATTGGAGACTGCTTCTTGGTAAGGGAGTGATCAAAGCAGTGCTTCAAGAAGATTCATCTGGCTACAGATTGTAGGAATGCCTTGTTAGTTGGCATTACAAGACCCCCTTCTTATAATAGGTTTCCTAGTCATTTGTTTTGGAAGTGTTACAAAGGCCATTTCAGAAACTATTTTCATTTCTAGGGATCAGAAAATAGGAAGCTTAGAGTGATTGGTGATAATGGGAATACAAGCAGGGCAAACATAACAGAGAAATTGTGGAGAAGAAATTGACAAGATCTGAGAAACCAACTGTCAGGGAAGGAGGAAAAGGCCATAGTGATTGTGCCAGGAAAAATCTGGGTTTTAATTTTTGAAGATGTTCAGTAAACGGTCTGATGGAAATTTTAGGTCCTTCTCAGCGTGTGGATTTTGGGGATCATCTTCACGTAAGTCGTCATTAAAAACTGTGGAAATAAATGAGAAAGTAGTAGAGAGGAAAGCTGAATGTGAAACCTTGGACAAGACTATAGTAGCCATCGGTTAAGAAGGTGAGAAGAGAACTAAGATATCATATAAACAAAGAGGTAGGAGGGAGTTTCAAAATTAAAGAAACTGATCATCTATCAGACTCTAACAGACAGGTAAGGAAGATGAATACCTGAAACAGGAAAATTACGCTACAAGTTGATCTTTTTTTTTTTTTTTTTGAGATGGAGTCTCGCTCTGTCGCCCAGGCTGGAGTGCAGTGGCACGATCTCGGCCCACTGCGAGCTCCGTCTCCCGGGTTCACACCATTCTCCTGCCTCAGCCTTCCGAGTAGCTGGGACTACAGATGCCCGTCACAGTGCCCGGCTAATTTTTTGTATTTTTAGTAGAGACAGGGTTTCACTGTCTGTACTGTCAAGACACCAGGTGGTCTTGATCTCCTGACCTTGTGATCCACCTGCCTCAGCTTCCTAAAGTCCTGGGATTACAGGCGTGAGCCACCATGCCTGGCCCACAAGTTGATCTTTTATTAGAACTAATGAAATTGCTGTTTTTAGGAAAATTGGAAGGTCACTTCAATAATCCAACAAATCACATTTATTCCATCATTCATTGCCTTAATTTCATGTGGTTTTCTTTAATTATGCAGAGAAGATTAGTTTGCATTTATAATTTTATAATTACATTTTTTTAAGAGGGGAAAAATTAATGAAGCCAGAGATTGTTTGGGTAGAGGGAGCAGTGACAGCTTATTTAGAGCAGGTGCCCTTTTTCTTTTTCTGTGGTTGACAAAATATTAGTGTAGTCATCATGGCCTTTTTATTTGAAGCAGTTTGAATGTCATAAAACACACTTTCTTTAAATTGAGTAGATCTGTTTCAGAGAAACACTTTGGAAATCCATTGGTTTCTCACTTGCATATTGCCTTATCATATAGTTTAATATTTGAAAATTGACACACATAAGTGACCATAGCATGTGCTAAAAATACAGTAAGGGAGCTGGACATAGTGGCATGTGTCATTAGTCCTAGCTGCTTGGGAGGCTGAAGTAAGAGGATTACTTGAGCCTAGGAGTTGGAGGCTGCAGTGAGCCATGATCATGCCACTGCACTCCAGTCTGGGTGACAGGGTGAGACCCTGTCTCTGAGGGGAGAGAATGGGGAGGGCTTTTAAGCTACACAGAAATCTGAGGAGTGCTTATAATTATTAGGAATTTTGAGTTTTTTACCATTTTGTTAATTTACTGTAGAAAGACTGGAGACTATGTTAAATATAGAGATGTAATACAGTCTTGCAGCAAAAACCTACAGAATGTGTTAAAGTTGAGAGTTAATCATGGGTGCCAGACACAATAACATTCCTGTAATCCCAGTACTTTGTGAGGCTGAGGTGGGAGGATTGCTCAAGCTCAGGACTTTGACACCAGCCTGGGCAACATAGTTAGACCTTGTCTATACAAAAAGATACTTTAAAAATTAGCCAGGTTTGGTGACACATACTTGTAGTCCCAAGTAGTTGGGCTGAGGGGTGAGCATTGCTTGAGCCTGAGAAGTTGAGGCTGCAGTGAACTGTGCCACTTACAGTTTAGCCTGTATGACAGAGCCAGAGGCCCTGTTTACAAAAAAAAAAAAAAAAATCATGGGGGTTACTGATAGAAGGCAAGAGGGAGTCATCTGGTGTGTAAGAAATGTTCTGTTATCTTAATATAAATAATGCAAGTACCAGTTAACACTTACGTACTTAACATAAATAATGCAAATTCCAGTTAACACTTAGGTAAAAATTTGTTATGCTAAATACTTAAGCATTGTGAATTTTATATAAGATGATAATTGAACTTTTTAAAAAATCTAAACAAGCCAGATATGGCGGCCTGTAGTCCCACCCACTCAGTAGGCTGAGGGAGGAAGAATTACTTGAGCCCTGGAATACTAAGCTAGTGTGAGGAACATAGCAAGACCCAAAATCTTTAAAAAACAAAAAAACAGAAACACTGTCAATCTGATTTGATCTACCTGCCCTTTCCTGTCTTGTTGCAGCCCATGTATCCCTGGAAATCAATTTGTTCCCTTTAATTTTACATTGATAGCTTAGTAAAAAATAATTTGAGCATTTCAGAAATGTGAATATCATGACATTTTAATATGTGATATAAAAATTAATGTTTGGTATACTTTATTCCCTGGTTTAGGAGCTGTGACTAATGAGAATTAAAGGCCATGGATGAAGATGAATTTGAATTGCAGCCACAAGAGCCAAACTCATTTTTTGATGGAATAGGTATTACTATTTATTGGGTTGTTTCACTTCCCATCTGCCAGATTTTGAATTACTTACCAAAATTGCAGAATCTGATGTTAATCCATATTTAGGTACTTAGGTCCATACTTAGGTCCTGTCAGAATCTCATAGCCAACTCATAATCTTGTTAGTTAAGCCATCAATATCAAAATCTTACTGTTACCCTTCAGTTATTCCAGTTTTTCCAGTTATGCAACTAAAGCCTGCTAGTTCTCCCTTTGAAATGTTTTCTGTTTGTGCTAGTTTTCTATTTTTCTATTGGTACATTTCAGCAAATTTACTAATCTAAAACAGGACAAATTTATCTCAGAGTTCTATAGGTCAGAAATGTGGCTCAATTGAGTTCTGCGTGTAGAATTATACAAGGTTAAAATTAAGATGTTGGCCAGGTGTGGTGGCTCACATCTGTAATCTCATTGCTTTGGAAGGCTCAATTGTGAGGATTGCTTGAGATCAGGAATTGGAGACCATCGTGGGTGGTGGACAACCCAATGGAAACCTGTGTCTACAGAAAAAAAAATTTTTTTTTAATTAGCTGAGCATGGTGGTGCATATCTCTAGTTCTAGCTGCTCTGGAGGCTGAGGTAGGAGGATTGTTTTACCAGAAGTTAAAGGCTGTGGTGAGCTATAATGGCACAGCTGTACCCCAGCCTGGGTAACAGAACAAGACAGTGTCTCAAAAAATAAATAAATAAATAAATAAATAAATAAATAAATAAATAAATAAAATAAGCTATCTGCAGGGCTGGAGGCTCTTGACTTCGAAGAATATCCATACTTTTAGCCAAATTTAGTTTCTTTTTGTTGCACAATGGAGATACTGTTGTTCCCTACAGTTCATCATCCAGGGCCATTTTTTGCTTTCAGAGCCTGCCCACATTTCTTCTCATGCTTTGCATGGTGGTTTCCTGAAGCAGCAGTGAGTGGAGTCCATCTTATGTTTTTAGTCTTTCTGATCTTCCCCTCTATCACATCCGTCTTCTTGAATCTAGCCAGAAAACTATTCAGTTTAAGAGCTCACATGATTAGATTTGATGCACCAGGGTAATCCAAGATAATTGCCCAATTTTAAGTTCATAATCTTAATTATACCTGAAAAATTTCTTTTGCCATATCAAGTAACATATTTTCAAGATTTATAAGGATTAGTTTATGGACATCTTTGTGAAAGGACCATTCTCCCTGCCACCATCTTCACCCCGGTTCTCAAATATGTCTCTGGCAAATGTAAAATAACATCCACCCTCTCTTAAAGTTCCCAGTCCAAAAAAAAAAAATCTTACCTGAAATTAATCAGCTCAGAAGTCCTAAGTATCATTTAAATCAGATGCTTATTCTCTGGGTATCAGTCATTAAGTGCAACTCCTGGGACATAATTCCTCTTTATCTGCTTCCCAAAGTACAGTGGTAGGACAGTTTGGGATATTCTGGTTCAAACAGGGTGACATGAAAGGTAAGAGAAATTTGTCTGAAGAAATTTTGAAATGCAGCTGGACAAACTCCCATTAGGTTTCAAGACCTGGGAATAATCCTTTTTGGCCTGTGGCTCCGCCCTTTGAGTCTTCCTTGCCATTTTTTTCAAAGATAGCAGGTATTTGCAGCTGAATAGTTTTATTTCCTGCTTCCTGCCTCTGGAATTCTGTCAGTCCAACTGTCTTCATTATATTGATTCTGTGTCCCTTTCCGTTTAAGCTAGCAGTGCTTCTTTTGAAAAAAATTTTGCGTGTGTCATGGGGATTTATTGTATTAGGCAAGAGGCTAATATATTTTTTTTCTGAGATTATCCCATGTCTGTTTTTGACTTCTGCTAAAATGGTTGAAGTCCAATATCCTTAGATTTCTTAGAGGTGTTGGGTATGTGTAAGTCACACTTTTACTTGCTTGAAAAAGACTTAATTCTCTGGCCTTTTGATCTTTCCCTTTCCTTTCCCTCCACTTCCTTTCCTTTTTCTTTTTACCTTACCTTACCTTACTTTACTTTACCTTACCTTACCTTTCCTTACCCCTTGCCTTTTCTTTTTCTTTCCTCTTTCTTTTTCTTTCACCTTGGCTTTTCCCTTTCTTTCCTTTTTCCTTAACTTTTACTTTTCTTGTTTAATGATCGGGTGCCTGAAGGAATCTTTTGTTTTTTCTGAGGGTTCATGGAATAGTTGAGAATCACATACTGTTTTTTTCTCTCTCTCTAAATCAGCGTTCCCCACCTTTTTGAGTACCAGGGACTGGTTTCATGGAAGACAATTTTTCCAGAGACCTGGGAGTAGTGGGGTTCGGGGGATAGTTACTAGATGAATGAAGTGCATTACATTTATTGTGCACTTCATTTGTATTATTATTATGTGTAATATATAATGAAACAATTATACAGTTCACCATAATTTAGAATCAGTGGGAGCCCTGAGCTTGTTTTCCTGAAACTATGCCATCCCATCTGGGGGTAGGAGACAGATCATCAGGCATTAGATTCTTATAAGGAACATGCAACCTAGATCCCTCACGTGTGCAGTTTACAGTACGGTTTGCATTCCTATGAGAATGTAATGTTGCTTCTGACCTGACAGGAGGCGAGAGCTCAGGCAGTGATGCCGGTGATGGGAAGTGGCTGTAAATACAGATGAGGCTTTGCTCTGACAAGGAATCTCCTTAATTTAACCTCCCCTTTCACCCCCACCCCCCCCCCGCCCCCAAGATGGACAGAAAACTTCTGATTTTGTCATGTTTTGCTATCTTTTTGTTTAATAAATATTCCAACTATTCATTTTTCTCACTGAATTTTACTCTAAGCATTAAGTAGAAACAAGACCACTTGTCCAACACTTTGCTGAAATCTTCTGAGCTAAAGAGTTGATTTTTACAAGTTGTTTTTTCCACATAACCAAGGGAGACAATTTTGCTAAGTGGTTTGTCTTCAAGTTGTGCTTTCCACATAACCCAGGGAGACAGTTTTGCTAAGTGGTCTGTCTTTTTATGTAACAAAGCTCTTCTTTCCTTCAGATAGAAACTCACTTTTAAGCCCTTACAAGCAGTGTTACAAAACTCCAGATTTCTACTAGCAGTCATACATGACGTAGGTATTCTCTGAGTCCATGTAGGATTTCTCTACCTTGATCCCTTCTCCCTCTGGATTCTCACTGGCAGAGTTGTTACTGGTTTTTTTTTTTTGTTTTTGAGATAGGGTCTCACTGTGTCACCAGGGCTGAAGGGCAGTGACATGATTATGGCTCCTCACTGCAGCCTCAACCTTCTGGGCTCAAGTGATCCACCCGCCTCAGCCTCCTGAGTAGCTGGAACTACAGGCACACACCACCATGCCTGGGGAATTTTTTAAAATAGAGATGAGGTTTTGCTGTACTGCTCAGGCTGATCTTGAATTCCTGAGCTCAGGCTATCCTCCCACCTCAGCCTCCCAAAGTGTTGCGATTACAGGCATGAGCCACTGTGCCCGGCCTGTTATTTTTAACATTCATGTTTTTACTTATTGGTTTATTTAAGGAAATCTAGGCTTTTTTCCACTCAACAGAATCTAAGCTTTTCATTCTGTAAAAATAATTTTTTTTTTCATTTTCCTAAGAGCTGGAATTTCTCTTTATTCTTGTAAGAAATTTTACAGCTGGCACCTATCCAAGTGCAAAGCCACTTTACGTTTTTAGGTATTTGTATAAGCAGCTCTCCACTTCTCGACACCAAAATCTGAAATTATTTCTGTTACTGCAATGAAAATTACCACAAACTCAGCAGTTCAAAACAAATTTATTGTCTCACAGTTTCTGTAGGTCAGAATTCTATCATGGTGCAGCTAGTTTCATAAGGTATTGCCAGAGGTTTGTTCCTTTCTGGTGAATCCAGTTTCATTGTTCTCTGGATGCACCCAATTTGAGGTTATTCAGGTCATTGGTTGAATGCAGTTCGTTGTAGCTATAGGACTGAAGTCCCCATTTATGTGCTGGTTGTGAGCTAACAGGCTAGTCTTTGCTCCTTTTGACAAAATCTGTGTTGTTTCTTATGCTTTCCATGTGGCCACTGTAGGCAAGGCTAATTCGATCTCTCTCATACATAAAATCTTTTCAATTTATGATTCTGCTTCAACTTTCCAACTCCAGACATAAAAAGCCCTCTGCTTTTAAGTTTTATCTGAGCGGATTGTGCTTAACAAATTATTCTTAAAGTTCATGACCTTAATTTTACCTGCACTGCCCATGTGGTATATAAGTCATAACATAATATATTCATAAGTTCTAGTGATTAGAGAATAAACATCTTGGGGATTTGGTTGGTGGGGCATATGGTGGGGTGTAGATTGTCTGGGGTGCTGAGAGAAGTCTGCTTATGACACAGCTTTTTCTTCATGCTAGTTCCTAGGGCCATATAGGCCCTATTATCTCATTCTTAACTGATAATATTAAGACTCTTTTTTCACTCTTGGTTTCTTTCTTTCACCTACCCTAGTGGTAGAATATTCAGTCCCGAAAAACATGTGGATCATACCTTTCTACTGCCCAGGAAATAAACTATAAATCCCAGGTCCTCTGGAATTGATTCTGTTCGAACTTTTGTAACCCTTTCACATGTTCACAAAAGGAGCCTCTATATCATGCAGATGCATCCTTACCTCATTTCCAAAACTGCAAAAAGAAAATTATACCTAAACAAGAGGGGGAAAAAAGTATTCTCAATTTCAGATTGGTCATGGTTCTAAATACATAATGCTATAATTAAACTAGATTTTATTTTTCTGTTTCATACTCTAAGTTAAAATTTTAATGATTGTATTAACTGAATTTTAAATGAACATTGCCATATATTAGCAATAGTAATTAACTTTACCAAGAAACGTAAGGAATTTTAAATATACCTTCTAAATTTTGTGTGTGTGCGTATATTTGCTAAGCAATTTAGGATATTCTTTTGACTCACCGTTAAGTACTTTCAGGTTGTTAATGGTAAATGCAGACCTATAATTCTTTCTTTCTCTGGAACATAGTGAAATATAATTACTTTGGGAGGCCACAGCAAGAGGGTTGCTTGTGGCCAGGTTTTTAACACCAGTCTGCACCACCCTTTCAGATTTTTTGTTTGAAAGAGAGACTAAGTTCTTAGGGAAAACTCAGTATTTTTTAGTGTAATCTTGCCACAATCAAGCCTGAGTCAGGGCTAAATGGTAGATTGAAGGGCTATTGCATTTTAGCCTTGATTGTTAACACTTGAAATGGTATTTTTTTTAAATTTGAGGAAGTCATGTAATCTGCCCAAGCTCCCATTTTCATATGCATGATAATAATGAAACATCTGATTACATTTTTTTCAGGACACTTACCATGCATTCGCATTTGGTCACTATAGTCCTGTGAGGTGCGCATGACAGATACTACTGACATCATTTTACTGTTGAGGAAACTGAACTCAGAGGTTAGATGACTTGGTCCAAGGTCACAAAACTATTAAGTATCTACACTTTGCCCTCTGATTTAGACCATTATAACCAGTGCTGTTGCCACTAAATGCTATCAAATTTATATCTGTGCAATGGGGATTACACTGTTCTATTGCTGTCTATTATTATGAACATAGAAGACAAATGAGTAGAAAACATTTTGTAGAAGATGTATAAAAATAAAAGCAAACATTCTTTCAACATATAAGTTAAGTAGGTTTTAACTACTTTAAAGACTTCCTGCAACATCTATTGTTGGTTTGCCCTTGGTGATCATTTTTGTTGAAGAAGCTGTGTGTTTATTTGAGGGCTTTGCCACAGGTACACAATCACCGAGTTGTGCACCCACTTGGACTCAGCTTACTCTGAGTTACAATCAGAAACACTAATCAGATAAATAGCCTTTTTTTCCTTTCCTTTTCTTTTTTTTTTTTTTTTTAAGAAAAATCCGGTGAGGTAGTGAGAGTGCAGAAGGAAAAAGAGAAATCTTAACTGCTTGTGATACGTGAATAGCTTTTAATAGTCATCCATGTTTGCTTTTCTCTATGCACTAGTAGCCATAATGCCTGATTTGTTTCATATTAGGTTATATTTTTGTTAAAGTTGTATGAATTCTCTTCCTATTTGTGGTGTTCATTTAGAATAATATTTACTGAGCATGATGTGCTGTGCAAGTTGTGTGATCTTGGTTAAGTCATTTGATCTCAGTGGGCTTTAACTGGCTCTCACCCTTCTACCTTCATTGCTTAACTGCACCCAGCACTAGAAAATGCTTTTATATATTCTGAGGAACTACCTTGGGATTTGGGGTTAGTGGGAACAGGAGGAGGATAGATGGAGGTGGAATACCCTGGCAAAATTAGGGCAGGCCCCACTCCAACCACCCCCACCCTTCACCACCCAGCCCAGCCCATTTTATCTATCTATAGAAACCTCTAAACCTAATGTCTTTCCTCTTTTTATTCCTCTTTTAATTTCTACCCTGATTCTTTTGTCTTAGATTCAAAGAATTACTTTCTAATTACCAAAGTTATAGTGGATATTGATGGGATATTGCACCAGGACAAAGTGGGAAGATTATAAGGGCTGAAAGAGAAAAAAGAAAGGGTAAAAACGAGATATGTAGGTATAATGAAAAAAAAAAAAGTAATGTGTTAAGAAAGGAGATGATGAAAGAAGGAAGAGAAATGAATGAAACATGTAATGAAGAAATAGTATATTTGTTTTCTGAATTTGTTGTTTAACTTATATAAAAATCTCAAGATTTTATTTTAGTGGGGTGAGAAATTTTTTATCTTGATGTTTTAAAAGTATTTCACAAATAGTTTTTTTCTGTCATTGCCCCAAGGTTTTTTTTATTTTTCTTTTCTTGTTAGTTGATTTTATATTTCTTTTTTACTTTTGTATTTCTTTTCTTGTTAGTTGATTAGGGTTGAGTAAAATAAATTTTTATGTTAAAAATTTGTTTGTTAAGTGAATCAAAAGTGGATTCATTCTCTTATTTATTGTCTCAATGTTTGAGGAACACCAAGGACATAGTCTGTTTTCCCAGAAGAAATTAAATAAAAACTATATTTAGTCATGTATACTTACCTGAGATTTGTCATTTTAATTTTTATTCTTTAAGGAGCTGATGCTACACACATGGATGGTGATCAGATTGTTGTGGAAATACAAGAAGCAGTTTTTGTTTCTAATATTGTGGATTCTGACATAACTGTGCATAACTTTGTTCCTGATGACCCAGACTCAGTTGTAATCCAAGATGTTGTTGAAGATGTTGTCATAGAGGAGGATGTTCAGTGCTCAGATATCTTAGAAGAGGCAGATGTATCTGAAAATGTCATCATTCCTGAGCAAGTGCTGGACTCAGATGTAACTGAAGAAGTTTCTTTACCACACTGCACAGTCCCAGATGATGTTTTAGCTTCTGACATTACTTCAACCTCAATGTCTATGCCAGAACATGTTTTAACGAGTGAATCCATGCATGTGTGTGACATTGGACATGTTGAACATATGGTGCATGATAGTGTAGTGGAAGCAGAAATCATTACTGATCCTCTGACGAGTGACATAGTTTCAGAAGAAGTATTGGTAGCAGACTGTGCCCCTGAAGCAGTCATAGATGCCAGCGGGATCTCAGTGGACCAGCAAGATAATGACAAAGCCAGCTGTGAGGACTACCTAATGATTTCGTGTAAGTCATGGGGTACAGTGATTTTAAGCAATGTTTTTGAAACCTGTGTTTTCTAACATAAATAATGGTGAAATTTTATTGAGTTTAACTTCTGTAAAGTTAAAGTAGAAATGATAAACCTACATGCATTGTTGCTTAGTTTGCATCCCAGAAGATAAACCGTAATTAAGTGACATGGTGCAGAAGAGAGTTATTTCTATATTAGGATAGAACATAAGGATGAAAGAATAAGAAATGAAAATAACAGAATTGAGTCTTATGAAATCATACAAAGTATGATTGGTCTGTTACTCACCTTCAGATTTATCCCTGAGACTTGTAATCAGTTTTTTTAAAGTCTTTTTATTATGTAGTCATTTCACTTTCCCCTTTTTTTCTACCTTATTGTCCGTTTTCTCTTTAAGTAATGATTTTTTGTTGTTGTTTAATTCATTACTGGCTTTGGAGTTAAATCTAGTGAATTCTCTGAAATACAGTGGTCTCACCAAGACCATCAACCACTAATTTATTTAGGTTTGAAATTGATTTCAAATTTTACATTGTACTAGTTTTATGTTTTGCTCACTAATCCTCATGGGATGCTGGCTTTGTTGATTGTGTTTATAACTTTGTCAACCAGAACATGACTGGACATACTTTTGCTTATGCAGCAGCTGCTGTAGTCATTCTGTTACTAAAATCCCTGACTCTGTGTCTCTAATATTTTTAACTTCAATATCTAGGTATATTTTCTACGTTAATATGGTTACAACTTACGGAATCATTGTGTCATTTACCTGCTGATTTAAATAATTTAGTTATCCTAATTGACCAGTTCATTACTACGGTCTTTGGAATGAAGTTTTATAGTGTAGATTTAGTTTAGAGCATTCCCATTAATATTAAATACCGCCTACACTCCTCTTCCTGTGTCTTTGAGCATAGCACAGCAAAAGAGTTGTGCAGGCATTTTCGTGGGCACAGGGAGAGTAGGCATTTACCTCTTATATGATCAAGTGTACCATTATGGCCTAGTTTTCTGATAATGATAATTTTCTACCTCCCTCTGAACCTGCTTAATGATTTTAAACAGCCTCATTCAACTGATTTAATAAACATTTATTTCTGTGTGTAAAAACTTATTCTATGAAGTGTTTAAATATTTAAGATTAATAATTTACAGTTTTTGACCTTCGGTTTATAACCTGGTGTGCCCAAAAAAAGGGGGAGTAAGGTGGTGTTTAGCTCTTTGAAAATGTAATAATAAATATTTTTATATGCTGAATTTATCTAGCTATTTCAATTTTTTTTTTGCTAGCTCTTGTTTCTTCCAGAAGAAATATCTACTCTCATGCTGCATTTGTAATTAAAAATCCTGTAGGGCTGAGGGTAAGGGGACATATTTAGGGTTGACAGGTTTTTCTTAAAGTATATAAAGGAAGTACGGTCTGATTTTATATTAATATAGAGAATACTGAGAATACTGTCATTGACAGTAAGCTTTAATGCTTTCCATAATGTTATGAGAGTTGGTAATATCTTTTACATTCTTTAATATAGTTATTTAATACATAGATTAAAGGTTTTAAAACATTGTTTAAGTACACTTTACAATCTAAAATATGTTACTGGATTTAAGAGCTTATTTCTGTCTTTAGTAGCAGGTTTTTCTCCTCTGAATATCTCATTTAAAATGATGAGAGAGTCCTCTATGGTATCACAGTAGTATATCTGCACAAAAGTGCTCACTGTTACACCCTAAGTGCTATTGAGATCAACATGACCTCTTTATATACTCTTTACAGTATAGATGTTACTATTGGCTTTTAAGTTGATTATATCATCTTTAAGGACAGGTCCCCCTCAAACCTGTGCATATTTGGTATAAAATATTTGTTGAGTGAACACTTAGGTGAACTTTATAGCTGAACGTTTGTGCATATCATGTCTCATCCAAAGGGCATCTAGTTAGTTGTTTTAGCAATCTACCTGGTGTTTCTAATAAATTATGACTTTGGTCATAGTGAACATTCAGTGATTAAATGAATAAATGAAGCCCAATCCTCATATCTAAAGCAGAAAGCCTATGGATCAATACAGTTTGATGATTTGTTTAATGATTCTAGTGGCTATTAGAGCAGAATAGGGCTGGTAAAGTAGTTGTTTATTGTAATTATTTTATATTTTTTGTATATACACATTGCATATATTAATTTTGCTTATCCTTCTGTTCTATAACTCATTATTAGACGTATATATCTAAATATATATATATATGTTTTAAGCTACCTACTAGTTTTGCTTTGTTTTGTAAAACCATTTGGCAAAATGGTACCAAATGCAAGAATTTTAAAAATGTATATCTACAAGGGATGATTTCTGAAAAGTGAATAAAGATATTTTAGGGAGATAGGTTGTTTTAAGTTTTGATAAATTTCTGAAACGTGTTTTTTCATAAGACTTTCAAAAACTAATGATTTTTATGTAGGAACTCTAAAATGTATTTAGAAAATCTTAAAGCACATGCGCAGTGTTTCAAAGGAGATAAGCTAATCAAAGGAGATAGAAATCAAACGGTTGGAATTTAGGAAAGAAGCTGAACAGAGAAATAACATTATCAAGGTAAAAGAGACTATAAAAGCAGCAATTAAAATAAATGTGGATTAGTATTAATATGACTGGAGACCTTCTGATTGGGCTTTAGAAAATTGCCAAAATGAAATGATGAAAAAACAGACGTAAAAATGATTATGGACAAGATTAGCAGACATGAGAAACAGAAGGCAAACTTAGATACAGAAAAGAAGAAAACAATTAATATGACAGAAAGTTATGGAAGAAAGCTTTCCTGAAATTAGGAATGATTAGAGTACAGCAATGAAAATGGCAGAGTAAAGAACACTGAAAAACTTCTCTTTTATAAAAATAATGAGAACAATGGTTAAAAAATTATCAGAGTAACATTTTTCAGCACTCTGAAAACTAAATGATTGTAGCAATAGAGGGGGTACTGGATATTGGTGAGATTGTGCCCTTTTAATTTGCTGTTTACATCCACTCCTCCCAAGCTGTACGTTAGCCTTAAAAACTGACATCTGACAAATATAAAAAAAGGAGCAGTCACGGAAGATAACAGCAGCTCATGCCTGTAATCCTAGTGGTTTGGGAGGCTTGGCCAGGAGGATCACTTGGGGCCAGGAGTTTGAGACCATCCTGGTCAACATAGTGAGACCCTATCTCTAAAAAAGTTAAAAAATTATGTGAGCATGGTGGTATGCACCTGTAGTCCCAACTACTTGAGGCTGAGGTGGGAGTATCCTTTGAACTCAGGAGATCACGATTGCAGTGAGTTATGATTATGCTACTGCACTTCAACCAAGAGCAACACTCTGACTCAAAAATTTTTTTTTCTTTTAAACAGTAGTCTGGCAGTTACTGGAGGAGGAAGAAAGGCCCATTTTTAGAGAACTGATATTATTTGACCTGTTGGTGGTGACCTGCAAGACCCACCCTTTTTTTTTTTTTTTTTTTGAGACAGAGTCTTGCCCTTTTACCCAGGCTGGACCCCAGTGCTGTGATCTCAGCTCACCGCAGCTGCCAACTCCTGGGTTCAAGCGATTCTTGTGCCTCAGCCTCCTGAGTAGCTGGGACTACAGGTGCTGCGCCACCACAGCCCAGCTAATTTTTTTTTAATTTTTTTTTAATTTTTGGTAGAGATGGGGTTTCTCCATGTTGGCCTGTCTGGTCTCTAACTCCTAGCCCCAAGTGATATACCCACCTTGGCCTCCCAAAGTGTTGGAATTACAGGTGTAAGCCACTGCACCCAAGACCTCACTTAGACTATTGACTTAGACTCTGAACTTCTGTAGTATGATCAGCCTTCTCCTTTGGGTTGTTGGTTGAAAATTGTAGAGACAGCTGTTGAACATACTGGTTTTTAAGGCAATTGATACAGTTAGGGCAAACAATAGATACACTAAAGCTTAAAAGGAAAGAAAAGTCCAGTAGTGGAATGAAGAGTCCAGAGGGCTTTGAAAAACTGGGACATATTCCTGATAATCTTGAATGTGATAATGCCAGGTCTGTGGCCCTGCTAAGGAAAGGCTTGGCAAGGCCTTAGGCTCACACTTCGGGTAATCTTCAAGGGCTGCCCAAATAAATAAAAGCCAGTGTAGAACTATAAACAGCCTGAATGAATATTTCAACATGCATGTGGAGCCAAAAACTGCTGGTTCTACACATCTCTGTCAAGTCATAAGCTGAATATGTATTTTATGTAATTAGATAGACTTTTAAATTGCTGCATATGACAAAACACACACACACTTTATAGGATTAGTTTAGGAAAGTCACAGTACTGTTGTTTACTAAGCAACAGTAACCAATCATAACACACATTAGGAAAATGAAGAATCTGATTTTCACAGTTGCCAAATTATATTATTTTAAATGTTCAGTTTTCAACAACAACAAAAAATGAGACAGGCACAAAACCAAAAAAAAAGTACAGCCTATACGCAAGAAAAAGCACAGCCAACAGAAATTCATTCTAAGGAAGTCCAGACACAGTAACTAGAGTAGCTTATAAATCAGTTATATTACATTGTTCAAAGGCCTAATTAGGAAGTCATGTGTGAAGAAATAAAGGAAAGTAGGAGAATGATGTCTCATTAAGTGGAGAATATCAATAATCAGAAATTAAAAAGAACTAAATAGAATCTGGGGTGGAAAATTATGACAACTGAAATGAAGATTTCACCAGATGAACTCAAAAGTAGATTTAAACAGGCAGAAGAAAGAATCAGCAAACTTGTAGGAACTTCAATTAAGATTATCTCGTCTGAAGAGAAAGAAAAATAAGACAAATTAATATAGTCTTATATAATCTATGGAACGCCATGAAGTAAGCATACCAAGATATACTGTACCAGGAGTGAGAGGGAAGAAAGAAATTGGCTTAAAGAATAGTTTAATAATAGCTGAAAACTTCACAAATTTGATGAAAAACTGTAATCTTCACTTGTAAGAAGTTGCGTGAATTACAAGGGATCCATGTTTAGACACAAGACATTTTATGTTGTCAAAAGACAGATACATTTTTTAAAGCAGTAAGGTAGAAGTCACTTCTCACATACAAGTCCTCCCTCCTTCCCTCCCTCCCTCCCTTTTCTCCTTTCTTCCTTTCCTTCTCTTCCATCCATCCTTTTTTTTTTTTTTTGAGATGGAGTCTTTCTCTGTCGCCCGGGCTGTAATGCAGTGGTATGACTTCGGCTCACTGATGTTGTACAGCCATTGTGACAAAGTTTGGCAATTCCTGGAAAAGTTAAATTTACATAGGATTACCATATGACCCAGCAGCTCTCTTCTGGATATACCCAAGAGAACTGAAAACATATGTCCACAAAACAGTTTATATATTGTACAAATGTTCATAGCATCATTATTCATAGTAGCCAAAGAGTAGCAACAACTTTAATATCTATCAGTTGAATTGATAAAATGTGGTATATCTGTCTAATGAAATATTATTTGATCATAAAAAGTAATGAAGCACTGATGAATGCCATAGCATGGATGAACTTTGAAAACATTGTGTCAAAGTGCAAGAAGTGGGTGCAGTATCTAGAATAGGTATGTATGTAAAGTCAAAAAGTATATTGTTGCCTAGTGTTCGTGGATAGTGTTGTGTGGAATAGGGAGTAGTAGCTAAATGGTACAGCGATTTCTTGTGAGGGTGATAGAAATTTTCTGCAATTAGTGGTGTTGCTTGCACAGCTCTGTGAATTTGCACAGCTGTCTGAAAACCCACTGGTTTGTATGCTTTACATACTATGCAATAGTAACTCATATTATGTGAATTTCCTCTCAGTGCCAAAAAAAAAAAATTGGAATCTTTTAAGGCAATTCATTTTCTGCTAAGAAATTGAGAGACGAATAAAACTTTTTTTTTTTTTTTTGAGATGGAGTCTTGCTCCATCACCCAGGCTGGAGTGCAGTGGCTCAATCTCGGCTCGCTGTAACCTCCGCCTCCTGGGTTCAAGAAATTATCCTGTCTCAGCCTCGCGAGTAGCTGGGACTACAGGTGCCTGCCACCATGCTTGGCTAATGTTTGTATTTTCAGTAGAGATGGGGTTTCACCTTGTTGGTCAGGCTGGTCTTGAACTCCTGACCTCAGGTGATCTACCCACCTCGGCCTCCCAAAGTGCTGGGATGACAGGCATTAGCCACCACACCCAGTAAAAACTATTAATAATCATCATTATATTAATGAACTTAAGGATCAAGAATTATATAGTCACCCACATCAAAATACTCAATGCTATACACAGTGCAACAAAGCCTAAAGTTTCTGAGGAAAGTATAGCTTAAGAATTTTATACCCAGACAAATTATTCAAGTCAAAATTACAGGTAGACATTTTCAAACATCCAGGATTTCAGAAATTTTAACACCCATGTGTGATGGAGTTGCTGCTTGGTACCATAAACCAAAAGATGAATTAGTAGAAAAAGACTCAAGAATGGAGAACTGATAAAATAATGAGTAGTGATTTTTGAATTAATTTAATGTAAAATTGGAGTAAACATTTATACAAATTAAGGTTATGTAACATGGTAAATGTCTACAAAATATTAACGAAAATATTTGCCGTGGCATGATGTGCAAATATGTTCATGTTTTCACTTTTTTTTTTTTTTTTTTTGAGACGGAGTCTTGCTCTGTCACCCAGGCGGGAGTGCAGTGGCAGGATCTCAGCTCACTGCAAGCTCCGCCTGCTGGGTTCACGCCATTCTCCTGCCTCAGAATCCCAAGTAGCTGAGACTACAGGTGCCTGCCACCATGCCTGGGTAGTCTCTTTTTTGTATTTTTAGTAGAGACGGGTTTCACCGTGTTAGCCAGGACGGTCTCAATCTCCTGACCTCATGAACCGCCCGCCTCTGCCTCCCAAAGTGCTGGGATTACAGGTGTGAGCCACTGTGCCCGGTTGTTTTCATCTTTTATAGCAGGTGACAGTAGATAATATCTTTACAATATGATTCCTACCTATTATTTTTATCGTATTTTTCTTAGAGTATTTTAAAATCTTCTCTTGAATTAATAGACATTTAATTGATCATCATTCATATAACAAATTGAATGTTAGATAGTTACTAAGGCTAGACAGTATTGTCAAGTCTTGAGATACATCAGTGCACAAAATAGAGATTCCTTTCTCTCATCATTGTGGACTTGTAGTATGGCTGTACCTGTATCAAATTATTTAAATGTATATTAGAATGTGTCTTGGGAAAGTAGAAGAGTTTAATCAAAATGATTGTGAGTTTCAGAGATGGTCAAGGATGCCTTGCTGGAAGGATGACAGTTTGTCATAGACTTCAGTTTGAGTTGTATCATAAACTTCAAAAAGGAAATGCATGTATTAATCTTAGTAGAGAGGACAGTGACAGTTTGCATCAAATGCAGCAACTTAGGCAAGTCAGATGAGGACTCAGAATTGGTCATGTATGTCTTTGGTGAACAGATTCAGTGAAATCATGGACAAAAGCTTGATGGAAGTATTAAATAAGTTTAGAGAAAGAATGTGCAATGAGAATCACTGGAGATATGAAACAGTTGCTTGCAGGAGAAGTGGGATCAAGAGGAGATGGAATTTTTGTTTGTTTTAGTGTTGTTTCAAGAGAAAAAGCTTATTTGTTTCCTGATGGGAGTGTTCCTTTACTGGGTGATAGATAAATTGATGGTTTAAGGGATAACTGCAAAAAAACAGAAAAGAGAAGGTATAATTTAGTGCTTATGTGGAGGTATTGTTTTTAAGTGGAAAGGAACACTGCTTGTCTGTGGCAGTGTGCAGGAAATACAAAGTTTGTGAATTAGTTGTTGACAGTAGGACAGATGTGGCAGACAGCAGATCATCTTTTCTGTTTTGGGTTCTTCGTAAGGTGGGAAATAAGATCAACAGGCAGGCAGTATTGGAATTTTAAGAAAAATATGGCAAATAGCATCTACTCAAGATTCATATTGTATATTTAAAGATGATGCTATCTACATCATGCTTTTTTTTTCTATCTAGACTTAGCTGCATAGATGTAGATGCTGACATAAATTATATCAGGCAGGTTTGTGGTTTTGCCAGCCAAGTATTATGAAATCAGTCAGGGGCATAGGAGTTGAAAAAATATGCAAGAGAACAGTTAGAATGACCAGCCATGGAATTAAGCTGTTTTACTTGTTCAAATTGCTATAAAATTTTTGTTTAAAAGTAACATTTCAATTTTAATTTTAAACTTGTATTTGTCCTTTCTGTTCTTTTACTTATATATATGCATTGAGAAATATCTGAATAATATTATTGTAAATTCTATTCATATTTCAGATGGTTTGTTTTTGAGCACTCTTTAATTTTTAAGTAGTTTCTTAAATATTAAAGTGGATCATCTCAAGAAAAAGCTATCTTTTAGGGCAAAGTTGAAGAAGCATAAGGGAATAAATAATAAAATAGTATTGTTTAAATTTGGGGCCCATGAGATATTGAGGACAATAATACTGTAAAGACCAAAGGAGTTTGGGCAGATTTTGGTTGCTAGACTGTGCAATTTGTATTTTACTTGGTAGGAAAAGGAGTGCTAGAGACTAGGGCTGGAGGGTAAAGTAACTGGATCTTTCTTTTAAGAAGACAGAAAATTGATACCAATTTTCTTGATACCATTGATACCAATGTCAGGGTGTTTGGTTGGAAACCTTAGGAGAGAGAAATCAGGTAAACTGTTTGTTTCTGAGGTTGGTGGTAAATGAACTTTAACAACCTGGTTTTGAAAGATGAGACAATTTGAGTGGAGAGGCACAAGCCATGTTCTTGCATTGTAAGACTGCAAAGCAAAAGAATAGCAACGTTTTTATGATATTAATTTAGACAAAATGCAGTCCAGTGGAAATCCAACATCCAATTTTTTTTGTCAGCAAAACTGTAATTCTTTTTCTGAGGAAAACAAAGAGAAGTGAGATAACATGACTAGCTAAAAATTAAGCTGTGAATTATAAAGACAGACATCCTTCTCATTTCCTCACCTCTCCCTTTCGTAGCTGATTGGCTTGTGTTATTACAGCAGGTTTTACTAGCATTATTGGAATCTTTAACTCCCTAGCTTGTTTCATGCCCTTCCAATTACCTCTCCAGCTTTTACTACTTAGGTTAATTTGTGAATTCTTTCTTGCCCCTGCCTTAAATTGTAATCTCACTGGGACTGTGATTTTCTTTACACTCATGATTTCTTTACAGCTCATGATTTTCTTTACACTGCAGTTTGCTGATGGCTTCCAAATTGGTGTTGATCTTCAGCTTTCAGAGTTGAATATTCTGTAGGTGGCTTCATATGTCATTCATTCCGTCTTCTCAGTTTATTCTTAAATATGACCCAACTCCAGCCTTTATCCCAATTTATACTACCTCTGTCCTGATTCAAGGCTTCATTATCTGTCACCTAAATGTACTTGAAGCTGTAGTGCCCTGCTTCATTTCTTGATCTCTTCAAATCTGCTTTTTTATAAGGCCAGCAGGATGCTTTGGCAAAAATACTGATCTTAGTGACTGGTCTTTTTAAAAGCAGAAATTATCAGATCTCTGATAAGAATCCCCAAGAGTAGGATACCTTGAAGTCTATTTTGTATACAAGTTCATTCCATACCTGCAGATCTGGTTTTAATCAGATTGAGAAACTTGCAGTCTACCAGAATTAAGTTTGAGCCCCTCTGCCTGGTGCATAAAGTCCTCCATGACCTGGTTTTGCTTTACCTGTAGTTCACATTTCCCACTATGGCCTAATTTGCAGCAGTATTGAAGAACACACTCTCTTACTGTCCTGTCCCCCTACCTGCTGTATCCTTTGCATAGAATAAGTGCCATTCTCTTCCAGTCTACATAACGTACCTTCACTTTTTTTTGTGGCAGCTGTTATTGCACTTTGCAACATTTGCCAAAACGTTTCTGACTCCCCAGCCTGTTTTATAGTAACACTCATATGGACACCTTGAAAATTTATAAAATATTATTTCATTGGATGAGAAAATGAATCAATTTTAATAAAAATAATTTACACCAATGTTAACATTAAAGATTGCACTAGAGTTCAAAATTAGTATATTTTTATGTTTAAAGAAATTTTAGGCCAAGTGCAGTGGCCTGAGCCTGTAATCCCAGCACTTTGGGAGACTGAGGCAAGTGGATCACTTGAGGTCGGGAAGTTCAAGACCAGCCTGGCTAATATGGCAAAACCCCATCTCTACTAAAAATGCAAAAATTAACAATGCTTGATGGCAATGCCTGTAATCGCAGCTATTTGGGAGGCAGAGGCAGGAGAGTCACTTGAACTTGGGAGTTGCCGTGAGCTGAGATAGCGCCAGTGCACTCCAGCCTGAGTAACTGAGACTCCTATCTCAAAAAAAAAAAAAAAAAAAAGAGAGATTTTAACTTTTTCTTCTAAGTAATCTTTTAAATTTACTTTAAGGAATCAGGTAGTGTCTAAGTGACATTTTGTTTTGAAGACAAGTGTATATTAAAATGTGATTTGCCAATGTTACTGTATCCAAAATAGACAAAAAAACTCTTTTCCCCATTGTTTTGGGTTCTTACATCTTGTGTTTAAGTAGTTAAGTTTTAGTTGCTTTTAGTAGCCCAGTGTTTCAAGTTCTCATATTGTAGGTTAAGTAGTTAGATTTTATAATATCCGTGTTTGTAACAAGGAGATGCTATTTGAAAGTAGTCCATAATTTCTAGTAAGAAACTAAATTATATCGTCATTGTATTTTTGTTTTTTTTATGTTGGCTTTAGATAATTTTGATTAGACAAATATAGTTTTGGATCTTTTGAAGAACAAGACGGGGAATTTGAAAAGTATGCAGAGATTTCAAAATCTAAATTCTGTGTTTATAAGCCACTGCTGAAAGTTAAGACTAAGAATTTAAAACCTAAAATAGTCAAAACTATTACCATTGCCTTTTGTAAGTAATGCTTATTGTAGTTGAGTTGTGAATACATTTATCTGCTCTACACTAATGAAAAACATCTTTTGTTATACTGTTCTTTATTTCTTACAAAAAATTATTATTGCCTCTAACAATTTAAACTTAACAGCATTCTTCAAACACCAGAGGTTGATGGTGGTTTCTTGTGAATTACATGGATCAAGATTTGAATTCTGGTTTTGCCAGTTACTAGATGTGTGACCTTAGATAAATCATTCAAGTTTTCTAAACTTCAGTTTGCTTTACTGTAAAATGTCGACAGTATTATAGCACTTCCTCATGGAGTTATGAGTATTAAGTAATGCTTTCAGTAATCACTTAATAAAAAGTAACTACATTATTATGATCACATTTTAAAATAATCATCTGTTCACCTGTCTGCTTTTTCACTGAATTACAAATTTCTTGGGTCCATTACTTTTTTTTTTTTTTTTTGGAGACAGCCTTTCTCTGTTGCCCATGTTTGCGTGCAGTGGTGAGATCTTAGCTCACTGCAACCTCTGCCTCCTGGGTTTAAACGATTCTTGTGCCTCGGACTCCCAAGAAGCTGGGATTACAGGCATGTGTCATTATGCCCAGCTAATTTTTGTATTTTCAGTAGAAAACATGTTTTGCCATGTTGGCCAGGCTGGCCTCAAGCAATCCACTCACGTCCACCTCCCAAAGCCCTGGGATTACAGGTGTGAGTCACCACGCCTGGCCTTGGGTCAGTTTCTTTTAAAGTTTGCACCTCTAATACTTGCCCAGAGTCTGATTGATAGTTGTGAATCATTGTTTAATTGACTTAAACATAAACATTTAGCCAAAAGGATAATGAAATATATTCAGCAGAGGATTACAAAAACAAAACTAAAATGGGAAAGGGGAAATGAAAAAACTTCTTGGGGTCCTCCTCCTCTGTGGTTGGTCTCTTGCTGTGTCATACTGACCAGGTGGGCCCAGAACAGAGAGAACATTACTTAGTGTTTCTCTAATGGACCAAACATTGAAAAATCCAATTTTTGTGATAAATTAAATTGTACTATGTGCTATGTGTTCATTAGTCTGTGCCACACTTTCTGTTATGCTAAAGATAGTAGTCAGTGCCCACAGTGGTGTGTAGTGTAAGGTTACATTATATGGGGGTTGTATTTTTGGTATTTACTGCAATCCAGAATGTATTTTTTAAGACATTATTTTTTACTTTTGTTAATTTTGAAGTCCCAAGCATAACACCACACTTGATTCCCTTACCGTGTAACACTTAAAAGTTTGTTGTAGATTCCCTGAGCCCACTGTTGGAAATCATATGTTCACTTTATCGGTAAGTAAGGATTCTTTTTTTTTTTTTTAATACATAAACATGAAACAGGCTGCCTTAAGTATTTAAGAAGATACTTAAGTATACATCTTACTGTATTTGCCAGCAGTAGACCCAGACTCATTAGAACTCATATATATGTTTTGTGTGTGTGGTTTTTTTTAAAAATGCATGTGTGTGTAGTGTTAGGTTTGAACAGGTTAATATCAGAATTTACAACTATTTATTTATTTATTTATTTATTTATTTATTTATTGAGACAGTTTCACTCTGTCATCCAGACTGGAGTACAGTGGTGCAATCTTGACTCACTGCAACCTCTGCCTCCCGGGTTCAAGTGATTTTCCTGCCTCAGCCTCCTGAGTAGCTGGTACTACAGGCTCCTGCCACCATGCCCAACTCATTTTTTTGCATTTTTAGTGGAGACAGAGGTTTCACTATGTTGGCCAGGCTGGTCTCAAACTCCTGACCTCAGGTGATCCGCTGCATCGGCCTCCCAAAGTGCTGGGATTACAGACATGTGCCACCATGGCCAGCCAGAATTTATGTTTCTGACAACCATATTTTGATTTTTAAAAAGTTTATGATTCTCATAGAACAGATAAGACAATTGTATTCAGAAGTACTGAATGTTAGGTAATGCTCATAAAATATATTAGGACTAGTGTGTACTGAATTTACTAGTAGGACATTATTTTTCAGATCTTCAAGAACATTGGTAAGCTGGATGCAGTGGCTCAAGCTTGTAATCCCAGCATTTTGTGAGGCTGAGGTGGGAGGATTGCTTGAGCCCAAGAGTTGGAGATAAGCTAGAGAAAACCAGTGAGACCTTGTCTGTACAAAGAAATAAAAAAATTAGCTGAGCATGGTGGCATACGCCTTTTGTCCCAGCTACTCAAGTAGGCTGAGACAGGAGGATTGTTTGAGTTCTGGAGGTCAAAGGTGCAGTGAACTATAATTGTGCCACTGTACTCTAGCCTGAATGACAGAAAAAGAAAAGACCCCATCTCAAAAAATAAAACAGAATACTTGTAATATTGTATGCTTTTACTTTATGATAAACAAAGATGACATATGTCCTTTCATTAGTTTTCTTAAGTTTTAAAGAATCTGCTGTTATGGTTGATGATATATTTTCTGCCTTTTCAGTGGATGATGCTGGCAAAATAGAACATGATGGTTCCACTGGAGTGACCATCGATGCAGAATCAGAAATGGATCCTTGTAAAGTGGATAGCACTTGTCCTGAAGTCATCAAGGTGTACATTTTTAAAGCTGACCCTGGAGAAGATGACTTAGGTAAGAGGAAGCTGTCAGCATTTTATACATTGTCATCCAAATGTTTCAACCAAATGGTGTCAAAAAAAGTAAACAGGTTACTTTTTTTCATTGATACTTAACATTTAGTTTAGGTTATTTAGATTGGAAAATTTGAACTCTTTTCCAAAGACAACTTTTAAGACATATTTTTGAGTTAGTAATATAAAAATACACTAAAACGTGTAAGCAAAATATGTGAAAATGAACTCTCAAATAATTTTTGGAGCTTTCATATTCTCTGATAGGTGGAACTGTAGACATTGTGGAGAGTGAACCTGAAAATGATCATGGAGTTGAACTACTTGATCAGAACAGCAGTATTCGTGTTCCCAGGGAAAAGATGGTTTATATGACTGTCAATGACTCTCAACAAGAAGATGAAGATTTAAGTATGTGGCTTTTTAAAAAAAAATTTTTACTTTAAGTTCTGGGGTACATGTGCTGAATGTGCAGATTTGTTACATAGATATACATGTGCCATGGTGGTTTGCTGCACCTATCAACCCATCATCTAGGCTTTTAAGCCCCCCATCCATTAGGTATTTGTCCTAATGCTCTCTCTCCCCTTGCACCCCACCCCACAGTGGGCCCCAGTGTGTGATGTTCCCCTCCGTGTGTCCATGTGTCCTCATTGTTCAGCTCCCACTTACGAGTGAGAACATGTGACGTTTGGTTTTCTGTTCTTGTGTTAGTTTGCTGAGGATGATGGTTTCCAGCTTCATCCATGTCCCTGCAAAGGACATGAGCTTATTCTTTTTTATGGCTGCATAGTATTCCATGATGTATATGTGCCAGTATGTGGCTTTTTTTGTGGGAGAGGGTTTTATGTTTCTACAAGGTGTGTTTTTTTTTTTTTTTTGAGACAGAGTCTTATTCTGTTGCCAGGCTGGATGGAGTGCAGTGGAGCAATCTCCGCTCACTGCAGCTTCCACCTCCTGGGTTCAAGCAGTTCTCCTGCCTCAGCCTCCCAAGTAGCTGAGACTACAGGCACGTGCCACCACACCCAGCTAATTTTTGTATTTTTAGTAGAGATGAGGGTTTCACCATGTTGGCCAGGATGGTCTCGATCTCTTGACCTCGTGATCCGCCCACCTTGGTCTCCCAAAGTGCTGGGATTACAGGCGTGAGCCACTGTGCCCTGCCCAAGCTGTCGTCTTTTTTTTTAATGTAACCAATATTTGAAAAAAAATAAGCAGCGCTGTTGTAGAGATTACTGTGTTGCCGTATTCCAAGAATAGATATCAGTGACTATGTATGTTTTGATAGTTGCTTTATAAACTAATTATGGTGAAAGCCAAGAAACGAATAATTCAACCAATGTTTATTTTTTCCTACTAATGAATTTTTTCTGTGTGATCTCTGTAAACCTAGTCACAAAAAATTTTTTATTTATTTTGTGCTTAGATGTTGCTGAAATTGCTGATGAAGTTTATATGGAAGTGATCGTAGGAGAGGAGGATGCTGCTGTTGCAGCAGCAGCAGCTGCTGTGCATGAGCAGCAAATTGATGAGGATGAAATGAAAACCTTCGTACCAATTGCATGGGCAGCAGCTTATGGTAACTTACATAGAAGCCAGAAGGATTGAGTAGTTTTTGAACATTAATTCACTGTTGAAAGTGGTTTCTGTTGGCCAGGCGTGGTGGCTCATGTCTGTAATCCCAGCACTTTGGGAGGCTGAGGCAGGCGGATCACGAGGTCAGGAGATTGAGACCATCCTGGCTAACATGGTGAAACCCTGTCTCTACTAAAAAATATTTTTAAAAAATTAGCCAGACGTGGTGGCAGGCACCTGTAATCCCAGCTACTGAGGAGGCTGAGGCAGGAGAATGGCGTGAACCTGGGAGGTGGAGCTTGCAGTGAGCTGAGATTGCGCCACTGCACTCCAGCCTGGGCAGCAGAGCAAGACTCCATCTCAAAAAAAAAAAAAAAAAAAAAAAAAAAAAAAAAAAAAAGGGTTTTTTTTAGGGTTTCATGATTTAAGCAAAAGTAGAGGAGGATTAAATAGTCTCCCTGTTGCCTTTAATTTTAACATGAACTTCTTTTATTATGTAAGAAGTGTGGGAGCTTTCAGTCTAACATTTTAAATCTTGGTTTATAGGTGACACATAACTTTACAATTTTTGGGAGATAGCAGGGAGTCCAGTAGAGCAGCATGCTGCTAGATACGGAAGCTAGGCACTTCCCCTGGTCTTGCCATATATATGCCCATAAAACACATGGTCTACAATTGGGGGCCAGGTGTGGCTCTTGCCTGTAATCCCAGCACTTTGGGAGTCTGAGGCAGGTGGATGACCTGAGGTCAGGAGTTCAAGATCAGCCTGGCCAATATGGTGAAACCTCCTCTCTACTAAAAATACAAAAAAATGAGATGGGTGTGATGGCGTTGTTCCTGTAATCCCAGCTATTCAGGATGCTGAGGCAGGATAATCACTTGAACCTGAGAGGAGGAGGTTGCAGTGAGCCAAGATTACACCTCTGTACTCCAGCCTGGGTGACAGAGCAAGACTCTGTCTCAAAAAAAAAAAAAAAAAAAAAAAAAAAAGAATAAAAATAAATAAAGTAAGGACTTTCTGTCATTCATGAGTGTCAGGACTTCTTGTTGTTAATAAAGAATTCGTAATTCTTTAGAATTTATAATGTTGTGTAATTCTGTGTTTTAATGCACATTGTTAGGTAATAATTCTGATGGAATTGAAAACCGGAATGGCACTGCAAGTGCCCTCTTGCACATAGATGAGTCTGCTGGCCTTGGCAGACTGGCTAAACAGAAACCAAAGAAAAAGAGAAGACCTGATTCCAGGCAGTACCAAACAGGTGAGTTCCACAGGGGTGTTATGATGGAGTTTTAGCTAGTAGGCCACATGTATTTTTATGTGTTGAATTTGAAAGAAAAAATTTCAAAATTCAGTGATATTCATGAATGGTTTTCTTGGATAAGAAGAAACAGTTGTGCATCAACCATTCAGGAAAAAGAATTAAAATCCTCTGGTGATTTTAGTGAAAAGGAAAATAAATTTCTAAAATGTTACCTAACTTTAAGTGAACGAAATTACATGGATCTACTTATACTAGCATAAAGCAGGTATAATTTACCGAGAAGTGGAAGAAGTACCTAGGTTATTTGTAGGACTGATTACTATCCTATGTTGTTTTGAATGCTGCTTTGCATATTAAAATTTATTTATAGGTGCAGTTAAGCTTTACTGTTTGCATATATTTGGCTTGGAGTCAGTCACCAAAGCAGAAATGCTGGACTTGATTTTTATGAGTTATTTGCTACACATTTCTAAATTCATGTTCTTTTGTCACTGCTTGATTGATTTTTTTTTTTTAACTGGAGGGGGTGAGATTGGTTCATACTTAACCAAACCAGTTCTCTCGATTAGGACATTATTATAACTCTTAACATTGAAAAGCAGTAAAAGGAATGTTAATAATTTAAAAGTATTTGCCCACTAATGTTCAGAACACAAGCTTTAAAAAATTCATGAGGAGACCAGAAGTTTGATTAAGCACTCATACTGCTTTCTTTTCCTTTCTTAGCAATAATTATTGGCCCTGATGGTCATCCTTTGACTGTCTATCCTTGCATGATTTGTGGGAAGAAGTTTAAGTCGAGGGGTTTTTTGAAAAGACACATGAAAAACCATCCTGAACACCTTGCCAAGAAGAAGTACCACTGTACTGACTGTGATTACACTACCAATAAGAAGATAAGTTTACATAACCACCTGGAGAGCCACAAGCTGACCAGCAAGGCAGAGAAGGCCATTGAATGTGATGAGTGTGGGAAGCATTTTTCTCATGCAGGGGCTTTGTTTACTCACAAAATGGTGCATAAGGAAAAAGGGGCCAACAAAATGCACAAGTGTAAATTCTGTGAATATGAGACAGCTGAACAGGGGTTATTGAATCGCCACCTCTTGGCAGTCCACAGCAAGAACTTTCCTCATATTTGTGTGGAGTGTGGTAAAGGTTTCCGACACCCGTCGGAACTGAGAAAGCACATGCGAATCCATACCGGCGAGAAGCCATACCAATGCCAGTACTGTGAATATAGGTCTGCAGACTCTTCTAACTTGAAAACACATATAAAAACAAAGCATAGTAAAGAGATGCCATTCAAGTGTGACATTTGTCTTCTGACTTTCTCAGATACCAAAGAAGTGCAGCAACATACTCTTGTCCACCAAGAAAGCAAAACACATCAGTGTTTGCATTGCGACCACAAGAGTTCAAACTCAAGTGATTTGAAACGACATGTAATTTCAGTTCATACGAAAGACTATCCTCATAAGTGTGAGATGTGCGAGAAAGGCTTTCACAGGCCTTCAGAACTTAAGAAACATGTGGCTGTCCACAAAGGTAAAAAAATGCACCAATGTAGACATTGTGACTTTAAGATTGCAGACCCATTTGTTCTAAGTCGCCATATTCTCTCAGTTCACACAAAGGATCTTCCATTTAGGTGTAAGAGATGTAGAAAGGGATTTAGGCAACAAAATGAGCTTAAAAAGCATATGAAGACACACAGTGGCAGGAAAGTATATCAGTGTGAGTACTGTGAGTATAGCACTACAGATGCCTCAGGCTTTAAACGGCACGTTATTTCCATTCATACAAAAGACTATCCTCATCGGTGTGAGTACTGCAAGAAAGGCTTCCGAAGACCTTCAGAAAAGAACCAGCACATAATGAGACACCATAAAGAAGTTGGTCTGCCCTAACAGTGTGTCTACAAGCTTGTAAAGATGTTGGCCTTGAAGCAGAAAATTCATTTTTTAAAGCCAGTCTTGTTCACATCCATTACTATACATTGAATTATGCTGTGTAAAAATAGAATTATTGCTTCTAGTCCACTTTTCTTTACATTTTATTCAATACGCTGTCCTGAATCCTATTCAGTTTCTTTAATAGATGAGGAAAAATAGCAACAAGCAAGTTGCTTATAATAAAATAATTTGTGATTCTATACTGAATTTTCAGTCATAAAAGCTTTACTATTTATTTACATATTTATTCATGTTCATGGTACTCTTCTAAGACAAAATCAGATTGATAACTATGAAAGTAACATTTTTGACCCATTTCCTCCTACACAAGTGTTTCACATTGGAGACATCTGCTAATATAAATGGGAGGTTTTACTGTCAAGTCCAATTAGCAAAACGTGGTAATAATTTTTTTGTCAGTATTTTCAGATTACATGATAAAATTTTACATTTGAGCTTCTAGCATTGATTAATATAGGATATTGACCACGTTTATGTTTAAATTTCATTTTGTTCAGCAGACAAAATGTACTTCCCTTAACTTTCATTAATAGTGTTTACATCTTTTGTCAGCACAGCAAACTTTTAGAAAGTAATAGTTTTACTTATTTTTATCTTCTGTTTTCTCTTTGTACTGCTTTGTCTTGCATTGTGTTCCAACACATGAGACTTACTGCTCACTGAATTTTGGAGTCTTTTAGAGGTAAATTGTGGACTCAGGATTTTTTGAAACTTGGTGTGTAACTCTAAATCTTGTATATGCATCTTTGTTGCTTATTACATATTTACACACACAACCACAAATTTTAAACTTATGATGAAAATTTACAATAACCTGAAAGATCCAGAGATGTATGAGAGCATTTTGTAACTTGTTATTCAGTTACTAAATTTGAGGTGAATAATTAAAAAGAAAAGGACATTAGGAGAGTGAAAATCTTCTCTTCAAATAATCTTTGATAGATAAAAATGGAAGGTAAGATGTTTCTAGATAGAATGTTTTCATACAATTTCAGCTTCATATCATAAATTTTTCTGGAAAGCTATTTCAGACATAGATTTCATAGTATTTTTCTGAGAATCCTGTGAAGGAACGCTGTCTCTTTGCAAAGTAAGGAGGACTAAGGGAAAATGATGGTACCATGTAACAGAATGAGAGCTAATTCCAAATTAGCAACTTCATCCTGCTTTCTATTTTACATTGAGTAAAGTTTTAAAAAGACAACAGTCAAGTTGATTTTGATTAGAAGATAAAAGTACATAATGAAAATCCATGGCCTTATTTGGAATATATATCACTTTCCAAATTTTATTATTTATTTGAGAGTTAATAAGTTAATGTTATTAAGCAGTTAATAATTTATATGTATGGATATAATATAAAATGAATTCATATAATTAAAAAGAATTTGGTTAATAAGAATTTGGAGAATGGAAAATACATTTTTAGGTTCCTTAATTTGGCTGTTGGTACCTGTGTATTTGGAATATTTTAGGGGATTCGAATTTTTTTTAACCCACATTACAGCTACCTTCTAGCTTTAGTATGGTAGTGCTTCATTCAACTTTTGCTGTCAGGTTTTTATTTTCACCTTTTTCTGTGCCACCAATTCAAAAGTTATAGGATTAGGAAATATAAATTTATATTTGGTGATTGGCAGCCTCTGAAATGTTAGATTAATTTGATCTAGTTCTAAAGTGCTTTAGTCATATATGAATTTAAACCTAGTACCATCCAAAACCATGTAATGGATTTTAAGAATCTGTTAGGCCTTCTTAGCCTTTATACATGTCCCTACCTGATTTTTACTGTCCTTCATGATCCTGTTCTTGAAAACTTCAGTTTGTATTTGAGAATCCTTTAAATCTCCTTCCAATTTGTTTTCTCCCTGAAGTAATATAAAAGGAAGTATTTAAGTGAAAGTTTAAGAGTTTTAAAACATTCTTTAAAATTAATACAGATAGTTAGCTATTTATCTTTTAAAAATAAACTAAGGTAAAAAACGTGACACTTTACATATTTCATATTTTTCATATAGTCTGGAGGTATACACAGTTGTTTTGTTTTTAACCACGGTATTGAAACCTTTAAAAGGTAATTAAGCATTTGGTCAAGTAAATATAGAACATTTGTATAAAGAAAGAAATGAAATTGTGCTTAATGTTATATACTGTTATTATTTGCAGGCTGGTTTTAATTCTTAATTTGATTAGCAAAGCTAAAAAAGTGGATGTTGAAGTTGAAAGTTTTAAAGAGGTACAAAATCTTACAAGGACATAAATTATTATTTGGTTGAAAAATAGCCTATTAGATATTGTATGTCCCTTCCTCTGTACAAATTGTAAAATACTTAAAATAACTATGAAGAATTCATATAGGAAGTGTGATACTATTGTAAATGTGTATTTGAGAATATGCAAAAATAAAAATAATATTTTACTGTTAATAAATGTTTACTTGTATATGATACCAATACTAAGTTAACTCTTTCTTTAAAACACGCAGTTTTAAGTCTTAATAAACATAAAACATAGTGGACTATTTTTATTTCCCCACTTAGTTCATTCTGTACATCAGTGGAATACAAAATGCTTTTTATGTAAATATTGGTAACCTTATGAATTTACAAGTAGTATTTCAGAGTACTTGCGCTAGTTGATGAGGCCTTTGCTTAATGTGTTCTTGAAAGTCAATTTTTTGTTTTATCTTAATGAAAGATGGTTTGGTTAGCATCTGCACTTGCTGAAATAAATTTTCCTTGCATAAAGCTTTTTTTTCTTTTTTTTTTTTTGGTTTTTGTTTTTGTTTTAACAACAAAGTCTCACTCATTTGCCCAGGCTCAAGTACAGTGGTGTGTGATCTCAGCTCACTGCAGCCTTCAACTCCTGGGCTCAAGCGATCCTCCTGCCTCAGCCTACGCAGTAGTTGGGACTATGGGCATGTACTGTCATGCCTGGCTAATTTTTTATTTTTTATAGAGATGGGGTTGGGTCTCATCATGTTGCGCAGGGTGGTCTCAAACCCCTGGGCTCAAGGAGTCCTCCCGCCTCAGTGTCCCAAAATGGTGCTATTACAGGCATAAACCACTGCACCAGCCCTTAAGTGGTTTTTGAGGGCACTAAGTCCATAGCAGAAGAACCTGCACTAGTTACACATTTGTGTGTCACCTCTTTGTATTCAGTTTGGAGATCTTTAGTGCACACATAATACTGTGGGATGGGTATTATGACAAAAATTAGAAGCTTGGTAGAAGTTAACCAGGAGTCAAACAGATTACAACAAAGAAGACTGAGACTCATAAATTTTTGTAGAGGTAAAATTCACATGATAAAAGTCACTATCTTAAAATGTGTTAAGTGGCATTTAGCACATTCATATGTTACATTTCCATCACCTCTCTTTAGTTGCAAAACACCTTTTGTAAAGATTCTGCAGTTCTTCAACTCTAGGAATGTGTTTGTCTAATTGTTCAAACAGTAAATAATTAAAGCCATTAAAATGTTAAAAAAATATGGTGAATGTCACTGGCCAGAGTTGTAAGCCAGATAAGATCATGAATAACTTAGTTGTCTTAGAAAATCTAAATAAACATACCCAATCAGGCCTGTGATTTCATCTAAGATAATTTACTGACTGGTTTTCTGGCAATGTCAATGTCAATTTGATTTTTTTTTAAATTTTTATTATTTTTTAACTTCTCAGGAATTCTAGGGTTTTTGTAAAGAAAAGCGTTAAGCATTATGACCAATATCTTAAAGGTATGATATTTCGGAGCACTGGTTTTTGAGGCTGGGCCAGGTCAGCATCAGCATTACTTGAATCTTGTTAGATATATAAAATCTTGGGCTCATCCTAGACCTACTACATAAAAAAATTGTGCATAGGCACCAGCAGTCAGTTGGTTTCATTGTGAAAAAAAAAAATACAATTTCCCATTTAAACCATTTTAAGTGTATATGATTAGTAGTACTAAGAATATTTACATTGTTGTGAATGTTTCTTAACTTTCATATTTGAAACTCAACGTCCGTTAAACAACTTTCCTTTCTCCACTGATGCCCAGGCCCTGGTAATGTTTCTATGAATTTGACTACTTTATTAGAATCATACAGCATTTTTTTTGTGACTGGCTTATTTCACTTAGCAGCCTTGCCTCCTTAATTTTAGAGAAAAGTTTTCAGCCTTTCACCATCAAATAAGGTGTTACCTGTGGGCTTTTAAAAATAATTGCTGGCTGGGAGTGGTGGCTCACACCTGTAATCCCAGCACTTTGGGAGGCTGAGGCGGGTAGATCACCTGAGGTCAGCAGTTCGAAACCAGCCTGGCCAACATGGTGAAAACCCGTCTCTACTAAAAATACAAAAACAACTGGGTGTGGTGGCAGGTGCTTGTAACTCCAGCTAGTCGGGAGGCCGAGGCAGAAGAATTGCTTGAACCCAGGGAGCAGAGGTTGCAGTGAGCCAAGATTGTGCCACTTCCCTCCAGCCTGGGTGAAAGAGGGAGACTCCGTCTCAAGAATAAGTAAAATTGCCCCGGGTAGTCATGGTGGCTCATACCTATAATCCTAGCACTCTTAAGAGGCTGAGACAGGTGGTTGGCTTGAAGTCAGGAATTTGAGACTAGCCTGCCCAACATAATGAAACTATGTCTCTACTAAAAATACAAAAATTAGCTGGGCGTTCTGGCACATGTCTGTAAATCCCAGCTGCTCAAGAGGCTGAAGCATGAGAATGACTTGAACCTGGGAGGAGGAGGTTTGCAGTAAGGTGAGGTCGCACCGCTGCACTCCAGCCTGGGTGACAGAGCAAGACTCCATCTCAAAATAAATAAATAAATAAATAAATAAAAATAATTGCCATCATTATGTTGAGGGTTCTCCCTTCTTCCCTAAGTGTATTTTATAATGAAAAGGTGTGGAATCTTGTCACATGCTTTTTTTATGTAAATTGAAATTAGCCTTTGTCCTTTATTTTTGTTAACATGATGTATTAAAAGGTTTTGCTGAACCATTCTTAAAATCCAGTGAAATCTTACTGGTAATGGTATATAATTGTTTTTGTTTTTGTTTTTGTTTTGAGACTGATTTTTTTCTGTGTTGCCCAGGCTGGAGTGCAATGGCGTGATCTTAGCTCACTGCAACCTCCACCTCCTGGGTTGAAGAGATTGTCCTGCCTTACTCAGCCTCCCGAGTAGCTGGGATTACAGACATCTGCTACCACTCCCAGCTAATTTTTGTATTTTTAATAGAGATAAGGTTTCACTATGTTGTCCAGGCTGGCGTTGAACTCTTGACTTCAGGTGATCCATCTGCCTCGGCCTCCCAAAGTGCTAGGATTACAGGTGTGAGCCACTGCACCTGGCTTATGTAATTGTTTATTTTTTTATTTTTTGGAGATGGAGTCTTGCTCTGCTGCCCAGGCTGGAGTGCAATGGTGTGATCTTGGCTCACTGCAACCTCCACCTCCCAAGGTCAAGTGATTCCCCTGACTCAGCCTCTCAAGTAGCTGGGATTACTGGCGCATGCCACTGCACCTGGGCTACCACATGTGGCTAATTTTTGTGTTTTTAGTGGAGGCAGGGTTTTACCACGTTGGCCAGGCTGGTCTCGAACTCCTGACCTGAAGTGATCCACCCACCTTGGCCTCCAAAATGCTGGGATTACAGGCTTGAGCCACCACGCCCAGTCTATAATCCTTATAATGTGCTGTTAAATTCAACCTGCTTGTATTTTACTGAGAAGTTTTGCATAGATTTTTGTTAGTGATACTGGTCTGTGATTTTCTTTTTGTCTTTATGTGTTTAAAAAAAATTTTTTTTTGGACACAGGGTCTTGCTCTGTTGCCCAGGCTGTAGTGCAGTGGTGTGATTGCAGCTGACTGTAACCTTGAACCCCTGGGTTCAACTATCCTGCCATCTGAATAGCTAGGACTGCCAGTGCTCACTATCATGCCTAACTAACTTTTTACAATTTTTTTGTAGAGACAGGGTTTCCCTAAGTTGCCCAGACTTGTCACAAACTTCTGGACTCAAGCAATCCCCATCTTAATCTCCCAAGATGCTGAGAATATAGGCATAAGCCACCATACCTAGCCTTGTTTATGTCTTTATCTGGTTTTGATAGCAATGTAATACTGGCATCTTTATATGAATTTCAGAGTGCTTCCTCCTTTAGGATTATTGTTAATTTCTTTTTATTTTTTAAAAAATTCATTTTTATCTTAGATTCAGGTGTATTTGTACAGGTTTGCTATAAGGGTGTATGTGTAGTGTTGAGGTTTGGGCTTCTACTGATCCCATCAGCCACAAAGTGAAGATAGTACCCAATAGGAAGTTTCTCAGCCCTTGCCCCACTCCTTTACTCCCTTCTTTTGGAGACCTCAGTATGTGTTGCTTCTATCTTTATGGTCATATTAACCTATGATTTAGTTCCCACTATAAGTCGGAACATGTGACATTTGGTTTTCTGTTTCTGCATTAGTTTCCTTATGATAATGGCCTCTAGCTGCAACCATGTTGCCACAAGGACATGATTTCATTCTTTATTGTGGCTGCATAAAATTATTTTTAAATGTTTGATAGAATTCTCCAGTGAAGCCATCTCACTGTGGGCTGTTCTTTGTTCAGATTTTTATTTCTGATTCAATCTTACTAGTTACTGGTTTGTTCAGATTTTCTATTTCTTTCTATTTACTCGTGGTAGGTTGTGTGTTTCTAGCAATGTATTTTTTTTTTTAAAGACAGAATCTCACTCTGCCACCCAGGCTGGAGTACAGTGGCACTATGTCTGCTTACTGCAACCTCTGGCTCCGGGACTCAAGCAATTCTTCTACCTCAGCCTCCCGAGTAACTGGGATTACAGGTGTGCGTCACCACCCCTGAGTAATTTTTTTGTATTTTTAGTAGAGATGGGGTTTCACCATGTTGGCCACGCTGGTCTCAAACTGACCTCAGGTGATACCTGCTTTGGCCTCCCAAAGTGCTGGGATTCCAGGCATGAGCCACCACACCCAGCCTATTCCTTCTGATTTATCCAATTCCTTGGTGTAATTTCTATTCATTGTATTCTCTTTACTCCTTTTCATTTCTGTGGCATCACTTGAATTACCCTTCTTTCATTTGTAACTTCAGTTATTTGAGTCTTTTTCTTAATGTAGGCAAAATTTGCCAATGTTATTCATCTTTTCAAAAAATGAATTCAGTTTTGTTGATTTTTCTACGGTTAAGCTTTTTTTTTTTTTTTTAAATGGAGTCTCGCTCTGTCAACCAGGCTGGAGTGCAGTGGTGTGATCTTGGCTCACTGCAAGCTCTGCCTCCTAAGTTCACACCATTCTCCTGCCTAAACCTCTCCAGTAGGGGGACTACAGGTGCCCGCCACCACGCTGGCTAATTTTTTTTTTTTTTTTGTATTTTTAAAATATTTTTAGTAGAGACAGGGTTTCACCATGTTAGCCAGGATTGTCTCGATCTCCTGACCTCATGATCCGCCTGCCTCGGCCTCCCAAAGTGCTGAGATTACAGGCATGAGCCATCGCACCCAGTCCCTTATTTTTAAATAATGTATAAGAGTTATACATATTTTGGAGTACATGTGATATTGTTTGTACATATTTTGGAGTACATGTGATATTGTTAGGTAGTTGGTTTGAGGTCTTTCTTCTTTTCTGATAGATGTATTTACAGCTGTAAATTTACCTCTCTGCAACTACTTTGATTGTATCTCATGTTGTGTGTCCCAGATATTGTGCTTTCATTTTAGTGTGTGTCAAGGTAATTTTTCTTGTAACTTCTTTAGCTTCATTGGTTGTGTGGTTTTGTTTTTGACACTGGCTTTTGCTCTGTTGTCTAGGCTGGCCTTCAGCTCCAGGGCTTGAGAACTCTTACTTCCAACTCAGCCTCCCAAGTAGCTGGGACTACAAGTGAGTGCTATTGTGCCAGGCTTTCCATTGGTTAACAGTTTGTTGCTTGGTTTCCACACATTTGTGAATTTTCCAGTTTTCCCATTGCTCTTGATTTTTAGTGCATCATATTGTGCTCAGAAAACACACTTTGTATAATTTGCTTTTAAAATTTGTTAAACTTGTTTTGTGACCAAATATATGGTCTATTCTAGAGAATGTTCAATGTGCACTTTAGAATACTGTATATTCTGCTGTGGTTGTGTGGCATGTTCTCTATATATCTGGTATGTCCAATTGGTGTACAGCATTTTACCAGTCCTGTTTCCCCATTGATTTTCTATTTGATTTTTCTACCCATTATTGAAAGTGGTCTAATGATGCCTCCTATATTATTGTCTTTGTTTCTTGTTTTTATTTCTGTCAACATTTGTATCACATAGTTAAGAGCTCTGATATTTAGTGCAGATATATTTATAATTGTTATATCTTCTTTTAATTTTTATTTTAAGTTCATGTGCAGGTTTATCACATAGGTACACTTGTTTCATGGGGGGTTTGTTGTACAGATTATTTCATCACCCAGGCATTAAGTTGAGTACCTATTACTTGTTTTTCCTGATCCTTTCCCCGCTCCCATCCTCCATCGCTCTGATAGGCCCCAGTATGTATTGTTCTCCTCTATGTGCCCATGTGCTCTCATCATTTAGCTCCCACTTATAAGTGAGGACATGCAGTATTTAGTTTTCTGTTCCTATATTAGTTAGCTAAGTATGATGGCCTCCAGCTCCATCCATGATCCTGTTCTTTTTTTTTTTTTTTTTTTTTTTTGAGACAGAGTCTCACTCTGTTGCCCAGGCTGGAGTGCAGTGGCACCATCTCAGCTCACCACAACCTCCGCCTCCTGGGTTCAGGCGATTCTCCTGGCTCAGTCTCCCAAGTAGCTGGGACTACAGGTGCATACAATCATGCCTGGCTAATTTTTGTATTTTTAGTAGAGACGGGGTTTTACCATGTTGTCCCGGCTGGTCTTGAACTCCTGACCTTGTGATCCACCCACCTTGGCCTCCCAAAGTGCTGGGATTATAGGCATGAGCCACTGAGGCCAGCCTGATCCTGTTCTTTTTATATGGCTGCATAGTATTCCATGGTGTATATGTACCACATTTTCTTTATTCAGTCTACTATTGGTGGACATTTAGGTTGATTCCATGTGTTTGCTCTTGTGAAAAGTGCTGCAATGAACATACACATGCATGTGTCTTTATGATAGAAGGATTTATAATTCTTTGGGTATATACCCAGTAATGAGATTGCTGGGTTGAATGGTAGTTCTACTTTTCCTTTTATGAGGAATCACCACACTGTTTTCCACAATGGCTGACTTAATTTACACTCACACCAACAGTGTATGGGCCTGTCATTTTCTCCACAACCTTCCCAACATCTGTTGACTTCTTAATCATAGCCATTCTGACTGGTGTGACTGGTTTCTCACTGTGGTTTTGATTTGCATTTCTCTAATGATTAGTGATGTTGAGCTTTTTCTCACATGTTTGTTGGCTGAATGTATGTCTTCTTTAGAAAAACATCTGTTCATGTCCTTTGCTTATTTTATTTTATTTTTTTTTTGAGACAGAGTCTTGCTCTGTCGCCCAGGCTGGAGTGCAGTAGCGCTATCTCAGTTCACTGCAAGTTCCACCTCCTGGGTTCACGCCATTCTCCTGCCTCAGCCTCCTGAGTAGCTGGGACTACAGGTGCCCGTCACCATGCCTGGCTAATTTTTTCGTATTTTTAGTAGAGACGGGGTTTCACCATGTTAGTCAGGATGGTTTTGATCTCCTGACCTCATGATCCACCCACCTCAGCCTCCCAAAGTGCTGGGATTACAGGCATGAGCCACCACGCCCGACCCTTTGCTTACTTTTTAATAGGGTTGTTTTCTTGTTTTAAGTTCCTTATAGAGCTGGATATTACACCTTTGTCAGATATATAGTTTGCAAAAATTTTCTCCCATTCTGTAGGTTGTCTGTTTACTTAATTGACAGTTTCTTTTGCCGTGAAGAAACTATTTAATTAGATCCCATTTGTCAATTTTTGGTTTTGCTGCATTTGCTTTTGATGTCTTTTTCATGAAATCTTTGCCCATTCCTATGTCCAGAATGGTATTGCCTAGGCTGTCTTCCAGGGTTTTTACAGTTTTGGGTTTTATATGTAAACCTTTAATTCATCTTGACTTGAGTTTTGTGTATGGTGTAAAGAAAGAGTTTCCATCTGTATGGCTAATCAGTTGTCCCAGCACCATTTATTGAATAGGGAGTACTTTTCCCATTCCTTGTTTTTGTCAGCTTTGTTGAAGATGAGATAGTTGTAGGTGTGTGGCCTTATTTCTGGGATATCTGTTCTGCTCCATTGATCTATGTGTCTGTTTTTATAGAATTACCATGCTGTTTTAGTTACTGTAGCCCTGTAGTATAGTTTGAAGTCAGGTAATGTGATGCCTCCAGCTTTGTTCTTTTTGCTTAGGATTGCCTTGGCTATTCAGGCTCTCTTGTGGTTTCATATGAGTTTTAAAATATTTTTTTCAAGTCTGTGAAGAATGTCATTGGTAGTTTGATAGGAATAGCATTGAATCTATAAATTGCTTTGGACATTATGGCCATTTTAACAATATTCATCTTTATCCATGAGCATGGATTGTTCTTCCATTTATGTAATCTCTGATTTCTTTGAGCACTGGTTTGTAGTTATCCTTGTAGAGATCTTTCACCTCCATGATTAGCTGTATTCCTAGGTATTTCATTCTTTTCATGGCAGTTGTGAATGGAATCATGTTCCTGATTTGGATGTTGGCCTGACTGTTGTTGGTGTATAGGAATGCTAGCAGTTTCTATATGTTGACCCTGTATCCTAAGATTTTGCTGAAGCTGTTTATCAGCTTTTGGGCCAAGACTATGAGGTTTTCTAGATTTAGGATTATGTTGTCTGCAAACAGGGATAGTTTGACTTCCTCTCTTTCTATCTGGAGTCCCTTTATTTCTTTCTCTTGCCCGACTGCCCTGGCCAGAACTTCCAATACTATGTTGAATAAGAGTGATGAGAGAGAGCCTCCTTGTCTTGTGCCAGTTTTCAAGAGAAATGCCTTCAGCTTTTGTCCATTCAGTATGACGTTGGCTGTGGGTTAGTCATAGATGGCTCTTGTTATTTTGGGTTGTGTTTCTTTAATACCTAGTTTATTAGGAGCTTTTATCGTGAAGCAGTGTTGAATTTTATAGCAGCCTTTTCTGCATCTATTGAGATGATCTTGTAGTTTTGGTCTCTAGTTCTGTTTATGGGATAATTTACATTTTTTTATTTGTATTTGTTGAACCAAACTTGCATCCCAGAAGATAAACTCTACTTGATTATAGTTGATTAATTAGCTTTTTTATCTAATGCTGGATTCAGTTTGCCAGTATTTTGTTAAGGATTTTTCCATTGACGTTCATCAAGGATATTAGCCTGAAATTTTTTTTGTTAGTTGTGTCTCTGCCAGGTTTTGGTATCAGGATGATGATGGCTTCATAGAATGAGCTAGGGAGGATTCCCTCTTCCTCAATTTTTTGGGACTAGTTTCAGCAGGAATGGTACCAGCTCTTTCTTACATCCACTAGAATTCAGCTGTGAATCCATCTTATCCTGGGCTTTTGTTTTGGTTGATGGTTATTTATTACTGATTCAATTTTGAAATTTTAAAATATTTTCTTGTTGAATTGACCCTTTTATTATTATATAACATTTTTTGCCTCTTTGAATAGTTTTTTGCATGAAGTCTATTTTATCTGTTATTGTAGTCATTCCTGCTCTTTTTGGTTACTATTGCCTGAATTATCTTTTTTCATCATTTCACCTTCAGTATGTATGTCATTAGATCTAAGATAGATGACATATAGTTGGATTGTGTTTTCTTTTGTTGTTTTATAGCCAGTCATTAATAGTCTCCAATGTTACAATGTTATTTTCTTTCTTCTTCTTTTTTTTTTTTTTTTGAGACAGAGTCTCTCTTTCTTTTTTTTTTTTTTGAGATGGAGTCTTGCTCTATCACCCCACCTTGAGTGCAGTGGCACAATCTCAGCTCACTGTAATGTCCTACTCCTGGGTTCAAGTGATTCTTGTGCCTCAGCCTCCTGAGGGGCTGGGATTACAGTTGTGTGCCACCACACCCAGCTAATTTTTATATTTTTAGTAGAGATTGGGTTTTGCTACTTTGGCCAGGCTAGTCTCCTGGCCTCAAATGATCCATCAGCCTCAACCTCCTAAAGTGCTAGGATTACAGGCCTGAGCCCCTGCACATGGACACTCCAATGTTATTTTTAGATTTCAATCTATTTACATTTAAATTAGATTATAATAGGGGAAGGACTTACTATTGCCATTTTGTTAATTATTTTCTGTTTAGCTTTTTTGTTCCTGCTTACGTCTTAGTGCCTTCCTTTGTGTTTAGTTTTTTTTTTTTTTTTTTGGTAGTGATTCCTTGCTAATTTCTTTTGTGTATATTCTGGATATATTATGTTTACAATATTATCATTGCAATTAAATATCTTAAAGTTTATAACATTCTATTTTAAATTGATATAACTTAACTTCAATCACATATATGTGCCTCTTTAGCTGTAACCTCCATACTTGGTTATGTTTATTCATTAGCATAAATTTATCCTTACTTTTTCTTTTTTTATTTAAGAATTATGTGGGAAACTTTTATTTTTTACTCATTTTTGAAGGATAGTTTGCCAGTACAGTTTATTTGGTTGGCAGTTTTAAAATGTCAGCACTTTAAATGTATCATCACACTGCCTTCTGGCCTGCAATGTTTCTGTTGAGAAATTACTGATAATCTGATAACTCTTCTTGATTTTACTTGGCATGGGTGCTGTAGTTTCTCAGCTGATCTTGAGAGCTCTCATAAAGATATTCTGGTCTGCAGTTTATTCTTAACTTGGTGTCTCAGTGGTGGAATGAGGGCCTGGAGAGTTCTAGTATACCATCTTATGGACATCATTCTTTGCTGTTACTTGAGATTTTAGGCAGGCATAATTCATTTGCCAATATTTTTCCTACCAATAAGCCCAGCGATCTGATTTAATAAGTCCTTAAAGTTAAGGACTTTATTCTGATGCACTCTCAAGTTTGTGAATCTTTGCTAAAGAGCGCTTGAAGGAAGTTACAAAATAATTATGCAACGTATTGTGTTTTATGTGAAAAATTATAGAACTAAACCAAACCAGAAACTCACAGGTCGGATGTGGTGGCTCATGCCGGTAATCCCAGCACTTTGGGAGGCCAAGGTGGGCAGATCACCTGAGGTCGGGAGTTTGAGATCAGCCTGGCCAACATAGTGAAACCCTGTCTCTATTAAAAATACAAAAAAGTAGCCAGGTATGGTGATGTGCACCTGTAGTCCCAGCTACTCCAGAGGCTGAGGCAGGAGAATCCCTTGAAACCAGGAGGTGGAGGTTGCAGTGAGTGGAGATTGAGCCACTGCACTCCAGCCTTGGCCACAAAGTGAGACTGTATCTCAAAAAAAAAAAAAAAAAAAAAAAAAGCAGTGCAGGTAAAGCAGGGCCTAAATAGTTCATATTTATACATTTATGTATAGTTCATATTCATACTTTTATGTAAGCTTTTTACAGGGCAAGTTTTCATTCAATAAGTATACTTTTTAATGCACATGTAAATAATGTGCATTTCATAAATCTTGTATGGTCTCCCATGAGTTAAATTCTTCAAAGGTAAATAAAATTCAGAAGCAGAGTCAGCAAGCAAAACTCAAAAGGCTGGAAAAGATGTGGCGTGAGTAACTGCATGAGTATTTTGTTTTTTAAAATTAACTGCCCCAGGGGTAGTTAATGTAAATCATGTTAGAAATACAGTTTTTCCATACTCAGTAGCTATTAGGTAGTCAAAATTAAGTTGGCCTCATGGATTTTGTTTTATTATACATATATTTTTGCTCATAAAATTTTGTTTAATATATTATTCCTGTTTTGTTTTGATATCTGCTTTTATTTCTAAATAAATTTCTACCTTATTTTAAGGTACGTGTTTGAATATTGGTAGACAACAGATGACATGACATGTATATATATGTTTCTGTGTATGTATGTCCATATATATATGTTTGGGGATTCATGTATTCATGCATGGATATACACAAGAAATACATACAGACAAAAGCTGCTTAATCCCCAATATACTACCAGCTGGAAATGTTGCAGCTCTTTGAGTAGCTTGGCATTTCTGCTACCAGTGAAGTATTATCACTGTTGCCTGGAGGTATGACATCTATACCTACTCAGATTTTAAAACCATTTTTGTATCCTATGAGGTTGAAATACTTTGTAAATTATTGAAGTTTGAGGTCACAGGCTGGAGTACAGTGGAGTGATCACAGCTCACTGTAGCCTTGACCTCCCAGGTTCAAGAGATCCTCTCACCTCAGCCTAGCTGCTTATGTTGGCTAATTTATTATTATTTTTAAGAATTTTTTTGTAGAAATGGGGGTCTCACTATGTTTCTCAGGCTGGTCTCAAGCTATCCTCCTGCCTCTGCCTTGCAAAGTGGTGGGATTACAGATGTGAGCCACCACAAAAGCTGTTTTTCTTTATTTTTATTTATTTTTTCCTGTCAACTGAAAGTCAGCTTATGGTAAATACATAGGTTTTTATTCTGTTCCCTTGGTCAGTGTGTCTGTTTATATGCTGTGTCATGCTGCTTTGATTAATATAGTTTGTAATATATTTTGGGTTCTTTTTTTGGTGTTTTCTCATTAAACTTTGTTTTAATGGTTCTCAAAATGCTGTGACAGATTTTTATTCAAGTTGTTTCAATTAAATAGTACTGGTTTTTAAACCCAGTAACTGAAAACTGCCATATGCAAAAAAAAAAAAAAAAAATTCAGTGACGAACAAACAACACTCTCCCTACCAGTGACCCATAATACACTCTACTTTCCTTCTCAAGTTTTATGATGCATTATTTTCATTAATGATTCTTTCATTATTAAACTTAAATGGCCAATTGAAACAAACAGTTCTGAGACTATTCTTCCACCACTGATTAAAACTGGGGTAGCAGGTATTAAGGATAACATTCATTTAGCCTTCTGAGACTTTTGGGAAGAACTGAGGACCTTGCCAGCTCCAGCAGCCCTCTTGTCCACTGCTTTGATGATATACACATCAACTGTCTGTCTCATATCATGAACAGCAAAATGACCCAGAGGATAGTTAGAATAAGTCCACATTCACAGGGGCTTGTCAGGAACCCTATCAAGAATGGCAGCATCGCCAGACTTCAATATATATAAGATCATATCATCAGTGAATAGAGATAGTTTCACTTATTTCTTTCCAATTTAGATGACATTTATTTATTTTTACCTGATTGCTCTGGCTATCACTTCCCGTACTGTAGTGAATAAGAGTGGTGAGAGTAGACGTCCTTGTCTCATTCCTGATCTTTGGGGAAAAGCTTCTGAGTATAATGTGGCTGCAAGTTAGTAATATATATGGCCTTTATTGTGTTGAGTTACATTCCTAATTTGTTGAGATTTTTATTATAAAAAGATGTGGAATTTTGTCAAAGCCTGTCTGCATCTATTGAGATGATCATATGGTTTTGTCCTTCATTCTGTTAATGTTATATATTGCATATATTCATGTGTATATATTAAACCATTCTTGCATCCCAGGGATAAATCTCAATTGATCATGGCAAATGTTCTTTTAACATGCTGTCTTTTAGTCTGCTAGCATTTGTTTGAGACAGTTTGCATCTATGTTTATCAGGAATATTGGCCTATATTTTCTTTCCTTGTGATATTCTTGTTTGGCTTGGGTTTAGGGTAATTCTAGCCTTAGAAAATAAGTTTGGAAGTATTGCATCTCCTTTAACTTTCTGGACGGGGTTGGCAAGGGATTGGCATTAGTTTTTCTTAAATTATGTGGTAGAATTCACCCAGAAGCCATCAAATCTTGGGATTTGCTTTGATGAAAGACTTTCTTGTTTTTTGAGACAGGGTCTTGCTCTGTCACCCACATTGGAGTGAAGTGGTGAGATCACTGCTCACCACAACCTTGATCATGGGAAAGTGTTTATTACTGATTCAGTTTCCTTACTAATAATTTGGTTTGTTCATTTTTTATTTCTTCATGTTCACCTTTGATAGGTTTTATATTTCTATGAATTTATTCATTTCTTCTATGTTACCTCATTGTTTGGTATAAAATTTTTGGTTTGTAATAGTTTCATAATCTTTGTACCTTTGTGATATAAGATGTAATGTCCCCTCTTATTTCTGGTTTTATTTATTTTAGTCTTCTTTCATTTTTTTCTTAGTGTAAAGATTTATCAAATTTGCTTATTTTTCACTAAGTTAAATCTCAGTTTTGTTAATCTTTTAAAATGTTTTTCTAGTCCTATTTTATTTCTTTTCTCATCTTTCTGCTCTTCTGCTAACTTTTGGCTTAGATTGTTCTTTTCTAATTTCTTGAGGTAAAACAGTAGGTTCTTATTTGAGATCTTCCTTCTTTTATGATGCAGGTTATCCTTCCTTACACATGATCTAACAATTCCAGTTCTGGGTATTTATCCAAGGAAATTGAAATCAGCATGTGGAAGAGTTATCTGCACTTCCATGTTCACTGCAGTCATTATTCATAATAGCCAAGATATAAAATCAACTTAAATGTCCATTAACAAATAAAGGAATACAGAAAATGTGGTGTATCTACACAAGGAAATACGATTAAGCCTTTAACAAAAGGAACTTCTGGCATTTGTGACAGCATAAATAAACCTACTAGCTATTATATTAAGAGAAATAAGGTAGGTACAGAAAGACAAATACTGCATATATTCACTTATATGTGGAAATATTAAAAATTGAACTTATCAAAGCAGAGAATATAATGGCCTTGGGGTAGGAGCATATAGGCAATGGGCAGACATTGGTCAAGGGCACAAAGTATTACTTAGATAAGAGAAATAAGTAATACATTTTATACTATGATAACTGTAGTTAATAATAATGTATACCTTAAAATTGCTAAAAGTAGGTTTTAAATGTTCTCATAAAAAGAGTAAGTGTGTGAGGTAATGGATATGTTAATAAGCTTAATTTTTCTACAACATACACATGTATGAGAACGTCATTTTGTACTCCATTAATATACATTTATAACTTGTCAAGAAAAGCTTTATAGATCTACTGCAGAACAGTGTGAATACAGTTAACACTAGTGAACTGTAAACTTAGAAATTAGTAAAATGTTAAATTGTTTCCCACACTTACAAATACTACAAAGAATTTAATTTTTCTTTAATTATTCAGTGAGTGAAAACTTTCCTCAATTGGACTAGAAAGTTGGAATTATTTCTATGAAGTAGTTTTAGGTCCAGTAATGTTTAAATCCTGGTGTGTCCGGAATTGGTGGGTTCCTGGTCTCACTGACTTCAAGAATGAAGCCGCGGACCCTCAGTGTTATAGCTCTTAAGGTGGCGCATCTGGAGTCTGTCCCTTCTGATGTTCAGATGTGTTTGGAGTTTCTTCTTTCTGGTGGGTTTGTGGTCTCGCTGGCTCAGGAGTGAAGCTGCAGACCTCCGCGGTGAGTGTTACAGCTCTTAAGGTAGCGCCTCTGGAGTTGTTCCTTCCTCCCGGTGGGCTCTTGGTCTCGCTGGGCTCAGGAGTGAAGCTGCAGATCTTCGCGGTGAGTGTTACAGCTCATAAATGCAGTGTGGACCCGAAGAGTGAGCAGTAGCAAGCTTTATTGCAAAGAACGAAAAAACAAAGCTTCCACACAGTGGAGAGGGACCCTACCAGGTTGCCAATGCTGGCTCGCCAATGCTGGCTCGGGCAGCCTGCTTTTATTCTCTTATCTGGCCCCACCCGCATCCTGCTGATTGGTAGAGCCGAGTGGCCTGTTTTGTCAGGGTGCTGATTGGTGCGTTTACAATCCTTGAGCTAGAAACAGAGTGCTGATTGGTGTATTTATAATCCCTGAGCTAGATATAAAGGTTCTCCAAGGCCCCACCAGAGCCGCTAGATACAGAGTGTGGATTGGTGCACTCACAAACCTTGAGCTAAACACAGGGTGCTGATTGGTGTGTTTACAAACCTTGAGCTAGATACAGAGTGCCGATTGGTGTATTTACAATCCTTGAGCTAGATATAAAGGTTCTCAACGTCCTCACCAGAGCAGCTAGATACAGAGTGTCGATTGGTGCACTCACAAACCTTGAGCTAAACACAGGGTCCTGATTGGTGTATTTACAATCCCTGAGCTAGATATAAAGACTCTCCACGTCTCCACCAGACTCAGGAGCCCAGCTGGCTTCACCTAGTGGATCCCGCACCGGGGCTGCAGGTGGAGCTGCCTGCCAGTCCCGTGCCGTGCGCTCGCATTGCTCAGCCCTTGGGTGGTCGATGGGACTGGGTGCCGTGGAGCAGGGGGTGGTGCTCGTCCGGGAGGCTCTGGCCGCACAGGAGCTCATGGAGTGGGTGGGAGGCTCAGGCATGGCGGGCTGCAGGTCCCGAGCCCTGCCCCGCGGGAAGGCAGCTAAGGCCCGGTGAGAAATCGAGCGCAGCGCCGGTGGGCTGGCACTGCTGGGGGACCCAGTACACCCTCCGCAGCCACTGGCCCGGGTGCTAAGTTCCCCACTGCCCGGGGCCAGCAGGGCTGGCTGGCTGCTCCGAGTGCGGGGCCCACAAAGTCCATGCCCACCCGGAACTCCAGCTGGCACGCAAGCACCGCACGCAGCCCCGGTTCCCACTCGCGCCTCTCCCTCCACACCTCCCTGCAAGCTGAGGGAGTGGGCTCTGGCCTTGGCCAGCCCAGAAAGGGGCTCCCACAGTGCAGTGGGGGGACTGAAGGGCTCCTCAAATGCCACCAAAGTGGGAGCCCAGGCAGGGGAGGTGCCGAGAGCAAGTGAGGGCTCTGAGGACTGCCAGCGCGCTGTTACCTCTCACTGGCACACAGGATTCTGCAGAGGTAGTTTAAACAGGGTTCAGTACAATGAAACCGTAAGGTGGTCGTGGATAGTTATAGCATGATGGGAGAAAATAATCCTACATGTGCACACCTAGCCATATCAGCTGCCTTTTTTTTCTTGGTTCATTATTTTTTTCATACTCTTTTTTTTAGTTAGCAGCAGGCTTTTGATCACTTTGGCATATTAGATTTGTGGATAGTATTCATTTGAAAATGTATAATGTGGGAAAAAGGTATAAACATGAATACTCTTCAGTATGTTGTTTTATAAATATGAGAATTGAGGCTGCCAGTTAAAGTCACATAGTGGTTGATATTGTAGTAAAGCCACATTCTTTATTTCCCCCAACTTTGGACCTTCTCACCGATTATTTTTATCTGACACTTAGAAGCAAATTACTTTACGTCGACAATATTACACATGTATACCGTGAAAGCTGTCAGATTAAAAATGGAGTCCCTAATGTTAAAAAAAAATTCCTAACAAATGGAGCCAGGAAAGGCCAGGAATATAGGTACTTGTATGCCTGATAGCAAAGAAGACTCTACAAAACTCTACAACCTTGCACAATGTCCATCACAAACTATTAGTCCATTTAAGTGGTCTTATTTAAACTAATTTCAAGCCCGTTTAAACTACTATGCAGAATTCTGGATACCAGGATTTAAAGGTTATTGGACCAAGTGATTGTTAGTATCACTATTAGTCTGTTCTCATATTGCTATAAAGAAATGTCTGAGACTGGGTAATTTATAAAGAACAGAGGTTTAATTGGTTCACAGTTCTCCAGGCTGCACAGGAAGCATGGAAACATGTGCTTCTGGGGAGGCCTCAGGGAGCTTTAACTCATGGCAGAAGGCAAAGCAGATACAAGTGTCTCACATGGCTGGAGCAGGATCCAGAGAGAGAGGGGAAAGTGGCACACACTTTTAAACAACCATATCACAGGAGAGCTCACTATCAGAATGACAGCACCAAAGGGGGATTGTGAGCAACTGCCCCCATGATCCAATCACCCCCAAAAAGGGCCCTTGCTTCAATACTGAAGATTTCAATTCAGTGTGAGATTTGGGTGGGAACACAGATCGGAACCATATCACAAACTTACAAAAAAAATTTCCACAAAAAAATTTCCACAAGACATCTGCCAACAACTGCCTATTCAACCTCAGACTAGCATTATGTTTGTTACTTTTCTTTCTGACTTACCCACACACCTGTGTTACTGATCTTTGTAGCCAGGGATAGTTATTTCATAACAGTTATGTAATCCTCCTCATTTACTACTTTAAAGCTCCTTTGTCTTCCTTTACTGCTCTGAATGTGCACCTAGTTTACTATAGCTTGTGCATTGCTTGCAATTTTCCTTTTCCAAATAAACACCTTTTCTTTTAAAGAGTCTCTGTGTTTGTTTTTTTAGGTTTACACTACAATATGTTGCGTTTTAGATCATTGGTAAATAGTACACAGAAATTCTGCAAAAAAGGAAAAGTTGAATTTGAACTCCTGGCTTCAAGTGATCCGTCTGCCTTGGCCTCCGAAAGTGCTGGGATTACAGTGTGAGCCACTGTGCCAGAGGTGCCTATCTAAATTGCTGCTATTTAACAGCGTACTGGAAATTTAAGGCAGGTCAATTGGCAAGGAAAAAATAACAGGCATCTAAATTGTAAAAGATTAATGAAATCATCTTAATTTGCTAATGACGTAAACCTTTATGTTGAAAACATAAAGATTACACAAAAAAATACACAAACTGTTAGACATTCAGTACATACAAATAAGTCATATTTTCATATATTGGCACTGAATAATCTGAAAAGGAAATTAAGAAAATAATCCTATTTAAAATAGAATCCAAAAGAATAAAATACTTCAGAATATCTTTTTTTTGAAATGGAGTTTTGCTGTTGTTGCCCAGGCTGGCGTGCAATAGCACAATCTTGGCTCACTGCAACCTCTGCCTCCTGGGTTCAAGCAATTCTCCTCCCTCGAGAGAATCTGGGATTAGCTGGGATTATAGGCATGTGCCACCACGACCAGCTAATTTTGTTTTTTAGTAAAGACAGAGTTTCTCCATGTTGGTGACTCCAGTCTCAAGCTCCCGACCTCAGGTCATCTGCCCACCTTGACCTCCCGAAGTGCTGGGATTACAGGTTTAAGCCACTACACCCAGCAAAATAAAAAATATGTAAGCTGGACAAAATTAGAAACTTCTGAATACCTAAAAACACTACCAACAGAGTGAAAAGGCAATCCACAAATAGGGAAAATATCTGTCAATCATATATCTGATAAGAAACTAATATCCAGAATATATAAATAACTCCTACAACTCAACAAGAAAAACCAATTAAAAATAGGCTAAGGGTTTGAATGGACATTTCTCACCAAAGAAGATATACAAATCATCAATAAGCACATGAAAAGATTCTCAACATCATTGTCCATTAGGGAAATGCAGATTAAAGCTACAACGAGATACCATTTCATACAAATTAATACTTACTTTTAAGAGCAAATAAGTGTTGGGAAAAATGTGGAGAAAATGGATATTATGAATTGCTAGTGAAAGTACAAAATGGTGCAGCTGATGTGGAAAATGATTCAGCAATTCCAAGATTACATATATACCCCAAATAATTGAAAGCCTGGCTCACAGATATTTGGACATAAATATTTATGGCAAGAGTATGCACAACTGCAAAAGGTGGAAACAATTCACATTTCCATTAAGAGATGAACGGATAAACAAAATATGAAATATACTTAAAATGGAATGTTATTCAGCCTTAAAATAGAATACAATTCTGACATATGCTACAACTGGACTTACAGTAAAAACAGTGTTAAGTAAAATAAGCCAGACATAAAAGAACAAATACAGCATGATTCTGTCTATATGAAGTCCCTGGAATAGTCAAATTCAGGGAGACAGTATGTAGATGATGGTTGACAGGACTGTGGGGAGGGGAAAATAGGGAGAAGTTGTTTTAATAGGTATAGCATTTCTGTTTTACAAGATAAAGTTCTAGAAACAGGTTACATCAACAATGTGAAGGCATTTAAAAGTACTGAATTGTACACTTAAAAATGATTATCGTGGAAAATTTTATGTTATGAGCAGTTCATCATAATAATAATTTAAAAAGGCCCAATTTTCTTTCTAAGTAGATTAATGATGAAAAATACCAGGCAATGGAATTATTTAGGAGGACTCTGCTGCTATAAGAGTTTCTTGTTACTTTGTTTCTGTTTCCTAGTACTGGCTGTTAGCTTTGAGACTGACTTTTGCACTCCAACAGTTAGAATTAGTCATAATGACTTTCTGGTATCAGCTAGACACTCACCTTTAGCCTCACTTAGGGTTTCCAAGATGAATCTGTCCATAGGTTTAGATTCACTCCCTCTGCTTCCAACTTTGTTCTGCTGGACTCTTCTACTGTGAAGGTAAAGCTTGTTGTTTCTTGCTCATGAAGCAGGAAATATAAGAAAAACAAGTAAAAAGAAAAACAAGTCCTTCCCTGACCAGGCTGACTCACTCCAAAGTCCAGCTACAGCTGTGATAACATTACCTGCAAGGCCAGGTAGGGGCCCTGAAGAAATGGGTTCCAAAAACAGGGACAAGAGAAACAAGTTCTTATCAGTGTCTTCCTGAAATTCTCTACCCATGCCATCATTCTTTGTTCTGCTTGTATAACTATTTTTGTAACTATTTCTGCAAGTTTGCAAGGATTTTGTAAGGTCCTGTTTTTCCCATCTGTGCAGGATGGCAAAGGTCACAAGACATGCCTGAGTTACAAGACCTGTCACAGTTTAACTGCGTTTGTTCTGCTTCTGTAAGCTTGCTTTCCCCACCCCACAAGTTTTGCACCACAGGCCAACACCCTTTGGTCACATGAATAAAAGTCAAGCCCTTTCTTTGCTCATTGCTCAGCCTCTGGGTATTAATCTGCTGAGCTGGTGGCCACCTAAATACAATCGTCCTGTTCCCCTCATTGGTCTCTCCGGTCTCCTGATTCCAGCCACATTTTGGTGAGCCAGCCAGGAGTGAAGACGACAGGTTTGCTGTCTCCTTTGCCTGTGGGTCTGGGGCCCCAGCCTGGGGGAGACCCGTGACTCCAGGCATGCTATCAGGACAACTTCAACCCGAGGGGAGATCAGCTCTCCCGCAACCTGGTGCCGCTCTCTGACAGCACAACAGAACCTAAGGGGCTACAGGATGATTCAAGGAACAGTGTGCTACAGGACCTCGGTAAGGTTTGGGCCCGAGGCAAGACCTGTCCCATGACAGAAGGGGAGCCTCATCACCTCCCAGGGTATACCTAGTAATATGACCCAGGATGCAAGAGTGGCTCGCAAATTTGGAAGAAACCTACACCCCAACCAACCCAGGACACAAAAGTGGCTTGCTAAGTCAGTTAAGAAACGAAACCGGGAGTGGGGAGGTGTGTGAATGTGTGTGAAACAGACGATTCCAAAAGGAACCAACGTGGGGAATGGTGTGTGTGGAGCCACAGGTCTCTTAGCATAGACTGTATGCTAGGGAGGTGCCCCACAGTTTAGTGATTGTGGTGGTCTGGGTTTGGGACTCAAACCCTCCTTTAAAGCTTAGCAGTGTCTGAAATACTCCTGTGAGGGAGACAGTCTAATCGGTCTGAAGTGAAAGTAAAACAGTGAGTGAATTGTGCTGTAAATGGGAGGAAATGGGAGGGAAGTTGTTGAAACCCACCCCATTAGAATGCATGTTAAACAACTTTAAGAAAGATTATGTGGGGGATTATGGGATCAAGTTGACCCCCAGAGGTTGAGAACTGTCTGTGAAATAGAGTGGTCCTCTTTCAGTATTGGATGGCCGGCCGAAGGAACTATAGATGGGGAAATAATTGGCTGTGTATTTAAGGTGGTGACTGAGGTCGGAGGACAGCCTGGACTTCCAGGCCAATTTCCTTATATTGACTCACGGCTGAATATAATTCAAACTCGACCTGTATGGCTAGAGCCCTGCCTGGCAGCTTATTGCAGAACACTGGTAGCTCGAGCTGAGCCAAAAGTGAAAGAGAATTCAGCTTTACTGTCAGCTACAAACAGAAAGGAAAAACCACAAGAAAAACCAGTTTTGCAGGAACCACCAGCGGAAATAGAAACCCCTCTCCCCTATGCACCAATCTATCCACCTTTACCAAGCCTGGCCCAATAGCAGCCAGACTCAGATGATGATACACCTCAGGCTAACCCCAAAGTGTGAAATCTGAGCCCTTGCCCCAGGAGGTCAAGGAGGAAGGTCAAAATGATCAAGCAGGCCGCCTTTAATCTGGCTGCAAGAGCTTTGCAGATGCCTCTCTGAGAAACTTGGGGACCCATGTATTATGATGAACAGGGCCAGGTCCAAGGGTGGGCAACCAACTTTCATTTATCACCCTTTTTCAACTATTGATCTCCTAAACTGGAAACACCATACTCCCTCCTACATGGAGAAGCCCCAAGCTCTCACAAAATCTGATGCAGTCTATTTTTGAGACACACAATCCAACTTGGCCAGACTGCAAACAGCTTTTCCTGATGCTGTTCAACACCAAGGAATGCTGAAGGGTGACCTAGGTAGCCCACCAGTGGCTAGAAAACAATGCACTGGAAGGCACCCTTAATGTCCTGGCATATGCACAGGGCCAGTTCCCAGAAGCAGACCCGCACTGGGACCCAAACAAGGAAGCCCAACTACAGCAACTGCAGAGGTACCAAGAGGCACTCCTGCAAGTTTTGAGAAAAGGAGAGAAAAAGGCATTCAATATGGGAAACATTTCAGAGGTGCTTCAGAGAGCAGATGAAAGCTGTAGCCAGTTTTATGAGAGACTCTATGAGGCCTTCCAGCTTTGCAGTCCATTTGACCCTGAGGCTACTGAGAACCAGTGCATGGTAAACGCAGTGTTTGTAGGGCAAACCCAGGGAGACATCAGGCGAAAGCTGCAAAAGCTAGAGTGTTTCACTGGCATGAATGTCACTCAGGTTTTAGAAGTGGCCACCAAGGTGTACACTAACTGTGAGGAGGAGACTCAGGGAAAAGGCCAATTTGCTGGTGGCAGCACTTATGGAAAGGGGGGCGAATGTCCCAAGACGAAGTGGATGTAGGTGCGGACAAGGAAGAGGTCAAATCAGGCAAAGACCCGAGGATCAGGCAGCACTAGATAGGGACCAGTGTGTGGGGTGCAAGAAGAAAGGACACTGGAAGAATGAATGTCCAGAGGGTGATGAGGGAGAGGTGGAAGTAGGGGCCTAAGGGGCCATAACTTTAAGCCTGCCACCATCCTGAATATATGGTGTTAACTCTTGATGTCCCACAGGTGGAAGAATGGAGGCTGTATGCAGAAGGGTTGTCAAAGCTGGGGCTAGATGAGCTGTATGGGTGCCTAGTAAAATTCGTAGAGTGTGGGCTGAAGATAATGCCCCTACCCTCGCTGTGAACCAGATACAAAAGATAGTAGAACTAAAATCAGGAGAAACACTGGTTCGGTTTCGTTATTACCCACTTCCCTGAGAAGCAATACATGGCATTCAAGGGCATTTGAAGTGGCAATTAGAACACAGGATCTTGGCCCGATGACAGTCACTGTAGAACACTCTCCTTTTGCCAGTGCAGAAACTGGGGACTAATGAATATAGACTGGTGCAGGACCTACCTGTTGCAAACCAAGCCCCTGAGGATTCAGGAAGTGGAAGCTACACATAGCTTACTGGCTGCAAAGCTAAGGAAAAGTGGAGCACATGAACTGGACACTCCAGCAGCTATTAAAGAAATATTGCCAAGAAACACATCTAAGATGGGATCAGATCCTGCCCATGGTCCTCCTCTGAATCAGGTGCACTTGCACCAAACTGGGTATTCGCCCTATGAGATCTTGTTCGGCCGGCCACTCCCAATCATAGGTCAAATTAAGGGTGATCTCTGTGAGCTAGGAGAATTGTCCTTAAGAAGGCAAATGCAGGCCTTAGGGAAAGCCATGCAAGAAGTCCATGGCTGGGTATGGGAAAGAACAGCCATAGGACTAACAAGATCAGGGAGAAGAAAAACAAGTTCTTTTCAATCTCTCCCTGAAATTCTCTCCCCATGCCATCATTCTTTGTTCTGCTTGTATAACTATTTTTGTAACTACTTCTGCAAGTTTGCAAGGATTTTGTAAGGTCCTGTTTTTCCCATCTGTGCAGGATGGCAAAGGTCACAAGACATGCCTGAGTTACAAGACCTGTCACAGTTTGATTAACTGCGTTTGTTCTGCTTCTGTAAGCTTGCTTTCCCCACCCCACAAGTTTTGCACCACAGGCCAACACCCTTTGGTCTCATGAATAAAAGTCAAGCCCTTTCTTTGTTCATTGCTCAGCCTCTGGGTATTAATCTGCTGAGCTGGTGGCCACCTAAATACAATCGTCCTGTTCCCCTCACTGGTCTCTCCAGTGTCCTGATTCCCACAACAGTGTCCTGATTCCCACAACACTGACAATCAAGGCAACATAATGCTGTTGACTGAAGGCATGTCCTAATTATAAACCTTTATTGTCAGGGTATCCAACTATAAACCTTTATTGTCAGAGTATCCAACTGTTAAAAAACTTAAAAAATCCCAGGCAAACCAGGAAGAGCTGGCTTTCCTAGCCAGCTTGCACCATCTTATCCAAGTATCTGTTGCAATATGCTAGGAATTAATGAAAGTTTTTATGAAAATTTCTACATCTCCTTGGCCTGATATAAGATATCCCATTGATCCCTATTTCCCTCTGGATCATGACTTTTCTCTAATTGGCCACTTATTGGGATGGGCAGGTGGTGGCCATTGGTCACTTAGTTTGGCTGCTCAGAATCTAAAATTCCCTATATTTCAGGAATTCCTCAAGTTATATGGCAGAGTGTATCACCTTTCTTTGTAGAACCTCAGCATACTAGGTTCCCTTACAATTGGAGTGGTGGTATCTAACCAGGCTCTGCCAATCAGTGCTTGTACTGGAGGCTGAATTGGAAATAGGGATACAGAGTCTGGAATTTCGAGAAAGTTGTGCTGGTGAGGATGGAGACAGCCAGCAGAGGCCTATCAGAGTTAGAGGGAACAGTGTGCCCAAAAGTTCTAGAGTCAGCATCAGAACTCAGTGTCAGTGTTTGTAACATCGTGTGTCTGTAATGAGAGCAGGGACCACTAAACTAACTCTCTACAATTATTCTGGACATTGTTCCTGGTTACTTCACTTCCAGTCTTCATTCCCTCATCCTTCCAAAAGCTTATATTTTGTTACAGCCCCTCTGCTAAATCAAATAGAGTTGTTTTTTGTTATTTAGAAATGTATTCAATATATCCCCTTGACTAAGATATGGTCTCTACCTGCAACCATGTGACATAGAAAAACTGGGTAATTTAAGAATTTAATAAATGGACTATTTACAAAAATGAGCAGATTTGTGGGAAACTAATGAGATATAATGCAACATCCAATGTTAGGAACATTGGGGAGTACTCATCAGTTCAGACTACGGTGAAAGTGTTGGGAGGCTTTTTTGCTTCATTTCTCAGCATTCCCACATGGTCCACAAACAATCCACCTTGACAGCTAGAGATGAAAGATAGGAAATGCCATTCTCCCCTTAGAAGCATGCCAATATCCTAAAGCCTTCCCCTTTCTGTCACAGGAGACATTGGCTTACTTTCCAGTGTTACCAACCTGGAGACCCTTTCCCCTCAACACTTAAGGAGTTTTGCTAGCATTTCATTGAAAAAGTTCTCCCTCTGGAGGGGAGGATGGGAAGATCATTAGTAGCCTTGATAAAAAAAACCAGTCCCCTAACTGAGGGTTTCTCTCCTGTAATGCAACCCACCACAAGCTAGGTGAATACTTGGGCCTCAGCATGATATGTGTGAATGGAGGTATTTTGTATGAACTTAAGAGATTGCTCAGGCTGCTGCTTTTTGCTGTAAACAGTAAACAATCTTTGTCTTTGACCAGGTCTCTAGTCTCTTTGGTCAGGATATGAATATAATCACCTTATCTGTTGTCAGGAAGGCAAAATCTCTTGTCCTCCACAGTTCCTGACTTCTCAGGATAAGCATAGCCAAGGAAGAAAACTGTACTGACAGGAGCTTACTCCCTTCACAAGAGAGGAGCCAAGGCAATAAATACCACCTGCCTTTTATCACCTTCTAAACTGCCCATTGGCTGACTCCACCTGGAAACCAAAGGGAATGGGAGCACCTTACACAGTCCATAGAGGTCACTTTCTCAGGCACACAGCAAGGTAAAGATAGGAGGAGAATTGATGATGAGGAGCACAGTAAAGGCATTGAGCACAGTGAATAGTTTTATGGTTTGTACATTGCTTCTCTTGAACTGCTGCTCATGTTTCCCTTCATAAATGTGCTGTGTTAAATATTAATGTTTTTGTGTTTGTTGAGATTTTCTTTGCATACTTTACCTGGTCCATTATTTGCCAGTGTTCTATAAATGTATTGACTAATGGTTTACTGATTTGTTTATATGTCTCAAAACAACTATAACAGTGGGTAATGAGAGCAGGGAGGGGGCACTGAGTAAAAGCATGATGGAACCAAAATACTACACAATAACAATATACAGGAGAATTGGCATTGTTATTGCTACAGGATTCTTAGGGTGTCACTTTACCAACCAGAAACCTCTGTGACTGGTGACGCATCTGCTTGGGTTTTTCTTGGGCCTGCTGGGCCCAAGTGAGCTTGTTCCACTCACTTGGTGAAGCAACCAGCCTGGATTCCATGTCTGCCAAGGGCAAGCCAGATGTGCAGCAATGAGAGGTCTGCAAGTGAGGTCTGGCCACTGTGCACTGCCAGGCATGCCAGCTGTGGTGAGGTGGGCAACTCCAAGTGCTAACATAGGTGCTAGCTCTGTGTGAGGCTGCAGCTGGACCAGGCATACTGCAAGTGGCTTCCACTATGGGTACCGGGTAATGCAGTTGTGCCCAGAAGCTTGGAAATGCTAGGAACCATAGAGCCTCAAAGGTGTCACAACCCTGGCTTGGGGAGGCCCTAGGTTTGGGCTCCCTGAAAGTCAACAACTCTTTTCTTCTTCTTGTCACTCACAAGGTGTCAAGTGGAGGGTATGTTTCAGCCTTGTTTGTGTTACAGCTCTTTCAGTCCCACCATTCTGTGGTCCTGAGCTCTGGTCCTGCATCCAGGAAGAATGACGTATGTGGAAAACTGGAGCGTGAGCAAGGCAAAGAGGGGGTTCATTGAGCAACAGAACAGCTCTCAGGAGACCTGCAGTGGGTAGCTCCTTTCTGCAGGCTGGTTGTCCCAATGAGTGTCCACCTTTCAGCAGAAAGGAGACCTGCAGTGGGTAGCTCCTTTCTGCAAGCAGGTTGTCCTGACAAGTCAAGGAGACCTGAATTGGGTCACTGCTTCCCACAGCTGGTAGTCCCACAGTCTGTGTAAGTCTGGCTGTCTGAGGTTTTTATGGACTTCAGAAGGCAGGAAGTGTGTGCTGACTCGTCCAAGGGCAGCCATGTGCAGGCCTGGAAAAAGCACCATAAGTTTTCACTCAGGGCCAAGGACTTCACCTGGAACTGACAGCCTTCAGGATGGCTTGAAGCAGGGCCTCTCCAGGGAACCAACCCTTTATGCCCAGGAGCCATCTGCCTATTGTTGCCATCAACTTGGCATCCATAGTGCCCAGGCTGTTCATGCCAAGCAGTGCTGGCAGGCCTGTGCCAAATGACCCTCAGCACCCCCTCAGCTCCACTCCTGTGGTCATGGGCGCCCAAAGTCTGGAGGGGGATGAGGCGGCAGGGGGCTGGTGTGTCAGCACCACCCTGAGCACGTGCAACCTCCTGGCTGGGTTGTGATAGCACCTGGGCTTGGCCACAATGTTGCTCCACACTCGGAGCAACCAGGAGTTGAGAAAGGCCAGGCAGTGGCACCAAGCTCTTTCAAGCCTGCAGAGGCAAGGGGGCTTCCTGGGCTTCAAAAAGCACAGGGATACCAAGTCTGCAGCCACTGCTGGGCAGCTGCAGCTAAGCATGGGACTCCTGCCCCACCAACTTGGAAGGGGACAGGGCTCCTGCCTGTTCCCAGCTCCTGACGGCTCCTGAACATGCAGCCCTGGCCACGCCTCCCCTGCTGCAGCGTCCCCACAGTGGCTGCTCCAAACAGGTTGCCACCATCATTATAAGTCAGAATGCTCTTGGCTGCAAGTATTACGGATCATAACTTGGCTGGGTGTGGTGCCTCATATCTATAATCTGCTTTGGGAGGCCAATGCAAGAGGATTGCTTGAGGACAGGAGCTTGAAACCAGCCTGGGCAACATATAATAGTAATACCCTGAGTCTATACACATATGAAAAATAAAAGCACACTCACACACTCAAAATGGAAGACATGGCTCAACAGACCAAACAATAAGAAAACTTTTAATAGGAACTCCAGATGTAGTTATCTTCAAGGTTAGTTGCATATTTGATGTTTGTTGAATCAACATATTGGGAACAATACATTTATAGCAGTTCCACATGTCTCATCCAAATTTGGCAATTGGGAGAAAAAAGATAAATAACATTTTCCTATGGCTTTCTCTTAAAGAAGAAGAAACTTTTTCTCACAGTCCTTCTGTAAGGCTGCTTATCGTGTATCAATGGCTAGTGTTGGATCACACAGCTTTTCCTGGAAATACTGTTAACATAACTAACCATTACCAACCCCAACAAGTTAATGACATTATGCATAACTAGGTTGACTCCCATAACAAGAGATGGAGTTAGCTTTTCCTTCAGAAAAGCAAAGCAAAACAAAATATACACACATGATATGCAGTGAAGGTGTTGGTACTTCAACAAATTTAAAGTATCTTTGGTACAAGGGATAAGTATGTAGTGGGTAGGCAACCACTATCCTTCACTGCAGAGATTACAAGACTAAAACAGTGCTAAAGTATTATAATGAAAAAGGTTTGATTGCTTTTTTGTGTTTAAATTACATATAGGTGTTAAAGTATTAAGGGTAATCACCACAGGAATAGAGAGAAAATGCAAAATGTTCAAACAAGTAGAAGGGAAATATGGTACCAAAAAAACCCAAAACAAAATAAATGAACTTTCAAAACAAATTAAATAGCTGTTAGTAAAGCTGTCATAAAGGAAGTAAAGAAATAGCCTGATGAAAAGAAAATATGAAATAAAATATATAACATATTTTAATTATTTTAGCCAAATATTTTAATAATTGCAATGAATATAAGTAGACTACCTATTAAAGGCCAAAAATTATAAAATTAGATAAAATTCTAGCTATTCAATATTGGCAAGAAAAATACATAAATTAATGATACAAAAAAGCAGAAAGTAAAAAGATAGAAAATATACAGTAAAAATATATTGGGCAGCCACTGCCAAAATATTTTTAATGAAAGACTTTAATGCAAAATAATTATTATATAATGACTAAAACAACAACTTCCAGTGTCATAAATGGTAGCATGCTTACATACATAGCTGTACTTTGATTTGTCATAGTAAATGTTTTAGATGTTCAGTGTCATTATTGATTAGGAAAATAAAATTGTCTTATAAGTATTACAGTATTTTTTCAGTTTGTTTGTATGAACGTGGATCCAAATATGACTGGCACTATGTATGTTATATTTCTTAAGTTGCTCCTTCATCTTGTTTCTTCCTCACCTCTCTCCTGCTCCTTCCTCCTAGCTGGAGTTTATATGTTGAAGAAACAAAATAACTTGATGGGTATACTTTCCACAGTCTGGATTCTACCGATTTTATCCCCAATGTGATGTTGAACTTGTTTCTCTGGTATTGGTATTTCCCAACAGCTATAATATAATCTGAAGGCTTTGATCAGATTCAGATTTGACATCATGGCAAACACTATATCTTAAGTGGTAACATGCTTTTTTATGGAGGCACATTATATACCTAGCCATCTTGCTTGTGATTGTGGCAACTATTTGATGCTCAAAGCTAAGATTCAGTCAATTCTTCAAGGCTTGAAAATAGCGATATAGAATTTTATGATTCTTTATGATTTGCAATTCTTAATATTTTTTGAATGAGGATTCTTGAATTCTCATTTTGTCATGGGCCCCAAAAATTAAGTAGCTGGTCCTGGGTATGGACATCATGTAGGAGATATGCGGAAAACAAAGACAGAAATCTAGATTTGTTTACAGTGTGGTTGGCCTAATGTTGGTTCCCACCAAAGGAATACAAACTAATATGAAAATTTCAGAACATTTCCTCTAGTTTCTTCCTCTACATATCTGGATTTGTTATATTGTTAAGTTTTTACTAGACGTTTTCCTATCACCTTAACAGTGTTTTTAAAAATCTTCATGTTAGTTTCCTGATATAAAATCCTTAAGTCAAGGATATTTATTAGTTTAGTATTTTATGGCTGCAACAAAATACCAGACACTCCCACAAGTCACCCGGTCACCCAGGAGTGCCTTTCGGTGGGAGGAGCAAATGCCTTTTCTTGTCAGATAAAAAACTCAGTCTCTCATTTATCTATGAAAACAGCAGTTCAGTTCGTCACACAAATGCACACAGAAAAACCAAATCAAGATAAATTTTAGGAGAAAAAGCAATAGAGAATTCCCTTTAGAATGCATCTCTGAACTGGAATTAGGATCCTTAGACAACAACTTCCTAGCAGAAAATCAGCTCAGAATAAATCAAGCACCATCAACTAAAGGGAGGTGGGACTCAGGAGACTTAACAGTTCCACCAAAGGACAACTGGAAATCAGGTAGTTTTCAGTGGGCCCCGCTAGTACCTTAGCTCCAAGTTCAGATAACTCCTTCTGGGCCCTGAGTCTTCTCTGGGGCTCCTGTATTTAAGCACCAAATTATTGTTGATGAAAAGAGTTAAACTGTGTAAAATATTTCAAGACATTTATTTTGAGCGAAATGTGAGTGACCATAACCTGTCACACAGCCCTCAAGAGGTTCTGAGAACATGTGCCCAAGGTGAGCAGGGTACAGTCTGGTTTTATATATTTAGAAGAGGCATGAGATATCAATCAAATACATTTAAGAAATGCATTGGTTTAGTTAAGAAAGGCAGGACAACTGAGAGCAGGGGGGTTATAGGTAAATTTAAACGTTTTCTGGTTGACAATTGGTTATGTTTGTCTAAAGACCTGGTAGAAAGGAATGCTCAGGTTAAAATAAAGGATTGTGGAGACCAGGTTTTAGTGTACAGAGGAAGCTCTCAGATAGCAGACTTCAGAGACAGCAGGTTGTAAAGTGTTTGTTATCAGATTTAAAAGAATGCCTGGCTCTTAGTTGATTCTCTCCTGGATCTGGAAAGGAAGGAAGAAGAAAAAAGGTGAAAGTGGATTCTCTATAGAATGTGGATTTTTCCCACAAGAGACTTTTGCAGGGAAATTTCAAGGTATGGCTTGGGAGGCCAAAGTGTGCAGATCATGAGGTCAGGAGATTGAGATCATCCTGGCTAACACAGTGAAACCCCCATCTCTACTAAAAATACAAAAAATTAGCTGGGCATAGTGGCGCCTCTGTAGTCCCAGCTCTTTGTGTGGCTGTGGCAGGAGAATTGCTTGATCCTGGGAAGTGGAGGTTGCACTGAGCCAAGATGGTGCCATTGCACTCCAGTTTGGGCAACAGAGCTAGATTCCATCTAAAAAAAGAAAAAAGTATGGCAAGCAAATATATTCTGGGATAAAATATTTTGATTTTCTTCCTTGTTATGCCAGAATCACATTGGAGAGTAAGTCACTGTATAGTTTTAAATAAAAGGCATCTGATGATAATTTATGGTTTGTAGGGCATGACTCCTTAGACCCATTGGATAGGAATTTAGGCAAGATAAAAAAAATTAGAGCTTAGTTCTTACTTAGAAGACAAAAGGAGGCATAGTCTGGGCTGGATTGTCTCTGAGTCGTGCAAGGAACAGTCTTTGAGGTAGTAGAGTCTTCAGCAGCATATGCCAGGTTCTTATAATGAGTGACTGCAGGATGGTGTCAGCTACGACAGCTGTTTTAAGCTGCTGAAGTTCTGCTCTTTTATAGTCACAGCGTCCTCTGTGGAGGACTGACAGTGGAAGAGTGTGCTTGTTTATGTCCCCACATCTGGATGGATGCAAACCTAAACAAAAAAAACCCTTTGTTTATTAAACAAAACATCTTTGTTGAGAGAGTACCATATGAAATAGAAAATAAAGTCTTTTTTAAAAGGTGGAGTAAGTTATGTCAAGGGTGCTATACACAACCATGTAACTTAGATTCCCACAGTTTTCACACTAGAAGAGCTAGAATAATTTTGTTCAAATTTCTCTTTTTGCATTTGACTGCCAGGCCAAGAGATGTGTTGAACGGGCATTTTAATAGGCAAGAACTTCAGCTGAATTTTCTGACCACTGATCCAGTGCTTTTTCCAGAATGCTACTCATCTGCCAAAACTGTATCCATTTTTCCTATTTTTTTTTCTTGAGAGGCAGTCTCGCTCTGTTGCCCAGGCTGGAGTGCAGTGGCGCAATCTCGGCTCATTGACAGCTCTGCCTCCAGGGTTCACACCATTCTCCTGCCTCAGCCTCCCAAATAGCTGGGACTACAGGTGCCTGCCACCATACCCGGCTAATTTTTTTGTGTTTTTAGTAGAGATGGGGTTTCACCGTGTTAGCCAGGTTGGTCTTGATCTCCTGAACTCATGATCCGCCCACCTCAGCCTCCCAAAGTGCTGGGATTACAGGCGTGAGCCACTGTTCCCGGCCAAAGCTATCTATTTTTAAGCACCTTGCCTCTGTTCATTTGCTTATTCATTCCTCCATTCATTCATTTGTTCATTCATTCAATACCTATTAGTTTGTTGACGTTTTCTGGGTCTGGTAGTTTAGAGAATGCTTGCTTTCCTCAGCTAAAAGTTTTTTCTTTTTTTTTTTTCCTCATTTTTCTCTTTTAGTCAGAAGATTTTTTCCTTGAAAGCATCGATGGTAAACATCTGCACGTCAGAGAGTTTCTCAATAAGACTTGTAATCCAAAAACAATCTGAGAAACGTCTTAATTAATTTAGAAGTTTATTTTGCCAAGGTTAAGGACATGCCTGTGACACCACCTTCAAATGTCCTGACAACATGTGCCAAAGGTAGTTGAGATACAATTTGCTTTTATCCATTTAGGAAGAAATGAGACATTAATCAATACATGTAATATATATAGTGGTTTGGTTCAGAAAAGTAGGACCATTAGAAATCTGGGTTCCAGATTTTAAGTGGATTGAAAGATTTTCTTATTGTCAGTCATTTGAGTAAATATCTGCAATCAACAGAAAGAAATGTCTGGGCGATAATAAGGGATTGTGGATACCAAGGTTTGTCATGCAAATAGCCTCCAGGTATCAGAGAGGCTTCAGAGAAAATAGATTGTAAATGTTTCCTGTCAAACTTAAAAGATCTGTTCTATCAGTACCAAGGTCTGTGTTGATGTTAATGGTAATGAGGCATGTGTGACTCCGCCTTCTCATTATGGCCTGAACTAGTTTTTCAGGTTATCTTTGGAATGTTTTTGGCTGAGAGGACGTGTATATTCAGATGGTTTGAGGCTTTATATTTTATTTTGTCTTACAAGCTCATTTCTGGATAGTCCTGTGCCATGTGTAGGTAGTGGTGCATGTGTGTGTGGGGGACAGGGGGCTGTTACTAGAGGGTCAAAGAGAAGTTGTCTCAGTGAGGAATTTTAAGACCACCAAAAAGCCAATTGGGATGATGATGTTACAAATTGGTTAAATGAAACCCTGTCAAGTCATTGATTTACATACCTGCTGTCACTTTTTAATCATTTGTAGCTTTAGTAGTTGTACATTACTTAGAATTTTAACTACTACTATCCTTAACCCATAGAGAAAACCTAAGAAACACAGTTTTTAACTATGTGAACCCTGAATATCTGAGACAGGGCTCAGTTAATTTGGAAAACTTATTTTGCCAAGATTGTTCTGTTCCATTGGTCTATGTATCTGTTTTGGTACCAGTACCATGATGTTTTGCTTACTGTAGCCTTGTAGTATAGTTTGAAGTCAGGTAGTGTGATGCCTCTAGCTTTGTTCTTTTTGGTTAGGATTGTCTTGGCCATGTAGGCTCTTTTTTGGTTCCATATAAAATTTAAAGTAGTTTTTTCTAATTCTGTGAAGAAAGTCAATGGTAGTTTGATGACAGCATTGAATCTATAAATAACTTTGGGCAGTAGGACCATTTTCTGCATCTATTGAGATAATCATGTGTTTTCTGTCATTGGTTCTGTTTATGTGACAGATTACATTTATTGATTTGCATATGTTGAACCAGCCTTGCATCCCAGGGATGAAGCTGACTTGATTGTGGTGCATAAACTTTTTCATGTGCTGCTGAATTTGGTTTGCCAGTATTTTATTGAGAATTTTCACATCAATGTTCATCATTCCTTGGTCATAGATATTGGCCTGAAATTTTCCTTTTTTGTTGTGTCTCTGCCAGATTTTGGCATCAGGATGATGCTGGCCTCATAAATAATTTTTCCATTGTTTGTGTCCTCTCATTTTCTTGAGCAGTGGTTTGTAGTTTTCCCTGAAGAGATTCTTCACATCCCTTATAAGTTGAATTCCCAGGTATTTTATTCCCTTTGCAGCCATTGTGAATGGGAGTTCACTCATGATTTTGTTCTCTGTTTGTCTATTATTGGTGTATAGGATTGGTTGTGATTTTTGCACTTTGGTTTTGTATTCTGAGACTTTGCTGAGGTTGCTTATCAGGTTAAAGAGATTTTGGGCTGAGATGATGGAGTTTCTAAATATACAGTATGTCATCTGCAAACAGACACAATTTGACTTCCTCTTTTCCTAGCTGAGTACACTTTCTTTCTTTCTCTCGCCTGACTGCCCTGGCCAGAACTTCCAATACTATGTTGAAGAGGAGTGGTGAGAGAAGGCCTCCTTGTCTTGTGCCAGTTTTCAAAGGGAATGCTTCCAGTTTTTGCCCATTCATGGCTATGGATATGTGATAAATAGCTCTTATTATTTTGAGATACATTCCATCAATACCTAGTTTTTTGAGAGTTTTTTTTTTTTTAGCATGAAGGAGATTGTGTTTTTCAAAAGGTCAATGAAGTGTTATATTATCCTTGGCAAAAATTTTGTCAATAAGAGGAGAAACAGAGGGAACACATATAGTTGGCAGGGATTTTAAGAACAGAGAAATTCAGTAGATGGAGTAGCTATTATTGAGAGAATAGAGGCCTCACACAAATAAACATATATAGCCTAAATATTAACTTTTTGTTCATTTGTTTTTGAGGTGGAGTTTTACTCCATCGCCCAGGCTGGAGCGCAGTGGTGTGATCTTGTCTCACTGTAGCCTTGCCTCTTGGGCTCAAGCGATTATCCTGCCTCAGCCTCCTGAGTAGCTGGGATGAGTACAGGGATGAGCCATCATGCTCAACTAATTTTTGTATTTTTTACTAGAGGTGGGGTTTTGCCATTTTTGTCAGGCTGATCTTCAACTTTTAATCTCAAGGGATCTACCTGCCTTGGCCTCCCAAAGTGCTGGGTTATAGACATGAGCCACCAAACTGGGCCTAACTATCAATTTTTAAGTTGACTTTTGACTATAGAGCTCTTTTTTTGTCTGTTTTGAGATGAAGTCTTACTCTTGTCACCCAGGCTGGAGGGCAACGGTGCAATCTCGGCTCACTGCAATCTCTGTGTCCCAGGTTCAACCCATTCTCCTGCCTCAGCCTCCCGAGTAGCTAGGATTACAGGTGCCCACCAGCAAACCTGGCTAATTTTCATAGTTTTAGTAGAGACGGTTTTTCACCATGTTGGCCAGGCTGGTCTAAAACTCCTGACCTCAGGTAATCCTCCTGGAACTTTCCAAGTGCTGGGATTACAGGCGTGAGCCACTGCGCCCAGCATTTTTTTTTCTTTTTAAATAGACTTCATGAAAAGTCTTTTTATCAGATTTTCGTTGAGCAAGTACCAAACATTCCTATTTGTTGGCTTTTTGTTTCTCAAGTTTACAGCAAGAAAGATTTTGGAGATGGAGCCAAATTTGTTTGTTACAGGTCTAGGATGATTACTTTTAAAAGGTGCTGGTAGTTGAAATGTTTTAATGAAATATTTTCTTCTTTCTGGGTATATGTTTCCAAATAACTTACAAGAAACGGTGTAAACAAATAACAATAAAAGTTTCCTATTACATTCTAAATATAAAGGAGAATTTTAAATCAAAGATATTAATGAAAAAAATGACTCAAAAGCAACACGAATAAACATACATGAGGCCAAAACCCAAAAGCCCTTTATAGCATCAAAGAGGAAGCAAAAATTTTGCAGCCTTTCCAAGATCTATACCCCTACCACAGACTACTTAAAGGAAACTTTCACTAGCTGCCAATAGTTGAAACCCACAACTATCTGGCAATTTTCTTGCAGGGTTTCAGCTTCTAAGCTGATCATGTACATACAAATGCCCAGCATTTCTGGTGCCATACAGATGGAAGGTTAAAAGAGACAGTAGGTAAAATGAAAAGAAAAGGTGTTCATGTAGATGGCAAGCATAACACACGATACCCCCTCAAAATCAAGAGTTACATAAATAATCCAAAATAAATAGTTCAAATCAGAATAAGTAGTTCTAACAGAAATGTTTTGCTCCTAAGCTAGCAGTATGCACTGGGGAAAGGAATTTTGTGGTTGATCTAAAGAACTTTAACTCTGCCTCAAACCGGATCTTAGCTGAAATGTTGCTTGGCTGCTTGGATATAACATTTGGATATATCTCTGGATATAACATCTCCCAGACATAAGATTTACATCTCCAAGGAACTGCAAAAGGTCAGGGGAAAGGGTGGAGTGCCTTTTATAAATCCTGTAGGGAAGTTAAGCATGCAGTTTGAACATAAAAATGTTCTGGAGGACTTAAATGGGAAGTTTCTAAAAACAAAATAAAACTTATAGCCTATATAGTGACAAGACAAAGAAAAGACCACCTTTAGGCTCCAAAAGGCCTGAAAATGTGGAAAGATAAGTTTATGGGAAGAGTAAATCTGTCCCTCTATCCTCGATGCTTTTGTCTCTGAGCTGACAAGGAACATTAAGAGGCCTATCTTTAGATGGGAAAGGCAGCCAAGAGGACAGTAAGACCTTGTCTTTGTAAATTGCTGTCCTACTATCAGGTAGGCAGAGTGAGTGGAAGAATATCCTCCTACATATTTTTTGAGACGGAGTCTCGCTGTGTCTGTCTCCCAGGCTGGAGTGCAGTGGCGCCATCTCGGCTCACTGCAAGCTTCGCCTCCCGGGTTCACGCCATTCTCCTGCCTCAGCCTCCCGAGTAGCTGGGATCACAGGTGCCCCCAACCACGCCCTAAAAAATTAGCCATTTTTTGTGTTTTTAGGAGATCTTCCTACTTTTTAACCTCCTCCAGCTCTGCACTCTTTAGGATTTTGATAAAGCTCCGATGAGTGGAGGAACACCAGGGTTCTTGCCTTGCTTAGAATTAGGTAAGACAACACGGACACATGTGGACAGATTTTAAGGAGTAGGGAGTTTAACAGGGAAGAAAGAAGGGGGAAGAAAAAAAGAAGCAGCTCCCTTGTAGAGAGAGAGAGGTAGGAGGATCCAAAGCTGAGAGAGGAAACCCCGCTTTCAGGTAATGTTAGCCAGCTAAATTAGATGGCTGGAGGAGGCGGTGTCTGATTCGCACAAGGCTCAGGGTATTGGTTTGACCAGGCATGTCTTTCACGTAGCCCGAGAGAAAACTGGCCACCCTAGCCTTTTAAATATGCAAATGCAGAGTGCCCTCGTGTTCCAAACACCTGGAGATATGTGGGGGTGGCTATGCTGCCAGGCACGTGTTGGGGAAAGAGCAAGAGGACAAAGGTGGGAATCGCCATGTTGAGTGAACCCAGTTTCTAACGCTGGCATTTGCATATTAAAGGTTGACAGCCTAGGTCTAAGACCCAGGGTTTTCATGCTAGACAAGAGCTGCGAAAAATCTTCCAAGGACCCCGTTTTTTCCTCTCTGCCTAAAATAATTTCTTAATAACTCTTACCACAATTTTAGACGGAACATTTTTGTTTTCTTCACAGGCATCTTCCTAAATTAAGGGTAATGTAAATTTGAACTCAGCCCTGCTCAGTTGTTGTCATTAATTTTTTCACTTAGGCTTGGTATAGATATACAGATTTTCTCATTAATTTGGTTTGTTGGAAGGCAGATTTTTTTTTTTTACCACAGGCCATCATTTTGTAGAAAATGTTGCTCCTAACTATAAGGAGCACTGGTTCCAGGTGTTAGGTTCAGTCCTTTCCCATTGCAAAAAATCAAGGCCAACTCTCTCATTTATTTTTTTTTCTGGTTTTAAAACAAACTTTTTCCAATCACGCATGCAAATAAATTACTTTGAGCATTTCAAAAGACCTTCATTTAGGCTGTAGCTGCTTATGACCATCCCAGGTTACGTGGGCTTATTTTTCCAGATATTATTGATGACACCCCGTTTTTGTTGTACATAAAACCAGCTGCTTTTATAAAAGAAGATTGCCCATCAAAAGAATACACAGATCTGGCCGAGTGCAGTGGCTCATGCCTGTATCCCAGCACTTTGGGAGGCCAAGGAGGGCGGATCACAAGGTGAGGAGATTGAGACCATCCTGGCTAACACAGTGAAACCCCATCTCAACTAAAGATACAAAAAAAAAAAAAAAATTAGCCGGGTGTGGTGGCGGGCGCCTGTAGTCCCAGCTACTGGGGAGGCTGAGGCACGAGAATGGCGTGAACCCAGGAGGCGGAGCTTGCAGTAATTGGAGATCGCGCCACTGCACTCCAGCCTGGGTGACAGAGCGAGACTCCGTCTCAAAAAAAAAAAAAAAAAAAAAAAAAAAAAAAAGAATGCACAGAGCTTGATTTCCCATAATTTAGGAACCTTTTGAAAGTGACCTAGGGCAGAAATGTGTTTGGGGTTGAACTGTGCTGCTTATGCAAGTCACTCAGCCAAGGTGTTACCCAAGAGTCATTAATTTGTCTTATACATCTTGGAATTTCTCATCCCCTTGCAGTGGCTGAGTTGCTAAGTTGCCAGGTGACCAATCCTAATATACACCTTCTGGCTATGCTGAAACTCTCTGAAAGTCCTTTTTTTGCAAGGTCTCTGAGACTGCTACATATCATGGACAGCTGTCCAAACACCTCTGTAATACGTCTAGTCACTTAGAGCACCCAGTTGGATTTGGAGGGAGCAAGTGTCTCTTAACTCTGGAGTGAGAGAACTCATCTTCATGTACCTTTTGATTTGAAACTATCAGTAATTGGTTACAGATGAAAATGCAAGTCCACATTACAAACAGTAGGTCGCAGCTGCAATTTTAAATACACACAATGTAATTCTGGGCCAAAAGAAGTGAAACCATTGGTGGTACACTGCCAATAGCCTGACACAGATTTCTTCCTGAAGACAATGGCAGAGAAGGCAGTTCTCTGTAGAGTTGTTTTCCTGCTGTGACCTGCGCTTCTGTTCTTGAGGCAGAGAAGGCTGTTTTGATTTCTGTTTTTGTTTTTTTCTCCTGAAACTTGAAACTCCTACCCATGGCCAGAGATAGGCTAGATGAATTCTGCAAAGGGAGAGTTGGAAAGAACAGCTCAAACAGTTTGATCTCAACCAAGGGGTACAGAGATTTGAATTGTGGAGGACTAACCCCTTACATTAGCAGAAGAATGTAAGGTCTTCTGCCTGCCTAGATGTTGGGTCCACAGTGCTGACTCCTGGATGAGTGTTGGATGGTCAGAGGAGTGGACTCTGAACCCTGCTTACTGTACTCTAAATATCAAACTAAAGGAAAAAGCTGAGGGATGAAACATACTTTGAAAATGTCTATTTGATACAAGATGTGGAAAAGTTGCTGGAAAACACAGAACCTAGTAAACTTAGATAGGAGCACCAAAGTTTTGTTAACATGGGTATGTGATAAACAAATTCGTAAAGGCAAAAAGTGGACAGCAAGTGGCCTATAACAAAGTTGTTTGTTATGAATTGTCATTGGATTACAGAAATAGCATTGATTAGCAATTGGCTACATATTGTTAAGCTGTAGTTCGTTGGTTGTAGTGTCCAATATGTGGCATTGGTTGATGGTTTTTTAGCTAACGTGTGGCCATAATACTTGTAGCATCTATACAGCAAGCAGCTTCAAGAGATGACTACTTATCTTAAGGTGGGAAGTGGGATGTGGGTGCTACCTATGGGAGGCTTGCATTCCTTAGATAAAAGTTTATTTTCTTAGTTTGTTGCATAGCTTCTCAGTCTAAGGTGGTCTTCCAGAGTTTGGGACTCCAGTGTTAGACAGCCCCTGCCATGGGTCTTACCCTGTGCTTGTTTCCTCTCCATGAGGCCTTACCATGCTGTTTTTGCCTGTGGGTTTCTCCCTATTAGCGTTCATTGACTCTGTGATTGAGGTGTTCAAATGCTAGGTGCTCTAAGCACTTATGTAGATGTTTCATTGAGAGCCTACAAAGGCTGCATTAGCTGTACAGTATCATATGATGAAACTGACGCCAAGGGAGGTTGACTTAGTAGCCTCATTTCCCATAGCCAATGAGGGACAGCATGTCTTTGACTCCAATGTTGAGCACTGGTCCCTGCCTGTTCTAGATTCTCCATTGGCTTGGTTTTCCAAATTGCTTACACTCTGCTTGACTCTTTCAGAGACACTAATGTGTCATACATTTGGTCTCTTTACATAATCCCATATTTCTTAGAGGTTTCATTAATTTCTTTCTTTCTTTTTTTTCTCTGTTATTCTCTGAATGTCTTATTTCAGAAAAATACACTTCAAGCACTGAGAGTCTTTTCTCATCTTGGCCAGTTCTGCTGTTAATACGTGCAGTTGAATGATGAAATTCTTGTAAAGGTTTTTCAGCCCTATCAGGCTGGTTACGTTTTTTTCTATGCTAAGTATTTTGTCTGTCAGCTCCTGTTATCATTTATTTGTGGTTCTTAGCTTCCTTTAATTGGGTTATGCATAGTCCTGCATCTCAATGATTTTGGTCTCTGTCTCTATTAGGAATTCTGTTCCTGTCATTTTAGTTATCTCCGCCTGGTTCAGATCCCTTGCTGGTTCCCAGCTTCCTCCCCACTTCAGCTCAGCTTCTGTGTTTTCCCTCCATGCACTCTCAGTGCCTCCCTCTGAAGACCTGGTAGGAGTATGCCAGGCATCCTGGTACCAGACCAAACTAAGTGTTGGGCTGCTTATTCTCACAGCCCAATAAAGAGACACAAATGAACTGAGAAAGGAGGGAGTTCATTTCTGTAATTGGGTACAGAGAGGAGGCCTGGAAAATATTGCCAGACCAACTCAAAATTAAGTTTTCCAGAGCTTATATACCTTCTCAGGTATATGTGTTTGTGTAAGTGTGCATTCATCTAAAGATATAAGTGATTAATTTCTTCTAATCTGTAACTAAAGTCCAAACTTTGAAGACCCTTCTCAGGAGCTTCAGTAAATTTATTCAATCTAGATGGATCCGGGTGCTGAGGTGATTACCCTTATCTTGTCTCCCGCTAAATCATGGCGGCTTGGGGAGTTCTTTCAGATCTCCAATAAAACTTGTTTACGGAGGGCTAGGGAGTTTCTTCACACCAACAGTAAAACGTGTTTAATTCTAAACTCGTCCCATTAAGAATTCCTTTGTTATCTTATCATGCTTCAAGGCCTAGGAAAAGCCTGGGCAAAACTCTTAGTGGGCTTTTGTTACATTCTAGGCTTTGGATAAGAGCACTTGCTCTTATTATTTAGCTTAACCACTCAGTGCTGAAACAGTTGTTACAGGGGCCTGTCTGTTCAGCTGTTAGTGACCTACTCTGCAACAATCCTGGTCCCTCAGTGGCAGCTGTTTCACTTGACTGCCTCTGTTTGTCCATCTTGCTTGAATCTTGCAGTAACTTTTGAAATCTAGAATTGTGAGTCTTCTTACTTCCCCCTCCTGTAGTGTTACATGTAATTTCACATCAATTATAAAATCAGATTACCAATTTATTGAAAGTAACTCTTGAAGTCTAGAATTGTGAGTCTGTTAATAATGTTTGGTAATTTTCATACATTTTAAAACTTACAGTACAATGTTAAATAGAAGCTGTGTAAGCAGTATTCTTGTCTTGTTCTTTATCTTTTGGAAATGTATGCAGGCTTTCACTGTTAAGTGTGATGTTACTTGTGGGTTTTTGCAGATGTCTTTTATCAGTTTGAAGAAGTTTACTTCCATTCATATTTTTATCACAAATATTATTGGACTTTATCAGATCTTTTTCTCTCCTATCCTTGAGATAATCATGTGATTTTTGTGTTTTGTTCTATTGATGTGATGTGTAACATTAATATTTTTTGAATGATTAGCCAAACTTGCTTGCCCAAGATAAATCCCTGTTTGTCATGGTGGTTAATATGTATGTTGCTGCATTCAGTTTGCTGATATTTTGTTGAATTTTTTTGTTTTTCATTCCATAGTTAACACACTGTACTGTAGTTTTCTTATCATTTTTTTTTTTTTTTTTTGAGATGGAGTCTCCCTCTGTCACCAGGCTGGAGTGCACTGGCGCGATCTCGACTCACTGCAACCTCTCTGCCTCCTGGGTTCAAGCGATTTTCCTGCCTTAGCCTCCCAAATAACTGGGACTATAGGCATGTGCCACCAAGACCGGCTAATTTGTTGTATTTTTTTTTTAGTAGAGATGGGGTTTCACTGTATTAGCCAGGATGGTCTTGATCTCCTCACCTCGTGATCTGCCCACCTTCGCCTCCCAAAGTGCTGGGATTACAGGCATGAGCCGCTGCGCCCAGCCCCTTTTATATTTTTGTATGGTTTTGACATCAGGGTAAATAAGAGGAATTGGAAAATGTTTCTTTTCTTTTTGCAGAGTTTATGAATAAGTTATTATTATCATCATTATTTACAGAGTGTTGCTCTGTTGCCCATGCTGGAGTGCAGTGGCATGATCTCGGCTCCCGGCAATATTCACCTCCTAGATTCAAGCAATTCTCCTGCCTCAGCCTCCTAAGTAGCTGGGATTAAAGGTGCTCATGACCATGCCTGGCAAATTTTTGTATTTTTAATAGAGATGGGGTTTTACCATGTTGGTAGGCTGGTCTCAAACTGCTGGCCTCAAGTGATCTGCTGCCTAGGCCTCTCAAAGTCTGGGATTACAGGCGTGAGCCGCTGCACTTGGCCAAATTCATATTAGTTCTTCATTGAAGATTCAGTAACATTCATGGATAAAACTTTCTGACCTTAGGATTTTTCTTGTGGGCATTGAATCACTGTCCTCACTTGTTATAGGTCTAGTGAGATTCCTGTTTATTCTTGAATTAGTTTCAGTAGTTTGTTTCTAAGAATTCATCCACTTCATCTAAATAATCTAAACTTTTGATACACCCACAATGTTCATATTATTCGCTTATGTAAGGTTAGTAGTAATTATTTTTCTTTTATTTCAGATTCTAGTAATTTTAGTGTTCTCTTTTTTTTAGTTAAACTAGCTAATGGCTTACCAATTTTGTTCCTCTTTTGAAAGAACCAGCTTTTGGTTTCATTAGGTTTCTTTATTGCTTTTCATTATCTATTTCCTCAATTTCCACTCTAATTTTTATTACTTCCTTTCTTCTGCATGCTTTTAGTTTATTCTGTTCCTTCTCCCCCCACTATCTTATAGTAGTAAATTCAATTGAATTGATTTTTTTCTTCTTTCTTAAAAAGGCAGTTACAAGTGTAAATTTATATCTTTTATCATTACTTTTGCTGCATTGCATGAATCTGTGGTATGTTTTGTGTTTGTTTTAATTTATTTCAAAGTACTTTCTGATTTCTCTTTTGACTTCTTTTTGGAAGTCAATCCTGCAAACTTTTGGATTGTGTTTTAAATTTCTATATATTTGTGAGTTTCCCCCAACTTTTCCCGTTACTGATTTCATTTCATTGTGTTTGGAGAACTCACGTTATGTTATTTCCATTTAACCTTACTTATGATTGCTTTGTGGCCTAGCTGTCATCTATACCAGAGAATGCTTAAGGTATACATGCGAAGGATATATATTTAGTTGTTTTTTAGGATGGCATATGTGTCAATATAGTACAGTTGACTTACAGTGTTGTACCAGTCTTCTGTTTTCTTGTTGGTCCTATCTGTTATTGAAAGAGTGGTTTTGAAGTCTCCCGTTATTATTGTTTAATTGTATAGTTCTGTCTTAAATTTTGCATTTTTACCTTATTTATTTTTGTACTGTGTTAAGTGCATACGTGTTTATAATTATTATATTTTTCTTTGGGCTTCTCTAATTTCTTAACAATTTCCCCTGTTATATATAATGATGTTTTTGTTTTAGATGCCTTTTTTTGTCTTATATTAGTTATAGCCAGTTCATCTTTATTGTGGTTGCTATTTGCATGATACATATTTTTTTCATTATTTTACTTGAAGTATATATGTTTTTGAATTTAAATTGTGTCTCTTCTCTCATGTCTTTTGTTCTTCTATTTTTGCTATTTTATTTTGTATTGAAATAATATTTTCTAATAAAGAATTTTAATTGTATTATTTTTCTTTCCTTTTTTTGATTGCTTTGAAAGGCAGCATTTATTTATGTGGCTATGTTCTGAGAACTATGAAACAAATAATTTCATTATATTGTATCACAATTCATACCATTTTTCCTGTATTTATGATAGGAAAATATGACATGAAGCATGGTGTATACTTAATGTCTCATTTGTTTTACAAACTAAGAAGTGACAAAGGAAATTAACCCCCAAAATTACAGACATTAGAGGTCTACTCTGCTGCTTATTGTCACATGGTAACTACTTGTGTAGAATCATATGGAGTTTTAAAATCTTTTATTTGTTTATTTATTATTATAGGGTACATGTGCACAACATGCAGGTTTGATACATAGGTATACGTGTGCCATGTTGGTTTGTTGTACCCATGAACTCATCATTTATGTTAGGTATTTCTCCTAATGCTGTACCTTCCCCAGCCTCCGACCCTTGACAGGCCCCAGTGTGTGATGTTCTCTGCCCTGTGTCCAAGTGTTCTCATTGTTCAATTCCCACCTTTGAGTGAGAACATGCGGTGTTTGGCTTTCTGTCCTTGTGATAGTTTGCTGAGAATGATGGTTTCCAGCTTCATCCATGTCCCTGCAAAGGACATGAACTCATCCTTTTTAATGACTGCATAGTATTTCAGAGTGTGTGTGCCATGTTTTCTTAATTCAGTCTATCATTGATGGACATTTGTGTTGGTTCCAAATCTTTGCTATTGTGAATAGTGCCACAATAAACATACGTGTACATGTGTCTTTATAGTAGCATGATTTATAATCATTTGGGTGCATACACAGTAATGGGATTGCTGGGGCAAATGGTAATTCTAGTTCTAGATCCTTGAGGAATCACCACACTGTCTTCCACAATGGTTGAACCAATTTACACTCCCACCAACTGTGTAAAAGCATTCCTGTTTCTCCACATCTTCTCCAGCACCTGTTGTTTCCTGACTTTTTAATGACTGACCTTCTAACTGGCATCAGATGGTATCTCATTGTGGTTTTGATTTGCATTTCTCTGATGACCAGTGATGATGAGCATTTTCTCATGTGCCTGTTGGCTGCATAAATGTCTTCTTCTGAGAAGTGTCTGTTCATATTCTTAACCCACTTTTTGATGGGGTTGTTTGCTTTTTCCTTGTAAATTTGTTTGGGTTCTTTGCAGATTCTGGGTATTAGCCCTTTGTCAGATTGGTGGATTGTAAAAATTTTCTCCCATTCTGTAGGTTGCCTGTTCACTCTGATGGTAGTTTCTTTTGCTGTGCAGAAGCTCTTTAGTTCAATTAGATCCCATTTGTCAATTTTGGCTTTTGTTGCCATTGCTTGGGGTGTATTAGACATGAAGTCCTTGCCCATGCCTATGTCCTGAATGGTATTGCCTAGGTTTTCTTCTAGGGTTTTTATGGTTTTAGGTCTAACATTTAAGTCTTTAATCCATCTTGAATTAATTTTTGTATAAGGTGTAAGGAAGGGATCCAGTTTCAGCTTTCTACATATGGCTAGTCAGTTTTCCCAGCACCATTTATTAAATAGGGAATTCTTTCCCCATTGCTTGTTTTTGTCAGGTTTGTCAATGATCAGATGGTTGTAGATATGTGGCATTATTTCTGAGGGCTCTGTTCTGTTCCATTGGTCTATATCTCTGTTTTGGTACCAGTACCATGCTGTTTTGGTTACTGTAGCCTTGTAGTATCGTTTGAAGTCAGGTAGCATGATGCCTCTTAGCTTTGTTCTTTTTGCTTAGGATTGACTTGGCAATGCGGGCTCTTTTTTGGTTCCATATGAACTTTAAAGTAGTTTTTTCCAATTCTGTGAAGAAAGTCATTGGTAGCTTGATGGGGATGGCATTGAATCTATAAGTTACCTTGGGCAGTATGGCCATTTTCACAATATTGATTCTTCCTACCCATGAGCACGGAATATTCTTCCATTTGTTTGTGTCCTCTTTTATTTCATTGAGCAGTGGTTTGTAGCTCTCCTTGAAGAGGTCCTTCACATCCCTTGTAAGTTGGATTCCTAGGTATTTTATTCTCTTTGAAGCAATTGTGAATGGGAGTTCACTCATGATTTGGCTCTCTGTTTGTCTGTTATTGATGTATAAGAATGCTTGTGATTTTTGCACATTGATTTTGTATCCTGAGACTTTGCTGAAGTTGCTTATCAGCTTAAGGAGATTTTGGGCTGAGATGATGGGGTTTTCTAGAGATACAATCATGTCATCTGCAAACAGGGACAATTTGACTTCCTCTTTTCCTAATTGAATACTCTTTATTTCCTTCTGCTGCCTGATTGCCCTGGCCAGAACTTCCAACACTATGTTGAATAGGAGTGGTGAGAGAGGACATCCCTGTCTTGTGCTAGTTTTCAAAGGGAATGCTTCTAGTTTTTGCCCATTCAGTATGATATTGACTGTGGGTTTGTCATAGATAGCTCTTATTATTTTGAGATATGTCCCATCAATACTTAATTTATTGAGATTTTTTATCGTGAATCGTTGTTGAATTTTGTCAAAGGCCTTTTCTGCATCTATTGAGAAAATCATGTGTTTTTGTCATTTGTTCTGTTTATATGATGGATTATGTTTATTGATTTGCATATGTTGAACCAGCCTTGCATCCCAGGGATGAAGCCCACTTGATCATGGTGGATAAGCTTTTTGATGTGCTGCTGGATTGCTTTGCCAGTATGTTATTGAGGATTTTTGCATTGATGCTCATCAGGGATATTGGTCTAAAATTATCTTTTTTGTGTGTGTGTCTCTGCCAGGCTTTTGTATCAGGATGATGCTGGCCTTATAAAATGAGTTAGGGAGTATTCCTTCTTTTTGTATTGATTGGAATAGTTTCAGAAGGAATGGTACCAGCTCCTCCTTTTACCTCTGGTAGAATTCGGCTGTGAATCCGTCTGGTCCTGGACTTGTTTTTGTTGGCAAGCTATTAGTTATTGCCTCAATTTCAGAGCCTGTTATTGGTCTATTCAGAGATTCAATTTCTTCCTGGTTTAGTCTTGGGAGGGGGTATGTGTGGAGGAATTCATCTGTTTCTTCTAGATTTTCTAGTTTATTTGCATAGACGTGTTTATAGTATTCTCTGATGGTAGTTTGTATTTCTGTGGGATCAGTGGTGGTATCCCCTTTATCATTTTTTATTGCGTCCATTTGATTCTTCTCTCTTTTCTTCTTTACTAATCTTGCTAGCAGTCTATCAATTTTGTTGATCTTTTCAAAAAATCAGCTCCTGAATTCATTGATTTTTTGAAGGGTTTTTTGTGTGTCTATCTCCTTCAGTTCTGCTCTGATCTTAGTTATTTCTTGCCTTCTGCCAGCTTTTGAATGTGTTTGCTCTTGCTTCTCTAGTTCTTTTAATTGTGATGTTGGGGTGTCAATTTTAGATCTTTCCTGCTTTCTCTTGTGGGCATTTAGTGCTATAAATTTCCCTCTACACACTGCTTTAAATGTGTCCCAGAGATTCTTGTATGTTGTGTCTTTGTTCTCGTTGGTTTCAAAGAACATCTTTATTTCTGCCTTCATTTCATTATGTACCCAGTAGTCATTCAGAAGCAGGTTGTTCAGTTTCCATGTAGTTGAGCAGTTTTGAGTGTTTCTTAGTCCTGAGTTCTAATTTGATTGCACTGTGGTCTGAGAGACAGTTTGCTGTAATTTGAGTTCTTTTACATTTGCTGAGGAGTGCTTTACTTCCAACTATGTGGTCAATTTCAGAATAGGTGTGGTGCTGAGAAGAATGTATATTCTGTTGATTTGGGGTGAAGAGTTCTGTAGATAGATGTCTATTAGGTCTGCTTGGTATAGAGCTGAGTTCAATTCCTGGATATCCTTGTTAACTTTCTGTCTCATTGATCTGTCTAATGTTGACAGTAGGGTGTTAAAAAGTCTCCCATTATTATTGTGTGGGAGTCTAAGTCTCTTTGTAGGTCTCTAAGGACTTGCTTTATGAATCTGGGTGCTCCTGTATTGGGTGCATATATATTTAGGATAATTTGCTCTTTTTGTTGAATTGATCCCTTTCCCATTATGTAATGGCCTTCTTTGTCTCTTTTGATCTTTGTTGGTTTAAAGTCTGTTTTATCAGAGACTAGGATAGCAACCCCTGCCTTTTTTTGTTTTCCATTTGCTTGGTAGATCTTCCTCCATCCCTTTATTTTGAGCCTATGTGTGTCTCTGCACGTGAGATGGGTTTCCTGAATACAGCACACTGATAGGTCTTGATTCTTTATCCAATTTGCCTGTCTGTGTCTTTTAATTGGAGCATTTAGCCCATTTACATTTAAGGTTAATATTGTATGTGTGAATTTGATCCTGTCATTATGACGTTCGCTGGTTATTTTGCTCATTAGTTAATGCAGTTTCTTCCTAGCCTCGATGGTCTTTACAGTTTGGCATGTTTTTGCAGTGGCTGGTACCAGTTGTTCCTTTCCATGTTTAGTGCTTCCTTCAGGAGCTCTTTTAGGGCAGGCCTGCTGGTGACAAAATCTCTCAGCATTTGCTTGTCTGTAAAGGATTTTATTTCTCTTTCACTTATGAGCTTAGTTTGGCTGGATATGAAATTCTGGGTTGAAAATTCCTTTCTTTAAGAACGTTGAATATTGGCCCCCACTCTGTTCTGACTTGTAGAGTTTCTGCCGAGAGATCAGCTGTTAGTCTGAGGGGCTTTGCTTTGTGGGTAACCTGACCTTTCTCTCTGGCTGCCCTTAACCTTTTTTCCTTCATTTCAACTTTGGTGAATCTGACAATTATGTGTCTTGGAGTTGCTCTTCTCGAGGAGTATCTTTGTGGTGTTCTCTGTATTTCCTGAATTTGAATGTTGGCCTGCCTTGCTAGATTGGGGAAGTTCTCCTGGATAATATCCTGTAGAGTGTTTTCCAACTTGGTTCCATTCTCCCTGTCACTTTCAGATACACCAATCAGACATAGATTTGGTCTTTTCACATAGTCCCATATTTCTTGGAGGCTTTGTTTGTTTCTTTTTATTCCTTTTTCTCTAAACTTCTCTTCTCTCTTCATTTCATTCATTTGATTTTCCATTACTGATACCTTTTCTTCCAGTTGATCAAATCAGCTACTGAGGCTTGTGCTTTCATCACGTAGGTCTTGTGCCATGGGTTTCAGCTCCCTCAGGTCCTTTAAGGACTTCTCTGCATTGGTTATTCTAGTTAGCCATTCATCTAATGTTTTTTCAAGGTTTTTAACTTCTTTGCCATGGGTTTGAACTTCCTCCTTTAGCTCAGAGAAGTTTGATCATCTGAAGCCTTCTTCTGTTAACTCGTTAAAGTCATTCTCCATCCAGCTTTGTTCCGTTGCTGGTGAGGAGCTGTGTTCCTTTGGAGGAGGAGTGGCGCTCTGATTTTTAGAATTTTCAGTTTTTCTGTTCTGATTTTTCCCCACCTTTGCAGTTTTATCTACCTTTGGTCTTTGATGATGGTGACGTACAGATGCCATTTTGGTGTGGATGTCCTTTCATTATGTTAGTTTTCCTTCTAACAGTCAGGACCCTTAGCCACAGGTATGTTGGAGTTTGCCAGAGGTCCACTCCAGACGCTGTTTGCCTGGGTATCAGCAGTGGAGGCTGCAGAACAGCGATTATTGGTGAACAGCAAATGTTGCTGCCTGATCATTCCTCCGGAAATTTTGTCTCAGAGGAGTACCTGGCCGTGTAAGGTGTCAGTCTGCCCCTACTTGGGGGTGCCTTCCAGTTAGGCTACTCAGGGGTCAGGGACCCAGTTGAGAAGGCCGTCTGTCTGTTCTCATATCTCAAGCTGCATGTTGGGAGAACCACTACTCTCTTCCAAGCTGTCAGACAGGGCCATTTAAGTCTGCAGAGGTTTCTGCTGCCTTTTGTTTGGCTATGCCCTGCCCCCAGAGGTGGAGTCTACAGAGGCAGGCAGGCCTCCTTGAGCTGTGGTGGGCTCCACCCAGTTCGAGCTTCCCAGCCACTTTGTTTACCTACTCAAGCCTTGGCAATGGTGGGCCCCCCTCCTGCAGCCTTGCTGCTGCCTTGCAGTTTGATCTCAGACTGCTGTGCTAGCAATGAGTGAGGCTCCGTGGGCATAGGACCCTCTGAACAAGGTGCAGGATCTAATCTCCTGGTGTGCCATTTGCTTAGATCATCAGAAAAGCGCAGTATTAGGGTGGGAGTGACCCGATTTTCCAGGTGCTGTCTGTTACCCCTTTCTTTGGCTAGAAAAGGGAATTCCCTGACCTCTTATGCTTCCTGGGTGAGGCGATGCCTCGCCCTTCTTTGGTTCATGCTTGGTGCACTGCACCCACTGTCCTGCACCCATTGTCCGACAATCCCCAATGAGATGAACCTGGTACCTCAGTTGGAAATGCAGAAATCATTCATCTTTTGGGTCGCTCACACTGGGAGCTGTAGACTGGAGCTGTTCCCAATCGGCCATCTTGGCTAGACTCCCGTAACTCATTATTTTAAGCTAGGAAAAACTTAACCCTGTTTTTATAGACTAACTAATAAGCTAAAAGAAAATTCATAAAAATTCAACACTGTAACTTCATCTATCCGCTTCATAACTTGTTATTGTTTCTATTTATATCTTGGGCTAAATCTTGAGAAATTGTTTTAGTTATAATTTTTGAATTATTTGTCTTTTAGTCTTTGTGCTTTAAGTGTAGTTTACCCCCTGCAACTACAGCATTATACTATTCTGTGTTTTTTTTTGTACTTACTGTCTCTAATGAGCTTTGTTTCTGTAGATGACTTCTTATTGCTCTTTCGTGGCGTTTTGTTTCTGATTGAAGAACTGCTGTATTAGCATTTTTTATAGGACAGGTCTGGTGTTGATGCACTCTGCCAGCTTTCATTAATCTGGTAATTTCTTTATTTCTTCTTCATGTTTGAAGGATACCTTTGTCTGATATACTATTCTAGGATAAAAGTTTTTTTACTTGAACACATTAAATATCTCATGCGCCTCTCATGGCCTATAAGGTTTCCACTGAAAAGTCTGCTGCCAGAGGTATTGGAGCTACATTGTATGTTATTTGTTTCTAATCTCTTGTTGTTTTTAGGATCCTTTCTTTATCCTTGACCTTTGGGAGTTTGGTTATTAAATGCCTACAAGTAGTCTTCTTTGCATTAAATTTGCTTGATGTTATATAACTTTCTTGTAGTTGGATATTAATATCTTTCTCTAGGTTTGCAAAGTTCTCTATTATTAACCTTTTGAATAAACTTTCCACTCCCTCTCTGTCTCCTCTTTTTAAGGCTAACAAGGCTTAGATTTGACTTTTTGAGATTGTTTTTTCCTAGATCTTGTTGGCATGCTTCATTATTTTTTATTCTTTTGTCTTCATTTACTGTGTATTTTCAAGTAGCCTGTCTTCAAGTTTATAATTTTTTCTTTCATTTGATCATTTCTCCTGGTAAGAGACTTTGATGCATCTTTCAGTATGTCAGTTATAGTTTCAACTTCATAGTTTCTGTTTGATGCTTTTTAATTATTTCAGTCTCTTTGTTAAATGTTACCTGATATAATTCTATATTTCTTTTCTGTTATCTTTAATTTCTTTAAATTTCCTCAAAATGGCTATTTTGAATTCCATGTCTGAAAGGTCACATATCTCTGTTTTTTTCAGGTGTGATCCTTGTGGCCTTATATTATTAGTTCATTTGGTGAGTTCATATTTTCCTGGTTCATCTTGATTTGTCTGTGTCTGGGCATTGAAGAGTTAGGTATTTATTGCAGTCTGGACTTGTTTGTGTTTGTCCTTCTTGGGAAGGGTTTCCAGGTATTCAAAAGTTCTTTGGGTTCGGGATCTAAGCCATATTTGTGTTAGACACAACCCCGTGCTCAGTAATGCTGTTGTTGGTGCAGACTCACAGAGGTCCTACTACCTTGATGATGTTGGATAAGATCCAGAAAAATTATCTCAGTTACCAGCAGAAACTCTTGTGCTCTTTCTTTACTTTCTCCCAAATAAATGGAGTCCCTCTCTCTATGCTGAGCCACCTATTGTTGGGGGTGGGGTGACACCACTTCTCTGTGGCCACTGCCACTGAGAGTGATCTGGGTCAGACCTGAAGCCAGCACAGCACTGAGTCTCACCTAAGTCCTGCTGTAACTGCTACTTTGTTTCTGTCTGTGTTCACTCAAGGCCCTAGGCCTCTACAATCTTTAGGTGGCAAAGCCAGTCATGCTTATATCCTTCCCTAAAGGGCAACGAATTCCTCCTGGCTCCTGGTGGGTCCGGAGATGCCACGCAGGAGCCAGGGACTGGAGTAAGAAAGCTTACATGCCAACCTTGCATTCTCCTCTACTGTAGCTGAACTGGCCCTCAAACCATAGCACATTCTTTCTCACTCTTCCCTGTGCTTTCCATAGGCAGAGGTTCTTCATTCCATGGCTAACATCATCACAGCTCTTGGATCTCCAGTAAGCTTGTGATGAATGCTGCCAGGTCTGCAACTTACTCTTCAGGGAAGAGGGCTCCCTTGTGGCCCAGGGCAGGTCCAGAAATGCTAAGAGCCATGACCCAGAATTGGAAACACCAACAGCCCAGCTTGGTGCTCTACACCACTGTGCCAAGCTATTACCTAAGCTGCAAGAAAAAGTCCCCTTTACTTTTCCCTCCCCTCCCCTCCACTCACTTCCCTCCTTCCTTCCTTCCTTCCTTCCTTCCTTCCTTCCTTCCTTCCTTCCTTCCTTCCTTCCTTCCTTCCTTCCTTTCTCTTTCCCTCCCTCCCTCCTTTCTCTCTCTCTTTCTTTCCTTGTTTCTTCTTTCTCTCTCTCTCTTTCTTCCTTTCTTCTTTTCATTTCTTCTTTTCTTCTTTCTTTCTTGACAGAGGGTTGCTCTGTTGCCCAGGCTGAATGCAGTGGCATCATCTCAGCTCACGGCAACCTCTGCATCTTGGGTTCAAGTGATTCTCCTGCCTCAGCCTCTCAGGTAGCTGATATTATAGGCATGCACCACCATATAGTATGATGTACACTTGAACCATTGAGTGAATGGCTATTAATAACTCCTAAATGAATGGGGAGAAATTATGTTTTCCCACTTTACATCACAAGAGAATATAAATTATCCCATGTGATGGAAATGCAGACTTTGAAATCCAGCAAATATTTGGTAAGCTAGCACTAAATTTAGAGCTCAGATGCCAACAAAGACTCAGAAAATCCATGTATTTTATCAGTTGTTTTCCAAAAACTGATAGTGACACATACTTTTAACGTAGCTAAATGATAATTGTGTAACAAAAAAACTCTATTAATAATTTTTAAATTACAATACTTCCAAAAGTACATATGTCTGAAACCCAAGGTGGACTTATAATATAGGAGTTGTTCAAACAGGATTTGTTGATTCTGATGAAGGCAGTAGCACATAAAATACAAATACTACTGTCATTCTTTAGTAAGTGCATATAATTACAAGAAGGTATCCTAGATTATTCTTTCTATTTTTGTCAACATGACATATACATTATAACATTTTGGAAGTTTGTTATATAGGGAGGGGATGATTTGGTTTCTGGTGACTTGGCTTTTAATGGTGAAATTAATAAAACATCAATCTTGGATTAACCTTGTTTTAGTCCCTTTATGCTGCTTCAACAAAATACCACAGAATGGGTAATCTATAAACAAAAATTGATTGTTCACAGTTTTAGAGGGTGGAAGTCCAAGGTCAAGGTGCTAGAAATTTGGTCTCTGTGTCAAAGATGGTATCTTGTTGCTGGATCATGGCCAAGAAGCCCCAAATCCCCCATTCCAAACCCTCAAAACTTTATTCAAGCCAGCTAATAAGCCTACCAATCTGTCTTAAAGTTATTGACACTTCCCCAAAAATAAATAAAAGGAGACTCAGAGAAGAAAAGGCAAAAGATAATTTTCAAAAAGCACATGGATATGTGTTTCCCAAGCAGTATGCAATAAAATAGCTATTTGTTATAATTTCCACATGGTAATTGCAGTCACACAACTGAGTATATACACATATTAACAAGATTGTCCCACTGTACTTAGTTGTCTCATCACCATTATCAAAAGGAATGCCCTTGAGACTCCATATGTATCAATATGTCAAACTACTGTTAGTCAAAAACAAACTTATCAAACCTACATAAAGTAAGACCAGTAAAGTAAAAGAAAGGGGATGTAGCAGAAGGAGATGAGGAGGAAAAGGTTCTTAAGTTCGTATCTATAGTAACATCCTGTTTTCCTATGGCTAATCTTTTTACTTACATTGTTGAAAAATTAACATATTCACATGGGTCAAAAATAAAAAGATAAAAGTCTGCCATTCCTATCCCTAACTTCACAGTCTCCATAACAATCTACAAACATTTTTTTACCAGTTCCTTAACTGTCCTACTATACTTTATGCATCTGTAAGCAAGTCTGAATGTAGTTTCTTATTTCCTGTTCATGCATTACACATAAGATTAGACTTACACTCCTAAATTAAGCAAGCAGGTCATATTACACACTTGCACATTACCTGACTGGCCCCCCGCATTGGGTTTTCTTCTCTCTCTCCTCTTGACCAGTAGCCATCAGGCAAAGTTTGTGTTATGCATGCCAATAATAAAAATCATATTTAGCTGGTTTAAATATGGTTTGAATATGGTCAGTTCTTCCCACCAAAACTCTTGGAAATTTGAACCCCAGTGTTGGAGGTGGGACATAATGGGAAAGGTTTGGGTCATGACAATAGATCCCTTATGAATGGTTTGGTCCTGTTCTTGCAGTTGTAAGTTCTTACCCTTGTTTCACAAGATTAGTTTTTTGTAGAAACAGATTTGTTAAGCTGAAACACTCCTTGGGATTTGCCTCTTTACACTCCCTGTTTGACCTCTACAATCTCATAATGCTGCACAAAGCCCTCTTCTGAAGCTGAGATACCAGAGCAAGCCTTCATGAACAGCCTGCGGAACCATGAGCCAAAAAACCCCCACACCTATTTTCTTAACAAACTACCCAGTCTAGAGTATTCTTTTATGACAGTATTAAGTGGATGAAGACAGATGTGTAGAGTACAGCTTACTTTGTTTAATCCTTAACACAACCCCTTAATGCACTCAATTTTTATATGAATAAACTGAAAGTCAAAGAGTTTACAAAACTTGCCCAAGATGTGCTGCTAAATGAGGACCAGCTGGTCTATAGGACTGACAGCATGTTTGAAAATATAAAAATATGAGTCTTTGTACAACTTGCAGGGAAATAGGTAATAAATGAATAAAGTTTATCAGTTTTAATATTTCTTTTTCTTTTCTTTTTTTTTTTTTTTGAGATGGAGTCTTGCTCTGTCACCCAGGCTGGAGTGCAGTGGCACAATCTCAGCTCATTGAAACATCCACCTCCCAGGTTCAGGTGATTCTTTTTCCTTCAGCCTCCTGAGTAGCTCAGATTATGGATGTCTGCCCCCATGCGTGGCTAATTTTTTTTGTATTTTTAGTAGATATGGTGTTTTACATGTTGGCCAGGCTGGTTTTTGAACTCCTGACTTCAAGTGATCCATCTGCCTCAGACTCTGAAAGTGCTGGGATTATAGGTGTGACCCACCCCAACTGTCTAGTATTAGTTTCTAGCACCCGTTTTTTTTAACTTCAGCACCTCCAAAGTCACATTTCTGCTAGCTTTGGGTACAAAATGGTTCTCACTCTTGGTTATATATTGAAATCTCCAGGACAGCATAAGATACACAGACACTGGGGCCTACTTCAGAATGCAGGGTGAGAGGAGAGTGACGGTAAAAAACTGTCTATTGGTTCCTACACTGATTACCTAAATGATGAAAAAATCTGTACACCAAAACACTGAAACACCCAATTTACCTATTTAACAAACCTATACTTGGACCCATAAAGCTAAAATAAAAGTGAAAAAAATGGCAAGCAACAGGCATATGAAAAGGTGCTCAACATGATTGATCACCAGAGAAATACAAATCAAAACTACAGTAAGATATCATCTCGCCCTGGTTAAAATATATCCAAAAGACAGGCAATAACAAACACTGGCAAGGATGTGTAGAAAAGAGAATCCTTGTACACTGTTGGTGGGAATGTAAGTTAGTGCATCCACTATGGAGAACACTTTGGAGGTTTCTCAGAAACCTAAAAATAGAGCACCATATACTACAGCAATCCTACTGCTGGGTATATACCCAAAGA